>NC_000011.10:64222043-64525074 GCF_000001405.40 Homo sapiens
GCCTGACCAACATGGTGAAACCCTGTATCTACTAAAAATACAAAAATTAGCCGAGTGTGGTGGCAGGCGCCTATAATCCCAGCTACTCGGGAGGCTGAGGCAGGAGAATGTCTTGAACTCGGGAGGTGGAGGTTGCAGTGAGCCGAGATTGTGCCACTGCACTCCAGCCTGGGTGCGAACGAGTGAGACTCAGTCTCAAATAAATAAATAAATAAATAAATAAATAAATAAATAAATAAAAGAGCCTGCGCGATGGCTCATGCCTGTAATCCCAGCACTTTGGGAGGCCAAGGCAGGCAGATCATGAGGTCAGGAGTTCGAGACCAGCCTGACCAACATGGTGAAACCCCGTCTCTACTAAAAACACAAAAATCAGCCACAAGTGGTGGCACGTACCTGTAATCCCATGTACTCGGGAGGCTGAGACAGGAGAATCACTTGAACCCGGGAGGCGGAGGTTGCAGTGAGCCGAGATCGAGCCACTGTACTCCAGCCTGGCAACAAAGCGACACTCCGTCTCAAAAAAAAAAAAAAAAAAAAAAGAGATTTCAGGTCAGGAGAGCAGAAGAACCAGTTCTTGCTCCAGCTCTGCTGTGGACAGTTCACTGTCTGGGCCTGGGTTCGCCGGTCCGCAAGACAGGGCTAGCGGTGGATGCTGTTATGGGGAGTGGGCCCCTTTGATTAGTTGTTTCCCAAGACTGCAAAGAAGGGAGGGAGACAGCAGTTGATGAGGATGGTAACAAAAACCAAAAAAAGTTACCATTTAAAGGCTTGGCCTGTTTGCCCGATGCTGCTAAATGCTGTTGTGGGGATTTTATCAATTAACCCCCATTTACCAGATGAGGAACTTGAGGCCCAGGGAACCCAAATGGCTTGCTCAGGGTTACACAGCTGGTGAGCTGCAGTCGGGAAGGGCTGGCTCTCCAGCACGGCGCCACATTGTCTGGGCGGGCTCTGGCCATGCAGGGTGGAGCCCTGGCTCACTCTCTCTCCCTGGGGGCCAGGTTCAAGGGCAGCAGGAAAGACGAGATCCTGGGCATCGCCAACAACCGACTGATCCGCATCGACTTGGCCGTGGGCGACGTGGTCAAGACCTGGCGTTTCAGCAACATGCGCCAGTGGAATGTCAACTGGGACATCCGGCAGGTGGGCCCAGACCCAGGGTATATGGATGGGGGACAGGTGCAGGCCGGAGCTGGATCCAGCCAGGGTGGGGCAGGGGCTGCTCCCTTATCCCACCCACCATTTGCCCCTCTGTCTGCCCTTCAGGTGGCCATCGAGTTTGATGAACACATCAATGTGGCCTTCAGCTGCGTGTCTGCCAGCTGCCGAATTGTACACGAGTATATCGGGGGCTACATTTTCCTGTCGACGCGGGAGCGGGCCCGTGGGGAGGAGCTGGATGAAGACCTCTTCCTGCAGCTCACCGGGGGCCATGAGGCCTTCTGAGGGCTGTCTGATTGCCCCTGCCCTGCTCACCACCCTGTCACAGCCACTCCCAAGCCCACACCCACAGGGGCTCACTGCCCCACACCCGCTCCAGGCAGGCACCCAGCTGGGCATTTCACCTGCTGTCACTGACTTTGTGCAGGCCAAGGACCTGGCAGGGCCAGACGCTGTACCATCACCCAGGCCAGGGATGGGGGTGGGGGTCCCTGAGCTCATGTGGTGCCCCCTTTCCTTGTCTGAGTGGCTGAGGCTGATACCCCTGACCTATCTGCAGTCCCCCAGCACACAAGGAAGACCAGATGTAGCTACAGGATGATGAAACATGGTTTCAAACGAGTTCTTTCTTGTTACTTTTTAAAATTTCTTTTTTATAAATTAATATTTTATTGTTGGATCCTCCTCCTTTCTCTGGAGCTGTGCTTGGGGCTACTCTGACACTCTGTCTCTTCATCACCAGCCAAGGAAAGGGGCTTTCCTGATAAAGACAAGAGTTGGTTAGAGAAAGGGACACCTAAGTCAGTCTAGGGTTGGAAGCTAGGAGAGAGGTGAGGGCAGAAGGGCACAGCTTTCAGGAACAAGGAATAGGGGCTGGGGTGGTGGTTCTCACGGGTAGGGCGTAGCTGCAGGGCCTCCTTGAAGTACTTGGGAAGGAGGAAGCCATCAGTATTCCCTGGAGTCAGAATCACCCCATTGGCAGAGCGGAAGAAGGGTATTCCATCTGCTGACAGAGCCAGAGATGTGACTCATGCCCTCCCCGAAGGCAAGGGCAGCTCCTGCTTTGTCCAGACTCACCTGCCAGAGCCAGGGGTCCATCGATGAACACAGCTATTTCACAATGGGACCGCATGCCTGCAGAGACAGCTGGAGCTGAGGCCTGGGCACCTGGAGTGCAGTCAGCAACCTAGGCAGACTGGGGTCCTGGGCTGGGGGATGCAGGGGTGCTGCTCCATGCCGGACATGGGGTGGCCCCAGACAAGTGTTGTAACCTTTGAAGGGGACCTGGGAGGACAGAGTGGGTGGGAGTAGCTAGGTGGAGGGGAGGGCACTGACCACTGATGATACCGGGGTCTCCAGGCAGTCCTGGGGCCAGGTGAATGTGCGTCCTTCCCTGGCAGGACAGGCCTTTGAGTAGGATGGATGGCCAGTGCTTCCAGAATGTACCATGGACTAGCATCGGGGGCAGGGCCTGCGGTGTCTCCAGGGGCATCAGCTCCAACTTAGGTACCTGGTTGAACGGGTAGCAGTGAGACCCCCTTCGCAGGCAGGGGTCCCTCCCATCTCGTCTCGCACTTGTCCCCTCACCCCGACCTGCAGGGAATGGCCCTGGTTGGCCCGGATGAGAAGGCCAGTGCTGGGATCCCCCAGCTGCAGGGCGAACCGCTGCTTCCTATTGGTGTCCACCACGCGCTGCACATCTTCAGCAGAGAAGCCGCGGAACTGGGGCAACTGCAGGAGGGTGCCCAGGGGCACGAAGCCATCTGTGGGCAGGCAGGGTGCTCAGGAGCTAACCTTGCTCTGGACTGGGCCAGGGTTAACAGGGAGCCACAGGCAACCGAAACAAAGTCTGGGCTTGGAGATCGCTTGGGCATCCTCTGTGGGACCTTTAGAAAGTCTCCCCTTTCTGGGCCGCAGTTTTTTCAACTTACATAAAAAGAGGATCTGCCTCACGGAGGGGCAGGGAGGTGAGTGCCCAGCATAGCGCTGGCCCGGAGTGCACACTCACACCACCAGCTGCACCGTATCCTCCAGGGCTCGCCCTCGGGGTAAGTGCTGATCTGGCTGCTTGGCTGGAGGGGGCGGTCACCAGGCCTGGCCCAGACAAGAACTCTCCTCAGTCTGCTGTGGACATGACAGGGGCTCTAGGCCTTGCTCTCCTCTGTGCATGGGGAGGAAGTGCACTCTGTGCCTTCCTCAGGGAGCGGTGGAGGCAGCCATCAGGGAGGAGTCGCAGACAGGCTCACGTTTCTCTCTGGGCTCAAGCCCCAGCCTCCAAGGCCCCTACTTACCAGCTCCCATGGGAAGCCCCAGCTTCAAGGCCCCATGGCGCAGGGCATAGGACAGAGCCTTGGACAGCTGCACGTCTCGGTCCTGAAAGAACCCAGCGGTGGCCCCTAGTCTCCATGGTGACCCTGCCCTACTGCCCATCCTGAACCCTCAATGACCCACTGCAGAGAGAGCCCAGAGAGAAAGGAGTGCCAGTGGTCTCCAGGAATAGTAGGACCCTTCAGCTCCGCCCCCCAGCAACTCCCAGGGAGCCTGGACTGGTGGGAGGGGGTGGGGAGGAGGCGCGCACCTGTTCTCGGGGTCTGGGAGCCCTTCTACCCCTGGACCCTGCTGCTTCCTGCCTCCCTCCTCCAGAGAAGTTCATGGTTAAGACCTGTGGGGGGCAGTGACGAGGGGGGACTGCTTTAAGGCCCCTTCCACGTCCCCATCCCTCCCAGAAAGTCACAAAGCCTCAGGAAGTGAGCGCTGGGTGGGAGTATACGGCTCATTAAGTTCACCACCCCCAAGTCCCTGCTGCAGAGAGGGAAACTAAGGCCCAGCAGGCCAGACTTGCCCAAGGTCACACGGTCAGCCAGGAGCGCAGGGAGGCCGAGCCCCGCACCCCAGATCGCTGGTGCGCCCCGCAGGGTGGTCCGGGAGGCAGGGCCGACGTGCCGACGGACCGGGCGGAAGCGTCGGGGCGGCGGGGACAAACCTCCAGGATCCTCGACCGCGGCGGACCCGCCAATGAAAAGCCGCGTGGAAAGGGGGCGGGCACTTCCGCTTCGGGGAAGGGGCGGAGCCTGAGGGACCCGGCGGCTGGTGAGCGCCCGCTGGAGGCTGGAGCTTCCGGGCCCTGGAAAGGGGTCCCCGCGCGCCCCGGGTCGGAGGCAGACCCCTGGGTTTGGGGGACATGGGCATTTGGGGCGCCTGAACCCAAGACCTCTGGATGGTAGGGATGCCCGGGCGTCCTGGATACCCTGCGGGACTCGGGGCTCCTGCGGGGAAGATGGCACGTTTTACTGCCCAAGGAGTGGTCAGGGGGGTGGAGAAGCGCTGCGGATACCCTCAGGAGGTCTGCGACAGAGGGGGCTAGCTGCGCAGCCCAGGAGTGGTAGTGGCCCCCCTGGATGACAGGCCTGGCCGTATCCTCCCCCAGAGCTGCCCCGTTCAGACCATGGATCCTGAGGTGACCTTGCTGCTGCAGTGCCCTGGCGGGGGCCTGCCCCAGGAGCAGATACAGGCCGAGCTGAGCCCCGCCCATGACCGTCGCCCACTGCCAGGTGGGGACGAGGCCATCACTGCCATCTGGGAGACCCGGCTAAAGGCCCAACCCTGGCTCTTCGACGCCCCCAAGTTCCGCCTGCACTCAGCCACCCTGGCGCCTATTGGCTCTCGGGGGCCACAGCTGCTCCTGCGCCTGGGCCTTACTTCCTACCGAGACTTCCTGGGCACCAACTGGTCCAGCTCAGCTGCCTGGCTGCGACAGCAGGGTGCCACCGACTGGGGTGACACGCAGGCCTATCTGGCGGACCCACTGGGGGTGGGCGCTGCACTAGCCACAGCCGATGACTTCCTTGTCTTCCTGCGCCGCTCCCGGCAGGTGGCTGAGGCCCCTGGGCTGGTGGACGTACCTGGTGGGCACCCTGAGCCTCAGGTGAGATTCCAGGCTGGGCACAAAGACCCAGACAGCTCAAGGGAGCTGCAGCTCTCCACCCTCCCAATCCTCCCAGCTTTGGTTTCCTCATTCCTTAAAGGGAAAATTGGCCTGGTATTTCTCTGGAAGTTTGCTCAGGGCAGTCCACCTGCCTCCCCACTGACCCCTGCCCCAGTCCTGTGAGAAACTAGAAAACACGGGAGGAAAGATTGGGCACAGGAAGAAGATGCCCTACTCCACCCCTGCCCCCTGTGTATCTCCTTTGAAGCTGGACCTCTGGTTGTCTGTCAGGGAAAGGACACCAGACTCAGGATCACTAACTCTCTTACACTGTGCCACATCAGACCCTCAAGGCCAGCAGGTATAGGCTTGCTGGTCCTGAGATGGGGCAGGGGGAAGAGGTGGGGAGCAGGGGCTGAGCCTGACCTCTCACAGGCCCTGTGCCCTGGTGGCAGCCCCCAGCACCAGGACCTCGCTGGGCAGCTGGTGGTACATGAACTCTTTTCCAGTGTCCTTCAGGAGATCTGTGATGAGGTGAGTGAGGTTGACCTGGACAGGGTGGTAGACATGAAGGGAGGGGGTAGGACTTGCCAGAATTCTACAGGTCTGGGCTGGCAGGAGGCCTGCAGGCATCTGGCCAGCAATGAGGGAAGAAGTTGGCTTTGCAGCTATACATACTTGGAGTGGAATTCTAGCCCTCAGTACCCTCTGCCTTGGATTCTTCTTCTTTTCTTTTTTCTTTCTTTTTTTTTTTTTAGACAGAGTCTCGCTCTGTTGCCCAGGCTGGAATGCAGTGGCACGATCTCTGCTCACTGCAAGCTCCACCTCCCGGGTTCACGCCATTCTCCTACCTCAGCCTCCTGAGTAGCTGGGACTACAGGCATCCGCCACCATGCCTGGCTAATTTTTTTTGTATTTTTAGTAGAGATGGGGTTTCACCTTGTTAGCCAGGATGGTCTTGATCTCCTGACCTCGTGATCTGCCTGCCTCAGCCTCCAAAAGTGCTGGGATTACAGGTGTGAGCCACTGCACCAGGCCGGATTCTTCTTCTTTTTTTTTTTTTTCTTTTTGAGACAGAGTCTTGCTCTGTTGCCCAGGCTAGTGCAGTGGTGGCATATCGGCTCACTGCAACCTTCGCCTCCTGGGTTCAAGTGATTCTCATGCCTTGCCCCGCCAAGGATTCTTCTTTTCAATGGAAACAATGATAAATATCTTGCCTACTCCCCAAGTCTGTTGAAAAAGGAGTAAGTGGCCGGGCGCCGTGGCTCATGCCTGTAATCCCAGCACTTTGGGAGGCTGAGGTGGGCAGATCACAAGGTCAGGAGATCAAGACCATCCTGGCTAACACGGTGAAACCCTGACTTTACTAAAAATACCAAAAGTTAGCCGGGCGTGGTGGCGGGCACCTGTAGTCCCAGCTACTCAGGAGGCTGAGGCAGGAGAATGGCGTGAACCCGGGAGGCGGAGGTTGCAG
The DNA here is from genome assembly GCF_000001405.40 of Homo sapiens. Lineage (NCBI taxonomy): Eukaryota > Metazoa > Chordata > Mammalia > Primates > Hominidae > Homo > Homo sapiens. Next base: position 64,228,607 of record NC_000011.10, read on the forward strand.
TGAGCCGAAATCGCGCCACTGCACTTCAGCCTGGGCGACAAAGCGAGACTCCGTCTCAAAAAAAAGAAAAAGGAGTAAGTGTGGCAGGGTGTGGTGGCTCACACCTGTAATCCCAGCACTTTGGGAGGCCAAGGCCAGCGGATCACCTGAGGTCAGGAGTTCGAGACCAGCCTGGCCAACATGGAGAAACCCCATCTCTACTAAAAATACAAAAAATTAGCCAGGCGTTGTGGCGTGCACCTGTAATCCCAGCTACTCAGGAGGCTGAGGCAGGAGAATCACTTTAACCTGGGAGGCAGAGGTTGCAGTGAGCTGAGATCGTGCCACTGTACTCCAGCCTGGGCGACAGAGCGAGACTCCATCTCAAAAAAAGAAAAAAAGAAAAAGGAGTAAGTGGGAGTCCCAGTCACTAAATTGACTTCTCTTGGGTGACCTTGGGCAACGTGTTCAATCTCTCTGGTTTTGGTGTACCTGTAAAACAAACATGCCCATCATCTGACATTCTGTAATGCTGGGTCCTTGATCTACAAGCTATAAAATGCTGTACACAGGTAACAGGCGGTTTTTCATTGAGACGGGCAGGGATGTGGGCAGTGGCATTGATAGGTGGGACCTCCCCCCACCCCACCCTCCACCGCAGGTGAACCTGCCGCTGCTCACCCTGAGCCAGCCCCTGCTGTTGGGCATCGCCCGAAATGAGACCAGTGCTGGCCGAGCCAGTGCCGAGTTCTATGTCCAGTGAGTAGGCTCGGGTACATGATCCTGGGTCTTGGGAAGGTGGGTGGTGAGGAGTGGGCTGAGGCAGCTGTGGCTCCACAGGTACCCCGCAGGGGCTGGTCACCCACTAAGCCACCCTTGTGTTCTTGTCCAGGTGCAGCCTGACTTCTGAGCAGGTGAGGAAGCACTACCTGAGTGGGGGACCCGAGGCCCACGAGTCTACAGGAATCTTCTTTGTGGAGACACAGGTGCAGAGTGACAAACCATCTTGCTTGGAGGCCAGGGCTGGGGCCTGCAGAGGCCTGGCAATGCATATCTTGTAGGGGAGGTGTTGGCTGGGTCACAATTCCCTCCAGAGTCACAAGATTTGCCCTCAGTGCAAGGGAAAGGTCCAGGGACATGTTCAGCCCCTTAACATGCCTCCCTAAGGACAGTGCAGAGGTCTCTGAGGCTCAGGAATTCTGGGCACAGCCCTGGCAGGAGAAGTGGCAAGCTTGAATGCCTGGGTCTCGTTGTCTCCCCACAGAACGTGCAGAGATTGCTCGAGACGGAGATGTGGGCTGAACTCTGCCCCTCGGCCAAAGGCGCCATCATCCTCTACAACCGGGTTCAGGGAAGTCCCACTGGAGCGGCCCTAGGGTCCCCAGCCCTACTCCCGCCGCTCTGAAAATAATAAACGACTTTATTCTTGGATTCCGTTGGCATCTGCTATTTCTGTAACAGAGAGGAGCAATGGGCCCTGAGTGTGTAAGGCAGGACAAGTGACTTGGGAAAAAAAAAAAAAAAAACCCGCCCAGCCTGTGTCCCCCTCTGCAAGCAGGGGATAAGAACTGTGCCTCCCTTTCTTTGCTGGCTCCAGAGAGGCTCCGGGGCGGAAGCAGCTCCGTAAGATATACCTCGCTGCAGAGGGGAGCAACAGCGGAACGGAGACACGGTGGCCGGGCCGAAAACGTCACAAAGCCGCAGAGAGCGGGCTCTGTCCCGCCCGCTCCCCAGGTGGGCGCCCGCGCCTGTCCAGCGAGTCCGCAGGCTGGGGGACCGGAGGCACCAAAGGCCAATAGACATGTAGGGGCGGGGTCTCCACCGATTTTTTTTTTTTTCCTGACAGGTGGACGTGGTCTTGGCATCCACGCCAATGAGAATGTGAGGGCGGGGCCTGAATAGACGCAGGAAATGGCGACGGCCGCGGGTCTGTGAGCAGCGGGGGCGGGGCCTGGTTGTGGCCCCTCCTTCTCCCGTCCCCAAGTTCCCTGGGTGGGAACGGGGTCTTGGGGTCCCTGGCTGGGTGGCCAGACCCCGAAGCCAGCGCTGGGAAGGGCTGCGGATGCCCGGGTCAGAGGAAGGGGCAGGTCCAAGGACACGCGGGTCTGGTCCTGGGCAAGAACCGCCCCCTCTCCGGGCCTGCTTCAGTCTTCCTTTGCAGAACAACGGGCCAGGCCCCTTCCCTCTGCCCCCGGGTGCTTGAAGTCTAGCCCCATCCTGGTCCAATGCGCTCTTGGTAGCCTCCTTTCCCAGCTGCCCGCCCGCCGCCATGCCGCCCTTACTGCCCCTGCGCCTGTGCCGGCTGTGGCCCCGCAACCCTCCCTCCCGGCTCCTCGGAGCGGCCGCCGGGCAGCGGTGAGTTGGGCGCGGGGGGCCGGCCCGGTTGTTCAATGGGTTTCTGTTTGCCCTACGTGCTGAGTTAGTTGTGGTCTCTACTCCGTGTCAGGAGGCTCCCAGGTTTGTCTCAGGTAACCCTCGCCTTCCCTGCTGAGGATCAGAGATAGAGAAGACCCCCAAGGTCATACACCGATTTAAGCGGCAGAGGAGGAAGTTTGAGTCCAGGTCAAACCCAACGCTCTTACCACAGCTCTAGTGGTTTCCAAGCATCGCTGTATCACTGTGCATAACCCTCTGTGGGGGGTGGGAGATGGGGAGGTGTCGGGTACAAAATCCAGATTCCTGGGCTCTGCTCTGGAGATTCTGAACTGGAGGAATCAATTGGGTGGGGGTCAGGAATCAGTTTCTTTCTCTTTTTCCTTTTTTTTTTTTTTTTTTGAGATGGAGTTTCGCTCGTTGCCCAGGCTGGAGTGCAATGGAGCAATCTCGGCTCACCACAACCTCCGCCTCCCGGGTTCAAGCGATTCTCCTGCCTCAGCCTCCCGAGTAGCTGGGATTACGGGCATGCACCACCACGCCCGGCTAATTTTGTATTTTTAGGAGAGACAGGGTTTCTCCATGTTAGTCAGGCTGGTCTTGAACTCCCGACCTCAGGTGATCCGCCCTCCTCGGCCTCCCAAAATGCTGGATTACAGGCGTGAGCCACCGCGCCTGTCCAGGAATCAGTTTTTTCCAACAAGTTTTTGGACTCCACTTTGAGAAATCCTGACCTGCACTATGCCTGAAACACTCCAAAGGGGGTGCTGATCTGGAGACAGATCTGTCCTGGGACCTGTTTCAGCCCTGTCAGCTCCTGGTGGCTGAGTTGAAGGGTGTGGCCCAGAAGGCAGGGCAGAGCTAGCTTCTGGGTTCCTTCAGCCCCTGCAAGGTTTGGGACTCTGTCCACAGGTCCAGACCCAGTACTTATTATGAACTGTTGGGGGTGCATCCTGGTGCCAGCACTGAGGAAGTTAAACGAGCTTTCTTCTCCAAGTCCAAAGAGGTACCCGTACCCCTGAGGTGGGGAGGGGGAGCAGGAACTTTGAGCCAGTGGGGGTGTGCTTCAAATTCCCAGGAGTAGACCAGCATCTCTGGCGGGTGCCACATTTTTTCAGCCCTCATAGGGAGTGGCAGGTGCTCAATGGTAGGGGAAAGGCTGTGGGCAGGAGCCAGGGGTCCTGTCTGATGGGCTGGGCTTGGTTTTCTTGACCTGCCTGCCTGCTCTTGAGAAACCTGGACCAGGGCATATGGTGAATGCAGGGGGCTGGCAGGTGGGGAGGGCTTGAACACAGGAGGAAGCAGGAGTCCATGCTCTCTGGCCTTCTGAGGAGTGGGCAGGCCTGAGTGAGGGTCACTGACCAGGCAGGGCCTCTGGGTATGACTGGAGCCCTGGTGGGTGGATGTCATCAGCATGGGTCCTGGGGAGGGACAGGCAAAGGGAGATAAGGGGAGTCCTGCCCCACCCCAGCTGCACCCAGACCGGGACCCTGGGAACCCAAGCCTGCACAGCCGCTTTGTGGAGCTGAGCGAGGCATACCGTGTGCTCAGCCGTGAGCAGAGCCGCCGCAGCTATGATGACCAGCTCCGCTCAGGTAGTCCCCCAAAGTCTCCACGAACCACAGTCCATGACAAGTCTGCCCACCAAACACACAGGTACAGTAATCCTGCCCTCAGCTTGCCCCACCCCCAGGTCTCTTGGGTAGTCTCATTTCCACAATGTCCCTTCCTCTGCCTCCCAGCAGCTCCTGGACACCCCCCAACGCACAGTACTGGTCCCAGTTTCACAGCGTGAGGCCACAGGGGCCCCAGTTGAGGCAGCAGCAACACAAACAAAACAAACAAGTGCTGGGGTACTGCCTCCTCCTCATGCTGGCGGGCATGGGCCTGCACTACATTGCCTTCAGGTGATGCCTGTTCTCCCCGGGGTGATGGGCAGAGGGCAGGAGGGTGGGTGAATTCCAGTGTGGTCAGCCAGTCCTCCACAGCACCTCGTGGCCCGTACTCTTGTGTCTCTCAAGCTAAGAGCTGCTTGAAGTTGGTCTCTGGAGCCTCTCCTTACTTATTAAAGGCAGCGCTGCACCAAGAGCTAACGTTGTCATTTACAGTTTTTCATATTTCGAATGTAAATCTTTCATGCTGGCTGCCAGGAAGGGATTGAGCCAAACAAAATCAAGCACAAGCAGCAAATGCAGCACAGCTCATTCATTTGGCAGTAGGCATCTCCCTGCCACTCTCACGCGTGCCACGGAGCTGATTCTCTTTATTCTCTTTTTTTCTTTTTTTTTTCTTTGAGATGGAGTCTCACTCTGTTGCCCAGGCTGCAGTGCAGTGGCGCAATCTCGGCTCACTGCAACCCCACCTCTGCCTCCCAGGTTCAAGCAATTCTTCTGTCTCAGCCTCCCGAGTAGCTGGGACTACAGGCGTCCACCACCACACCCGGCTAGTTGTTTTGTATTTTTAGTAGAGATGGGGTTTCACCATATTGGCCAGGCTGGTCTCAAACTCCTGACCTCAGGTGATCCACCCGCCTCAGCCTCCCAAAGTACTGGGATTACAGGTGAGAGCTACCGCGCCTGGCCACAAAGCCGATTTTCTATAGCAGATACCTAAAGGCCAGTGCCCACTGCTAGCAGCCTGCCTAGTTCAGTGATGGAGTTAGACGCATACCCTTTCTAGTCTTCTGGGAGGAGCACCCCCATGTCCACAGCTGCTGTCACACCTCAAAGTGACCAGGGACTTCGGATGCCATTGGACCCTAGACAAGCCAGGGCCACTCTGAGCCCTCCCTATCTATCACAGGAAGGGTTAGACTGAGGTTCCTAACCCTGTGTAAGGGTAAAAAGCTGTGAGGCCCCTAGAGTGGGGTGGAAGGGGGCAGGACTTCAGGGACAGCAGGAATTGGATTCCCAGGGTTAATTGTGACCCATTGCAGGAAGGTGAAGCAGATGCACCTTAACTTCATGGATGAAAAGGATCGGATCATCACAGCCTTCTACAACGAAGCCCGGGCACGGGCCAGGTCTGTCCCTGCTCTATTCTGCTCCCTGCTCCCTGTCCAGGAACCACACTTCGGGATCCCTATCCCAACCACCCAGGTGCCCTCTCCTCCAGGGCCAACAGAGGCATCCTTCAGCAGGAGCGACAACGGCTAGGGCAGCGGCAGCCGCCACCATCCGAGCCAACCCAAGGCCCCGAGATCGTGCCCCGGGGCGCCGGCCCCTGAGGGGCTCACCTGGATGGGGCCTGCAGTGCGTTCCCGCTTTGCTTCCTTCCCTGGACGGCCCGCTCCCCGAAACGCGCGCAATAAAGTGATTCGCAGAGCTCGTGTCCGGCTCCCTCCTTAAGGCCCGACGCCCCCGGCCCCGGCCTCGCCAAGGGGCAGCGCCCCGCCCTCCGGGTAGTGGCGGCGGCGACTGGGGAGCCCAGCCTCCTGGGCGGTGCGTCCCCTTTCCCCTGCCGCGGCGGGAGGCGGGAGGGGGTGTGTGGAGGAGGCGGGCCCCGCCGACGGCCTCGCCCCCCCACCCCGCCGCCCCGCCCCCGCCCCACGGGCCGGTGGGGAGCGCGTGTCTGGGTCACATGAGCCGCCTGCCCGCCAGCCCGGGCCCAGCCCCCCGCCGCCCCCGCCGTCCCCGCCGCCGCTGCCCGCCGCCACCGGCCGCCCGCCCGCCCGGCTCCTCCGGCCGCCTCCGCTGCGCTGCGCTGCGCTGCCTGCACCCAGGGCTCGGGAGGGGGCCGCGGAGGAGTCGCCCCCCGCGCCCGGCCCCCGCCCGCCGCGCCCGGGCCCGCGCCATGGGGCTCTGGCTGTCGCCGCCCCCCGCGCCGCCGGGCTAGGGCGATGCGGGCGCCCCCGGCGGGCGGCCCCGGCGGGCACCATGAGCCCTCTGCTCCGCCGCCTGCTGCTCGCCGCACTCCTGCAGCTGGCCCCCGCCCAGGTACGTGCGGCCCGACAGCGCGCCCGCCCGCCCGCCGTGCCCTCTCTCAAGGTTGGCGGAAGTGAGGAGGCGACCCGCGGCCTCGGCCGAGGGGATCTGCGGGGTCCGGCCTTGGACGCGGGCGTCTCGGGGGCCCGGCGCGTGCATCCCCTGGGAGGTGCCCCTCCCCGCTGGCCCGCCAGCCCCAGTCTGGGGCCACTCCTCCGCCCCACCCCGTCCCCTGGGCACCGCCGGGGGCGGGGCTCCCTCGGTGCCTGCAGGACCTGCTTCGGTGGGCACTGTGCGCGCTCCTGATCTGCATGCAGCCCCCAAACATGCTCGGCTCCGCGGCCTGGAGATTTGGCGCGGCCACCAGAGCACCTGTTGCGTTTTGGGCCAGGGCAGGTCCCGGGTGGCCAGGAGAGGACAGGTAAAGCTAGAGCAGTGGCCGCAGGAACAGAGCAATCTGGAAAGATGTCAGAGAGGTGGTGAAGCCTACTGATGCAAGGGCAAAGCCCCAGGGACGGTGACAGGGCCACACCCTCCTAAAGTGTACCTTGGGTACAGGTCTTTTCTCTCCCACAGGCCCCTGTCTCCCAGCCTGATGCCCCTGGCCACCAGAGGAAAGGTAATACTTACAAAAACTCGGCACTAGCCAGCACTAAGAGGGTTTGTCATGGGCCCTGATTCCAGGTGTCCATCATCTTGTGTAACTCCCCTAGAAGATTCAAACTATTATTCTACCCATTTCACAGAGGAGGAAATTGAGGCAGTGGGGTTACTGGGATCTGGATAAACAGGGCAGGGGAAGACAGGTTGTGAGGGCAGAGTGGGGAGGGCTAGTGGAGGGTGGCTGTGACTTGGGGACTGGGGAGGACAGATGCTGGGAGCAGCTGCAGGAAAACCAGTGAGGACTTAACCCCTACCGGTCTGCTCCCAGTGGTGTCATGGATAGATGTGTATACTCGCGCTACCTGCCAGCCCCGGGAGGTGGTGGTGCCCTTGACTGTGGAGCTCATGGGCACCGTGGCCAAACAGCTGGTGCCCAGCTGCGTGACTGTGCAGCGCTGTGGTGGCTGCTGCCCTGACGATGGCCTGGAGTGTGTGCCCACTGGGCAGCACCAAGTCCGGATGCAGGTACTGGGCAGGTGGGGCAACGGGCAGGGGATGCAGGTACTGGGCAGGTGGGGCAGCGGGCAGGGTGGATGCTGGCTGGCTCTGGGGCTGGGGCAGCCTGGAGACTGATGCACAGGAGACAGGGTTGGGGGGAGGGCTGGTGGCCAGCCTCCCGGCTGTTGGGTGAGCTTTTCTCCCTTCAGTCTTAGAGCATCCCCTTTCTCTCTCTCCCTCACTGTCCCCCCTGTTCTTCTCCTGAGCACAGATCCTCATGATCCGGTACCCGAGCAGTCAGCTGGGGGAGATGTCCCTGGAAGAACACAGCCAGTGTGAATGCAGGTGCCAGCCAGGCCCAACTTCTGAGCTCGCAGAGGCCAGGCTTGGGGGGTGCTGGGTATGGTGGTCCACAGAACTGGGGACCAGGTTCCTAAGAGTAGAACCAAGGGGCCGGGCGTGGTAGCTCACGCCTGTAATCCCAGCACTTTGGGAGGCCGAGGCGGGCGGATCATGAGGTCAGGAGATCGAGACCATCCTGGCTAACATGGTAAAAACCTGTCTCTACTAAAAAAATACAAAAAATTAGCCGGGCGTGGTGGCGGGCACCTGTAGTCCCAGCTACTCCGGAGGCTGAGGCAGGAGAATGGCATGAACCTGGGAGGCGTAGCTTGCAGTGAGCCAAGATCGTGCCACTGCATTCCAGCCTGGGCGACAGAGCAAGACTCTGCCACAAAAAAAAAAAAAAAAAAAAAAAAAAAAGAGTAGAGCCAAGGGTAGGCCTTGGATCTGGGGCAACAAAGTAGGATGCTTGGGCCGGGGGTAGTGGCTCACACCTATAATCCCAGCACTTTGGGAGGCCCAGGCAGGCAGATCACCTGAGGTAAGGCGTTTGAGACCAGCCTGGCCAACATGGTGAAACCCCATCTCTACTAAAAAAAAATACAAAAATTAGCCGCGCATGGTGGCAGGTGCCTGTAATCCCAGCTACTTGGGAGGCTGAGACAAGAGAATAGCTTGAACCTGGGAGGCGGAGGTTGCAGTGAGCCGAGACCACGCCACTGCACTCCAGCCTGGGCAAGAAGAGGGAAACACAGTCTCAAAGAGAGAGAGAGAGAGAGAGAGAGAGAGAGAGAGAGAGTAGGATGCTGGGATTTCCTGATCTTCCTCTTGTTTGTCTGTGTCTGTCTATCTTACTTTTCAGACCTAAAAAAAAGGACAGTGCTGTGAAGCCAGACAGGTGAGTCTTTTGGACTCCAGCTGAGTAGGGGTATGGGGAGTACAAGTGAGTCCAGAAGCTGTTGCTCCTCTTTCTCCTCCCACCCGTCCCCCACTTTCCCTTTTCCTCTGCTCCCCAAGCCTGTGTTCTCTGCCCCGACCCCAGCTCTAGGGAAGACTCTTCCTTCCCACCCCAGACATGTCGCTTCTCCTCCCTAGGGCTGCCACTCCCCACCACCGTCCCCAGCCCCGTTCTGTTCCGGGCTGGGACTCTGCCCCCGGAGCACCCTCCCCAGCTGACATCACCCATCCCACTCCAGCCCCAGGCCCCTCTGCCCACGCTGCACCCAGCACCACCAGCGCCCTGACCCCCGGACCTGCCGCTGCCGCTGCCGACGCCGCAGCTTCCTCCGTTGCCAAGGGCGGGGCTTAGAGCTCAACCCAGACACCTGCAGGTGAGGCGTCTGTGGGGTGGTGTTTGTTTGGGAAGGCACCAAGGCCCTGTCCTGGAGCAGGTCCAGGGTGAGCCTGCCAGTAGGAGGAGGGCCAGGGAAGGGGAAACTGTTGAATGTGTTGAACAAATATTTACCAAACAGCTGCTGGCACCTGGAGCTGTATAAGCAAGTCCAACATTCTAACTCAGGAGTCAGATACAGGAGGGACAATGCCAGCAGAGGATGTCAAGGGCTGTGGTGAGGGGTACCTGGCCTCGTCTTTCAGAGGTCAGAGATCTCTTGGAGGAGGTGACATCTGCCCGGAGTAGAAATGTAGGACACAGCTTTTCCAGCTTGCAGTTCGGGCCTTCCCAGAAGCCCCTGTGGTAGACATCTGCCCTTACCTACGGGCTTCAAGAGGCCAGGGGACATAGTGGAACCCTTGTCCACCCTTACCTGATGTGTTTCTCACCATCCGTGTCCCGCAGTGAGGCCATGGGGTGAAATCATATGGGCAGGGCCAGTGGGGGCTCCCGAGGAGTGTCAGGAGGGGATGACCTTTGCAAAAGGTTCATCCTTCGCCCTGCAGCCTCCAGTGCCCAGGGCCGAGTGGTGTGGCAGGATGCTCAGGTTGTGATCTTAGTGGGCCCGAGGCACACATGAGTCCAGGGCTGGGGCTGCGCTCCAGCCAGCATGAACAGATCACTTCCTCCCTCCTCAGGTGCCGGAAGCTGCGAAGGTGACACATGGCTTTTCAGACTCAGCAGGGTGACTTGCCTCAGAGGCTATATCCCAGTGGGGGAACAAAGAGGAGCCTGGTAAAAAACAGCCAAGCCCCCAAGACCTCAGCCCAGGCAGAAGCTGCTCTAGGACCTGGGCCTCTCAGAGGGCTCTTCTGCCATCCCTTGTCTCCCTGAGGCCATCATCAAACAGGACAGAGTTGGAAGAGGAGACTGGGAGGCAGCAAGAGGGGTCACATACCAGCTCAGGGGAGAATGGAGTACTGTCTCAGTTTCTAACCACTCTGTGCAAGTAAGCATCTTACAACTGGCTCTTCCTCCCCTCACTAAGAAGACCCAAACCTCTGCATAATGGGATTTGGGCTTTGGTACAAGAACTGTGACCCCCAACCCTGATAAAAGAGATGGAAGGAGCTGTCCCTGCCTGTGTCACTGTTTGTCACTGTCCAGGCTGGCTGGTTTGGGCATGAATGTCTGCATCACTAAATCCAGAGCTTGTCTTGCTCCCTCATTGTGCAGATGGAGGAAATGAGGACTAAGGCCCCACAGCAGATCCCAGGCAGGGCCAGAATTATGTATTCATCACTTTCAAGTTATTGCCACGCATGGGAGTCAGGGATAGCCCAGTCAATACAGACTGCCTGCCCTCCTGCTCTTCACCAGGGTTCTTTTCTAGAAGGAGACAGCCTTCTGTGGCCAGAGAGCTTGGGGTAGGACCCAGATCTACTGAGTGACCTTGCTTGTCACTACCCCTGCCTCTCTGAGCAGCAGTTTCCACATGTGCACATAGAGGGAACAGAAGATTGCTGTGGTTGGCGTCCTCGGGCCCCAGAGAAGTTTGAGACTATCTTTACGTAATAGAAAAGAACACTTGTTCTTCCTGCCAGGCAGCGCTTTCAGCATCTGCTGCTTTTTGTTCCCTGCAGCTTGAATCTAAAGCCTCAGCACCTGCCCTGTCTTAACTTCACTCCCACCTCCCTGAAAGGGAAGCACCGCAAGTCTGGGGCTGGTGGGCCTGGTTTGGGCGGCAGGCTCCCCTCAACCCAACCCACAGTTTTTTGTTTTTTTTTTTGTTTTTGGACAGAGTCTCACTCTGTCACCCAGGCTGGAGTGCAATGGCACAATCTCCACTCACTGCAACCTCCATCTCCTGGGTTCAAGCGATTCTCCTGCCTCAGTCTCCCAAGTAGCTAGGATTACAGGTGCCCACCACCATGCCCAGCTAATTTTTGCATTTTTAGTAGAGACGGGTTTCACCATGTTGGCCAGGCTGGTCTCGAACTCCTGACCTTGGGTGAACCACCTGCCTCAGCCTCCCAAAGTGCTGAGATTAGAGGCGTGAGCCACCGCGCCCGCCCAACCCACACAGTTTTCTCCACCCTCGCCTCCCTTGCATCCTGCAGCTTCCTTCATCATCAGTTGCTGCCTGAGATTCTCCTGACTTGTCTATCCTAGCCCAAGCCCAGCCCCTACCCTTCTCCCTGCAGCCTCCAGTGCCCAGGGCTGAGTGGTTTGGGGTGGATGAAAGGCCAACCTTGGGCACCACTGCTTTGCCTGCTGAAGCAGGACATTCAGGGGCAGAGTTAACTCAATTGGGCAGCCACTGGGAGGGGCAGCCACCCTAATGGAGGCTTTCTCTGAGGTGTTGGGTCAGAGCATGTGGGTATGATCTTAGTGGGCCTAAGGCAGGAGTGGGTTGAACCAGGAGACAATTCCTGACAGCGATTACTACTTTCAAATCATTTTCTCAGTCATGATGTCACTGGACATGCCATAGGTCAATTAGCATGAGGCAGAAAGGGGTTAGGGCCCCAGAGCTACCGCCTCCAGAGCCCAGTTAGCCCCACCAGTCACGCACAATGCTTCACATGCACCTCCTCACTTTCTCCTCGCTCGATTCTGAGGTCAGCATCATGATTGTCTTCCTTTTACAATTGAGGAAATAGGCTCAGAAAGGCTAACTGGCCGGGGGGATTTGACCTCAACTCAGCTGTCTCCCTAACCTTCAACCTAGGTTTAGCTGCCTCTCAACTGCAGGTTCATTACTTCAGTTGACAGATGTTTGGTGGCTGCTGGGGCGCCTGAAAATAAGTCTGGTGGGGGAACAGGCCCAGCCAGATCATTCCAGTCATGAGTCACAGCCCAGGTGCACAGGTAGAGGTAAGCCTGGCTCCTGGGAGAGAGATGTGGGCAGGAGCATTGGCTGGAAGCCAGGGCTTGTCATTGGACATCATCTCGGTCCTGCAGGGGCCCTGTGGGGTGGGTGTCATCAAGCCCGTGTTACACGCCTGTATTGGATGACAAATTCTACCAAGCACACAGCCGACCGGGAGTTCAAACGTGAGTGTCACTGTGAAGCCCAGGCTCCACAGCGACTGAGGGCCGTGGGCCATGATGAGGCCCGGGAAAACAGGAGTGCTGTGGGAGAGGCTGGGGGCGACTTGAAATGGCGCCTCAAGACCCCCTCCGGGAACCCACGCCCGCCTGACCTTACTATCACCTCGGCCGGAAGTGTCTCCGGCCTTTTCGGAAGTCACTTTCACCTAACCTTACAGACTACCGCTCCGCCGGAAGTGACGCAGGGCAGCGGCGTCGCGGGGGCGGGGCTCGGGAAAGACCCGTGCCAGCGGGCGTGTGGCCGCGGGTTTCGCACGGTCCAATAAGGGAGGGCGGCGTGGCCCGGCCTGGTAGCGACGAGGACGCGCCTGCGCAGAGGCGGCAGCACCACCGGGGTTGACTCCGGGGGCGCGGCGAGGAGGTGAGCGGGGGCCACAGCCCGGGCTGGGGGGAGCCGGGGTGCAAGAGGGCAGGCTGGATCAGGCCGGGCAGAAGCGGACCGGGCTCCGAGTGTCAACGAGAGCTAGGTGACGAGGAAATTGGGGGTGGGGGCCGGAGCTGTCCGGAGATGCCGCAGGGGGAGGGTTCTCACGCCGCACGGGGCGGAGTCCTGGGACTCGGGGCGGGACGTGGAACCGGGACGGGTGGGACCTCCGAGCTGGTGCCAGTGGAAGGCGGAGCCCGGCGGCGGGGGGCGGAGCTAGGAGGGTCGGGGGACGGAGCCTGGCTCTTGAAGGAGGAGCTGGAGGAGGTGAAAGGCGGAGCCTCGGGGTCGGAAGCAGAGGGGGACGGAGCGGAGGCGCTGGGGGCGGGGCTTCAGCCGGTGAGTGGCGTGGCTACGGCTCCGGAAAAGGGGTCTAGTTCTGTCGAAGGCGGGGCTGCAGGCCCGGGGGCGGTACCGCGTCCTCCGAAGGGCGGTGCCAAGGAGCCAAGTGAGGAGCCTGGCCCGAGTAATGGCCCCGGGCGTCCTCGCGGGGGTGGTCTCCGTGGTGGCCGGGCTTGGGGACGCCGTAGGCCGAGAACTCCACCGGGAGAGGTGGTGTGGGTGGAGCGGGCTCGGCGGCCAGCAGACACAGGGCCAGTCTGGGTGCCCCGGAGACCCCCAAGGGCTCAGAGTTGGGGCGGCGCCCCGGGCGGAAGCACAGGGCCAGGCTGGGGGGTATCTCCCGAGGACCCGGGCTCCTCGGAGCCACCCAGTGGGGATGTGTGGGTGCCTCGGGGCCGGCCCCCTGCAGCGGCCGCAGAGGTGTTGGTGTGCTGGACCGGGGGCAGCTGGGTGTGGCGTGAGTGGGGCCGCCCAGTCGGGGCAACTGCAGTGCAGCCAGATAGGGTCTGGACTTTGCGTAAAGGGACAGGCGGGAACTGAAGAGCGGAGGTGGGGACTGGGAGGGAGGGAAGGTATGGGGGTGAGCAAAGGGGCGGGTCCCTGGCTGCTGTGGCCTCCCCTGACCCCCTCCCCCCGCTGCTGGGGTCCTCGGCCAAGCCCCCTTCTCACTGGACTGGTAAGTGTGGCCCCGGAGCCCGGGGGAGAGGGCGGTGACCCGGGACAAAGGGGATCCCCCGGGGCAAGGAAGATACAGTGGCGGTGGAACCCTCCTGTTACCTACCCGTGTTCCATACTCTCCCTGCCCTCCCCCACGTTCAGTCGGTCGGTCGGGGTCTGTGCCCACAGAGACATGAGGCTGAGCTGGTTCCGGGTCCTGACAGTACTGTCCATCTGCCTGAGCGCCGTGGCCACGGCCACGGGGGCCGAGGGCAAAAGGAAGCTGCAGATCGGGGTCAAGAAGCGGGTGGACCACTGTCCCATCAAATCGCGCAAAGGGGATGTCCTGCACATGCACTACACGGTGAGTGGGTTGGGCGGGCCTTTTGGGAGTGGGTGGGGCTTCCGAGGACCAGAGAGTGCTTGGGAGTCTGGTTCTCCATAAGCCAGGTAGGTGACCTTGGGCAAGTCCCCTCTCGCCTCTAAGCCAGTTTCCATGGTTCTGCCTTGCCCTTGCCTACTGCCCAGGTGGGCACCAGCAGGCAGTGACAGTGTACTGTGAGCTGCCCAAGGCTCTGTCCTCTTAAAGAACTATGACCAGCTGGGCGCAGTGGCTCACCCCTGTAATCCCAGCACTTTGGGAGGCCGAGGCGGGTGGATCACCTGAGGTCAGGAATTTGAGACCAGTTTGGCCTCATGATGAAACTTTCTCTGCTAAAAATACAAAATTAGCCAGGCGTGGTGGCGGGCGCCTATAATCCCAGCTACTTGGGAGGCTGAGGTGGAAGAATTGCTTGAACCCGGGAGGCAGAGGCTGCAGGGAGGCGAGATCACGCCGCTGCACTCCAGCCATGGCAACAGAGACTCCATCTCAAAAAACAAAAAGGACTGACCACCAGGGCTGTGGGTGGGCGTGGGGGGGCAGCTTGATGGGGAAAGCAGCTGAGGGAGGGGGTGTCAGGGGTGGTCCCCTCTTCCTCACTGGCCTTCTCATGGTTCCACAGGGGAAGCTGGAAGATGGGACAGAGTTTGACAGCAGCCTGCCCCAGAACCAGCCCTTTGTCTTCTCCCTTGGCACAGGCCAGGTCATCAAGGGCTGGGACCAGGGGCTGCTGGGGTGAGTCATGGGGGAATGGGCTTGGGAGTGGGGGCGTGCATGGCCACCGCCCAGGAGGTAAGCTGTGGGAGGCAAGCCCCAGGGATACAAGACAAGGGCCCTGGGTGCTGCCATGGGCTGAGCATGTGTCTTCCTGCAGGATGTGTGAGGGGGAAAAGCGCAAGCTGGTGATCCCATCCGAGCTAGGTAAGAGGCCCCTCCTGAGGGTGCAGAGCGAGTTTGGGGTGTGTGACTGGGAAGGGTGAAAGCTGCTTCAGCTTTTCATTGGTCTTCACCGTATCCATTCATTACAATACATGCCTCCTCCAAGTTTGGCTGTGTCTAGCAGTGAGTACAGGGCAAGATCATTGAAGCACTCAGCTGTAGTGGCCCCACTCTGCCCTTGCCAGGCCTTTGGCACCCCCTTCCCATCTCCATTACCCTTCTCCATTTCTGGCCTTCTTGCTGAGAGGGGCGGAACACTCTCCCTTTGCCCACACTGGAAGGGAGCTTGGCCATCACTGACTGTTTCTTTGTGCATCTTCAACAGGGTATGGAGAGCGGGGAGCTCCCCCAAAGATTCCAGGTAGTAAACCTTTTGATACCTCCCATCACCTGCAGCCAGCCCACCTCCCTGTGGCCCTGGTTGGCATTTTGACTCCCCTTCTCCCCTACAGGTGGTGCAACCCTGGTGTTCGAGGTGGAGCTGCTCAAAATAGAGCGACGAACTGAGCTGTAACCAGACTGGGGAGGGGCAGGGGGAGAGGCCCCCATCAGGGACCAGACTGTTCCAAAAAAAAAACAAAAAACAAAAACAAACAAAAAAACACTTAAAAGCCCAAGGAGTAAGCCTGTGTGTGTTTGTGGGCCCTGAGAGACTCAGAGACCTCAGCTCCAGCATACCCCACCACCTTCTCCTTTCCCGACTGTGGAGCCTTGGGGGTCTAGGCTCAATGACATGGTGGCCCTTGCCCAGAGAGAAAGGAGTGTTCCTGCCTGCCAACAGCAATACTGCTCCCCCCACCCCCACAGCTCCCCAGCCACTTTCAACTCCTGGTCTGGGAGCCAGCACTGGGCTATCGTCATGGCTACGTGGCCCTTAGGAAGGCCTGTGGTCACCTGGGGAGAAGCTGAGCTGGCAGAAGTCAAAGAGCAGTGTGCCCCCCTAAAAGAGACCAGCCGAGCCTGTTAGCTGCACCAAAGGCGTATCCTAGCTTTATTAAAGGGCCCGCGCCGCAGAGTCAATATAAAAACACAAAAAGTCCCATCAGTTTAATAACAATAAAAAACCCCAAAAGTGGAAAACTGAGGGGGCAGGGGAAGAGACCCCTGGGCCAGGGGCACGAGGAGCCCTGCTCATGGCACCAGGCCTGGCCGCAGGGTCCCCCGGTATTGCTGTTGCTACGAGGTTGGGGGGCAGCGATTGTCCTGTGGGAGCCACCGTTCTCCTGGGTCGGGGACCGTCACTTCTTCTGGGGTGTGCTCAGCTTCTGCATGCCCCGGATCTTGTCCAGCAGGCCAGAAATGAAGGCCTGGATGGGGTGGGAGGGTAAACATTAAGGAGACCAGACCCCAAGATGACAGGAGCCGGGCTCCCCTCACCCTGCCACCCCCGCCAGCCCCCCAGGAAATCTCTTACCTCTGTGGGTTTGTAACAGTCAACCAGCAGCTCCTAGCAGAGGATGGGGGAGGAAGGATAAGTGAGTCCTCAGGAGTGGGGGCCTGGAGCTCGCCTATACCCACTTCCAAGAGACTGGGGCCACCCTGAGGCACAGGAGATGCCACAACAACCTCACAGCTAGGCATTGGCCCCATTCTGTTGAGGCAGGAGCTGGGGCTTGAGGGCCTGGCTCCACAGCCTCACTTTCCCGGGGCAGTGCCTCAGGCAACCCATCGCCCCCCAGCCCCCTCACCTTGACCCTGGCAGCCCGGGCATCGTCACTCTCCATGTCCAGGAGCTCATCCACGTCAATCTCCAGTTCTGGGATCTCCTCTTCCTGGGGTGGGGGTGGGGGAGGAGGGAGAGACATAAGCCTGAGTTGGAGAGAGGGTGTGAGAGGGGCTCTGGGTTGAGGCCCCTGCCTACCTCGGAGGAACCCAGCCCTCTGCCCAGCAGACAGAACAGCAGCTGCTCTGGGGAGGAAAACAGATCAGGCCCGTGCCAAGGCAAACTGCCCAAAGCGGGGTGGGGGGGGGAGCTTCCTGTCCCTGCCAGTGGGCACGGGGGGTGACAGACAAGGCCAGACAGCCAGGGTTGGGGACCTTGGGCTGGGAACCCAGCAGATGTGTCTCCCCAACATCCGGGCCCCCCATCTCACCAGAGCACCGGTGGGTGCAGCTGTCCCAGCTTATCATACCCCCCTCCCCTCCCCCAAACACCTGTCACAGCTCCCCGGGAGTGAGGAGGAAGTGAAGGCTGAGGGGTCACTGGGAAGGACCCAGGCCTGGCAAAGAGGAAACAAAGAGCCCATGCTTTGGTGAGGGAGGGGATGCCCACCACCCTGCCACACCCTCCCCAGGAAGCCCCTATCCTGTTTGTAGTCAGCTGCATTCCAGGGCTGGGCTAGGGTAGGCAGGCAGCACCGGGCAAACCCACTCCTCCACCCTGCCCCCCGGGGCCTGAGTCACCGTCTGAACAACCAGGGAGTCATGGGGGTGGAGAAGCAGAGCCCAGAAAGCGGGCTAGCCTGCACGCACGCCAAGATGGAGCTCCAGGCTAGCCCACAGAACAGCCCAGCCGCAGCCGTCCTACCAGACCAGCACCTTGTAACCACAGTCTAACCCAGCGGGCACCAGGCGGTGAGACCTCCTGCCGCTGCCAGCCCAGGATAGCCCCCTTGCCTCTTGCCCAAGGCTCAGGCTACCCCTTGAGGCGTCTGGAGGACACTAGGCTTGACCTGGGGAGTGGCATGATGGGGGGCAGGGTCCGAGGCAACGGAGAAGGCAGAAGTGACTTAGGTCAGGCAAGAAAGAGTATATATTGGGGGCGGGAGTGCAGAGGGGAGGGGAGCGCGCGGGGAAGCAAAGCGCCCTTTGACTCCAGTGACAGGCGAGCTCACAGTGGAGCTGCCAGGCGGACCGGCGCGAGACCGATTTTGGGGTGTCGGCGCGGGGTGGGAACACACCTGGCAGTCGTAGAGGCGCGTGAGCTGCTCCAGGATCCACTCCTCTAGGTTGAGGCGCTTCCGTAGCTCCTTGCGGTCATACTTGACGGTGACCTTCCCTTGGCGCCTCACTGGGCCCTCATCGTCCGCCCCGCCCGGGCCCTCTCCTGCGGCCCCGGGGGGGCTCTGAAAGTAGACGCGTGGTCCTGGGCCGCCACTGCCCGGCCCGGGGGCCGGGGCCGCCAACGCCGCGCCCCCCGCGGTGCCGCTGTCCGCCATGGCGGCCGCCGGGGCCACGTGCGAGCGTCGGGCCCCTCCCTGCGCCACCGCCTCCGGGACGCCCGCCGGCTGGCTCGGGTTAGCTCGCCGGCTCCGCTCCGCGCGGCTCCGCGGCGAGGGCGGCGGCGGGGGCGCCCGGGGGCAGCTGCAGCATGCGGAGCCCCCGGGCTTGGCCTGGCCGCGCCCCGCCCCCTCCCCGCCGATCCGCCCGCCCTTTGTCCCCCGCGGCCGCCGCCCGAGCTGCAGCCGCCGAAGCGCTTTCTCTGTCTCGCTCTTCCTCCGCCCCCCGACCACACCCCCTTAAAGGGCCAGCCCCTCTACAGGCCCCTCTCCCCTACTCCGCCCCCGGGCAGGGGTAGGGGAGGGTCTATTCGGCAGGGGGTGGCCTAGCTGTCCGTACTCCCCAAACGCAACCTTCCAGTCCCAAACCCAGGCGTTCTAAGCGCTCAGGACGACGATTTGCGCTCACGCCAGGACCCTAGTCTTCATTGGACCCTTCCTCATTCTGTCCTCATTGAGGCCATCTGAGAATAGGGGCTATCTGAGAATGCAGGGGAGTGGACATCGTGTGCAGACAGGGAGTCTGGTGAGGAGACGCTGCGGTCCCCGATGTCCAGGTCCTCCAGCCCTCGGCCAGCGAGGAGCGAACGGGCTCCTCCGCACGGACCGACACGTGGACTGGGCTCCTGGGAAAGGAAGAGTGGAGAAGGCGGGCAGGAGCTGTCCGGGTCCCTAGACTCTCCGAGTAGCAGGTCCCACGCCCCCAGCGGAAGAAGCCGGGGCTGGGGGTGAGCGGTGGCACCCGGCCGGCCCAAACGGCCAACCCCGGGCAGCCACCGCCCACCGGCAAGATGGCGCGAGGCTCGGGCTTGTGGGAAACGGAGTCCGCTCCCGGCGCCGCCCCTCCCCCGCCCTGCGGCCAGGCCGGGAAGCGCAAAGTTGTTTGGGGCGTCCTCTGCGCCTCGCGACCCGAGTGCGCACAGAGGGGGAAACTAAGGCGCAAAGAGCTGGGCAGTGCGGGGGCCGCGACTTATAATAATAAAGGCGGTAATTGCGGCTGACCCTAGGAGCGTGCGTCGGGACCGCCGCCCAGTCGGCTCCGCAGAGAGGGCGCCGTGCCGGGGCTCCTGCACCCCCGCCCTGCGGCTCCTCGGTCCTTCACATAGCCCTGGCCCACCTCCAATAAGCCGACGGCGCATCCCATTCCCTCCCTCTATTTTATTTTCTGCATCTTTAAATGGTCTCATTCATTCGTGTATTGTCTGTCTCCCACTTCTAGATTGTGAGTGCCACGGGGCTGAGGCCTGCGCCGACCTGGTCTGCTGGTGCTACCAGGCTTGAACAGTCTTCAAATCCACTGCTATTAGGCAAATTACCTGGCTCCCGCTGAACTCCAGCACCTAGAACTATGTCACACTCGTAGTAGGCCGCTGCATTGGTTGAACAAATGATTTTGAAAGAATGAATGTCTTCCTCTGTGCCTGCATTTCCTCAGAAGGCTGTAACAAAGATTAAATAGGAAAATTCGTGGAAAGTTCAATTACTACACCACAGAGGTTAATTAAGTCGCACTGCTAGATAAAACGGGAGACGAGACTTTGAACCCAGGCTGTGTGGCTCAAACCCCCTGACACGAAGTCTCTACTCAACCTCCTCACTACCCTGTAGACACCACCCAATAAGGCTGCGCAGCTCCCGGGGGATGTTTCTGTGGAAGGCAGGCTCACCTTGTGCCACCCCAAACAGGGTCTTGGATCTGAGAGGCAATGTTTCTGCTCCAGCCCCTCAAAGACACTCTTTGGATGTTGTGGGGGGAAGCCCTCTGCAGCGGGTGGGGTTCAGAGATGGATTGGGATTGGCCCCGGGGTCACACAGCTGGGGCTGCATCCAAACTCCAACCCAGGATGTTGGGCTCCTCCTTTGCCCTATAGTCAGAGAGAAGAGACCAAGAGAAGACAGAGGCTGGGCATTGTGAAGGCAATGGGCTCACAGGGCTCAGTTCAGGGAAGGGTAGAGTGAGCTGACCCCTCCCCTTCCCGTGCCCCTCCTCCGGCCTCAGCCTCCCTTCAGCCAGTCTGGGTGCCGAGGAAGGGCTGACCCTCGCTCTTGCGGATTAGGTAGGATCCACCCTCTCCACCGGGAGCCCTATCCGTGGCCTGGCCTCCTGCCCTAAGCCTGGCCTGATAGGAGGATCACTTTACCCCAGTCCAAATTCCCCACCACACCCCACCAGGCCAGGCCAGCTCCCTCTGAACCCAAGCATTGTTTGTACCTTGAGGGTGCACACAGATTAAAGGGGGAAGACCCTCAAACAGCCCCTAATGCCCAACAGCTTCTGTGGAAGTGGGGCCTGCAGGCCATGAAGACCCCCAGCCCTAGCTCTGCCCCCAAGATGCTGTGACCCTGAGCCCTGACCTTTCTGTCTGTCCTCCCTCAGGGTTGGTGTGAAGGTCTCCAGCCATGTCCGTGTCCACAGGTCAGGCATTCTTTCTGACTCTCCCTCTTCCCCCCACCGCGCCATGCCCAGGCACACCCAGATTCCTGTCCAGTTCCCATGGCTATCCACCCGAGACCACTTGGTGCAGGTGGGCATGCTGGCCTGCCACCTTCTTGGAAGCTGGGCCACAGAACCTTAGCCTTGGAGTAGAAATACTGGGTTCAAATCCTGGCTCTGCCCCATGGGCTGAGAGGCTGTATGCAAGTCACTTACCTGCTCAGAGCCTCTTCAGGGGGCTTATGGTCCTGACCTCCTGTGGTTGGGGGCCCATGCCCAGCCCTGGCCCTCCTGCCTGAGCCCTACTGGGACTGGAGTGTACCACTGCTCCTCCTCCTTCTAGCCTCAGTCTGTGGCCTCCCCAGCCCTACCCCTTCCAGGGCCCCAGCCCCCCTCCATTAGAGTGCATCCTTGAAGCAGAGGCTCTGGGGAGGGTCCTGTGGGTCAAGACCGCTCCTTCAATCAAGGGTAGAGTCCGGAAAGGCTGCCTGCCTTCACCATTACTGCCTGCTGAGATACCCTATTACCATTACCAAGGATGGAAGAAAGTGTCTGGGAAGGAAGGAGCCCTGTAATGGGGGCTGCCCTGGCCTCCAGAGACACAGGGTTGGGGGAGGAGAGAGGCTTAAGCCCAGGAAACAGGTGCCCATCCTGTTTTTTTCCACAAGGAGCTGCTGCCCAATGCTTCTCTAAAGTACGCTTGCACAAGGCCTAGGGCCCACAGCTCAGATCCCCTAAGCTCAGGCCTTGGCTCCAGGCTTTGCTAGCCCTGGCACAAGCTGGAGGTTCCACTGCCCCAGAGCTGACCTATGCCCTTTCCTCCCTCCCTGGTATACCCACAGCTTCCAGCTACTCATGTCAATTTGGCATCTCCCACCCATTTGCTTATGTATACAACAACCTTTAGGTTCTGGACAAGGTGACTGAGGCACCTAGAGAGACTAGGTTCTGCCACTAGCAAGAGGCTGCTAGCAAGAGCCGGATTTGAACTCCAGCCTGTGAGGGCAGAGGCCAAGCTCCACCTTGCATGGTTCTGTTTTCCCAATGAGGTCTAGAGGCTCCTGGGCCTCAGGAAGTCGGAGGGTTGAAATCCTCCTAAGAAGCTGTGTGACCTTGGGCAAGTCCCTTCCCCTCTCTGGGCCTCAAGTGGAGATCATAATCACACCCCACAGGGCCAGGGCTGAGAGCGAGGAGATCCGCCAGGTTAGAGTTGATGGAGAACTTGGCGGGGTGTGGAGGAAGGCCAGGGCCAGGCAGGGCTCCTTGTGGAGGTCTCAGAGCCTGGGGCAAAGGGGCCTGCAGGGGAGCTCCTCCTTTGCTGACCCCTCCTCCCCCAGAGCCAGCTGCATCTCTTTCTGGGTTTCTAGGTGACTTGGCTGGCCCCTCTGGATGAGTTCTACTTTAAACCTGCTGCTGTTACTGCCTCTGTATTGGGGGGGCTCCCACAGGGGCCCCCAGGCAGGAACCCCCCCCACCAGCTAAGCCCTGCGGGAGGGGCTGCAGCCCCCACCCATCCCATTGCCCATGCGCCTTCCCCGCTCCCATCTCTGGAACGCAGATTTCAGGGCACCTGCTGTGGGCCAGGCACTGCAGAGCCCCTCCTCAACCCTCCTGTCTGGGGACATCCACAAAGCTTCTGACCCCTCTGGGCAGACAACAGCGTTCCCCCCGCGGTTCCCAGCCAAGAGGCTCACAGTCAGGTTCCAGTCATGGGAGTCTGCAGCAACAAGAAGGGGGCTGTTCTAGGGCTCACTCTCGAAGACCAGGATGCTTGGGTCCTTAAAGGAGGTGGCAGGCGCCCGGCCTCCCTGGGCTAGGGACGGGGGAGGGGTGCCTGCCGGCGGGAGGTCCATTAGCCGGCTAAGTGCTCCCAGGGAGGGGGGACCGCGCGGCATAAGAGTGGGTGAGGCGAAGCCAGGGCAGAGGGGGGCGGAAGAAGCTTTTCCTGCATTCAGCTAAGTGCGGCAGAAGAGGGTGGGCGACAGGGCTGTGCAGCGACCCCCCGGCCCAAGTCTAGCCCTCCGCTGGTACTGCAGCCCTAGTCGCTCGGAAACCTCAGTGGGCTGATCCCGGACCGCCTTAAGCAGCGCCCTCTACACCCAGTCCCTCCAGCTGCTCCCCAACAGCCACTTCGGCCCCCAGCGCCCTCCTTCCACCACAGGCCTGAAGAATCAGGTTCTGCTGAGCCCCGCAGCAAAGCCCCCGACCCGTCCGCGTGCCCCTGCCCCAATCCCCGCTCCGGCTGCAGTCGCCGCCCCGGCCGCCAGGGGGAGCCGACGCGGTGGGAGGGGGCGGGGCCCGGGAGGCCCCGCCCCGTCCCCGCCCCGCCCGGGCCCCGCCGAGGCTCTGGTCGGTCCGGGACAGACTGGCGGGCGGGCGGGCACTGACGCCGCGGGGCCGGAGCGGGCCGCGCGGTGGGAGCAGCGGCGCCGTCGGTCCCCGTCAGGGCTCCGTGGGTCCCCGACCCGCCCCTGGCCGGGCCATGGCGGGCGCCCAGCCCGGCGTCCACGCGCTGCAGTTGGAGCCGCCCACCGTGGTGGAGACCCTGCGGCGCGGGAGTAAGTTCATCAAATGGGACGAGGTAAGCGCGCGGGCCCCTGCTCCGCCCAAATCCCGGGACTCTTTCAGTCAAGCTCGACCAGACGCTGGGGACCCCCACCCCAGCCTCGCCTGCCCGTGGCGCCACCCTCATCCCAGTCTGGCGGCGCCCCGGAAACTTAAGTCCCCGATCGTCTCCGTAATGAAGACTTTGTCCCCCCAACTCCCAGTCCCTCAGCTCTGGAAAATTTGCCTCCACTCCTTGGCGCAGAGACTTTGAACCCCAATAAACCCCGTCCCCCCGTTTTCCATTCGTTCTTCCCACCGCTCCCTGCCAGACTAATTCTCGTTCCCCGATCCTGGCCTGGTGCCCAGACCCCTGCCCAGCACTAGACTCCCCGGCTGCAGGACCCTGACTTCCAGGCTGGCTGGGGGCATCCTCATTCTGGGTGTGTGCCAGGGCGCCCCTACTCTCCCCGGTGCCCTGCCTGAACAGTCCTCGTCCATTCATCATTTTTCCCCCTGTTCTGGTTGGCACCCCTTCGCCCTGCTTCTGGATCCCAGCCCAGCTCCCTGTTCAGATGGGAGCACCCAGTCACCCCCTAGTGGAGACTTTGCCCCCCAAGTTCCTCCACCCCTGGGAACTTTGCTCCCCACTCCTTAGGCTTGGGACCTTGAACCCCAATACATCCTGGCCCCCCTTTCCCTGTCCTGCCCCTGGTGCTTCCCAAATGCCTGTGTCCCCACCTTCGGCTGCCCATCCCCATCCTGGGTGCATCCTCTTCTGCCCCCTGGGCCCTTCCTTCCCTAGGGCCTCCACCCGGCCGGCCTGAGCTTCCTCGCAGCTCCTTCCCAGTCAGGCCACGGGCCTGGAAGACTCTGGGCTCTTTTCCGGCTGGGTGGGGCCCCGGGGTAGGCGTGGGAGCTGGGGGGAGGAGATGGGGGCGTGGCCTGAAGCGGCAGGTGTGCGAGGTGGGGTGCCTGGGGGCCCCAGGGGCCGGGGGAGACCCCTCCCCCCAGGCTGGCCTGAAGGGAAAAGTTTCTTCTTTTCATTCCACTGTGATAAACCCAAATAAGGAAGTGGGAACAGGGAGAGGGCCCTGGGGGTGGGGTGGGGGGTGCTGACGGAGGCTTGGGGCAGGAGAGCAGGGGACCTGGGCTGCCTTTGAGGTCCAGACCCCTGGGGAGAGGTGGGAGGGAAACACTAGGGGCAGTACCCATAGACTCCCCGCTCTGCACACCATTCGGGGGCCTCAGGCCCAGGGTAGGGTTGGGAATCCGGAGAAGTGCTGGGGCTGGGTGTCAGCACACTGAAGTGGGGAGGCCCATGCATCCCCAAATTTTGGGGGCCTTCTGTTCCCAGATGAACGCCCATCTTTTGTAAGCAAAGCCTGCCATGGGTGGGGCTGGTGCAATCCCCATTCTCCAGAAGAGGAAACTGAGGTCTGGAAAGCAGAGAGTTATCCCAGGCCCCACAATGGGGTGTGGCTGAGGCCAGGAGCCGGGAGCCTGGCAGAAGTCTCCGCTCCCTGCTTCCCAGGTCACAGGACGCTGCAACCACACTGCCTGCAAGCAGGTCCTGGCTCCAGTGATCTCGGGCAGGCTACGAAGTGTCCCTGTAACTCAGTGTCCTCATCTGTAAAATGGGAGTGACAACAGCACATGCCTCTTAGGCTGGTTAGGAGGCCTTTGTGTGCTCGAAGATGCTAGGTGCATAGAACTGTACCTGGTGCGCAGTAGGGGCGGTGTGCGTATATGAGATGTATTGATAATAATAGTATTGTCCACCAGACACTGAGATGCATTTTGGGGGTGGCACCCAACATGAGGTGGGGTCCTTTTCTGTCTGGAAGAACCTGGAATAGGAGGGTTCTACCTGTAGCCACTTGTTCACTCTGGCCCTGGCCGAGTCTAAGCCCTGGAGGACAGCCCCTCTGGCTGCTGGTCCTGAGTCACACAGGGTGGCCCTGGTAGTGTGCCAGGGACCGGGCCCTTCTTAGAAAATGGGGCTGGCATGCACTTCCCTGCCCCCTGCCAGCTGCACGGCTGTTTGAGGGAGGAAGAGCTCACTGCCCAGTCCTGAGAGTAGGGCAAGTCCCCTTCTAGGGGGACTGTTCTTCTACGAGATGGGGATGAGCTTTGAGGCTGTGAGGACCCCGGCAGATGTGGTAAGGTGGATAATGGGCTTTGAGGCAGACCACAGGGCTATCGTGATGTCCCAAGGGATGCAGAAGGGCAGTGGGAGTCAGACTTCTCACTTTCATGCCTTAAACATTCTGCAGTGGGGTGGATTGGGGGGCTGCCACTGTCACAGAGCTCTCAGCACTTCTGGGGAAACTGAGCCCAGGATGGGGGCTGGGGACCTCTTCCAGGGGGTGGGTCAGATTTCACGGGTGGAGAAGGAAGGGCAGGGTGTCCTGGCAAAGGGAACATGAGACAAAGCCCTGGGAAAGGTCAGGTAGAATCCTAGGGCCAGAGGGAGGTGAGGCTGGGAAGAGGCTTTGAGGTAGGTGTGACACTAAATGTCACACCTAGGACCTTGGCTTTGTTCTGAGGGCCACAGGCAGCCACACAGGACCTGTGGACTGGATGAGGTTTCGTCTTAGCTCATGGGCAGGAACTCTGGGGTGCATGATGGGAGGGCCCCAGGGGCCAGGCCTGCACCACAGCCCTCACTTCCTGACCCCTGCTGCCCTGTGCTGTCCTCAGGAGACCTCCAGTCGGAACCTGGTGACCCTGCGTGTGGACCCCAATGGCTTCTTCTTGTACTGGACGGGCCCCAACATGGTGAGGGTGGGCGCTGGTGCAGCTCGCTCAGGCCAAGGACCCCTGTCCCAGACCCCTGCCCTGCCCGTGGGGGTGGGGCCCGGCTGCAGGCTGACCTCTCCCACTGCTGCCCAGACAGGAAGTGCTCAGGGCAGGAGCTGAGGCTGGGGCTATAGCCAGGGGCTGGCCATTCCCTGGCCTGGGTAGAGAGCTTGGAAGCTCCTGGCTATTGCCCTGCAGCCTCTCATACTCAGCCTGGCATCTGGTTCCCCCCAGGAGGTGGACACACTGGACATCAGTTCCATCAGGGACACACGGACAGGCCGGTACGCCCGCCTGCCCAAGGTGAGTGATGAGCCTGGG
This sequence comes from Homo sapiens, assembly GCF_000001405.40. Classification (NCBI taxonomy): domain Eukaryota; kingdom Metazoa; phylum Chordata; class Mammalia; order Primates; family Hominidae; genus Homo; species Homo sapiens. The sequence goes on from NC_000011.10 coordinate 64,254,835, forward strand.
AGTGAAGACCACAGCGAGGCTGTGCGGGAGCCCCCTCTTCACCCTTCGCTGTCACCTACTCAGGACCCCAAGATCCGGGAAGTTCTGGGCTTTGGGGGTCCCGATGCCCGGCTGGAGGAGAAGCTGATGACGGTGGTGTCTGGGCCAGACCCAGTGAACACAGTGTTCTTGAACTTCATGGCCGTGCAGGATGACACAGCCAAGGTGGGCTGGCACCAAGGGGACGAAGGGGGAGTCACTGTCTTATTCTGTGAGTCGGCCGTCACTTACCGAACACCTGCTGTGTTCTAGGCTGCTCTGTGACCTACTGTGTACCAGAGGCAGTTGTGGACCTGGGTTGTGGCTGGGCAGCCCCTGTGTCCCCCACTCACCGCCTCCCCGTGTATACTGGCCCCCCAGGTCTGGTCTGAGGAGCTATTCAAGCTGGCTATGAACATCCTGGCTCAGAACGCCTCCCGGAACACCTTCCTGCGCAAAGCGTGAGCCCCAGGCCACCCGAGGGGGAGCCGGGGGGTTCACGTGGCCGTTTTCAGGGTGTGACCTCTTCATCTGCCTTCCCAGATACACGAAGCTGAAGCTGCAGGTGAACCAGGATGGTCGGATCCCCGTCAAGAAGTGAGCACCCCTTCCCCCAGCACCTTCCTCCTGCCCTGACCTTGGTGACCTTTGTCCTCCACTGACCCTGAACCCCTCCTGCCCGCATCAGCATCCTGAAGATGTTCTCAGCAGACAAGAAGCGGGTGGAGACTGCGCTGGAATCCTGTGGCCTCAAATTCAACCGGGTGTGTGGGGTGGGGACAGGGGCGGGGTGGGGTGTCACGGTGGGCACCCACCCTTACGGGGCTGCCCGCCCCTGGCTTCTCACCCCACACTCCTCGACCTCCAGAGTGAGTCCATCCGGCCTGATGAGTTTTCCTTGGAAATCTTTGAGCGGTTCCTGAACAAGCTGTGTCTGCGGCCGGACATTGACAAGATCCTGCTGGAGATGTGAGTGGGCCCGGCCTGCCTCACAACCCCTGTGCTCTGTGTTTAGCTTCTGCTTAGCGTGCCTCTAGCTCAATGGGGAGAGGGGAAACTGGTGGGCCGGGTCCTGGAGCGCCAGGGGGCGGAGGGGTGCCCAGGGAGAACCTGTCGGTGATGTTCCTGTACTCAGACCCGCCGTTTCTGCCCCTCAGTTACAGGCAGCTCTGGGCTAACCCTGTGCCAGGGTTGGTTTAATCAGCCCACTCTGCAATGGGGTCCAAGCCTCAGGTGTGTTGTGAGGTCTGGAAGCGAGGGGTGGTGGGCTGACCACTTGGCAGCTCCTAAGCCCTGGCCATTGCTGGTGCCCACTAGTCTGCTGCCTTGACAATCCTGAGTAGTCAGGAGAGTAAAGGGGGAAACTGAGGCCCAGAGGTTGGCCATGACTCACCCAGAGTCCCACTCACTGGGTGCCAGATCCAGGGGCAGGCCTTCTGACTCCCTTGCCCAGGGCAAGGGCTTGGCGACGGGGTGGGAGCCCTGCCAGGCTCCATCCTGACCCAGCTTCCTGTCCCCTCCAGAGGCGCCAAGGGCAAGCCATACCTGACGCTGGAGCAGCTCATGGACTTCATCAACCAGAAGCAACGCGACCCGAGACTCAACGAAGTGCTGTACCCGCCCCTGCGGCCCTCCCAGGCCCGGCTGCTCATCGAAAAGTATGAGCCCAACCAGCAGTTTCTGGAGCGAGGTGAGCTGGCTGGGGTGCAGGTGGGTGGGGGCAGGTGGGACCCCAGCTGACCCTGCTGATCCTCTCCCACCCCAGACCAGATGTCCATGGAGGGCTTTAGCCGCTACCTGGGAGGCGAGGAGAATGGCATCCTGCCCCTGGAAGCCCTGGATCTGAGCACGGACATGACCCAGCCACTGAGTGCCTACTTCATCAACTCCTCGCATAACACCTATCTCACTGGTGAGTGGGGAGCAAGGGTGGCACCCGTGACCTCTGCCCTGTGACCCTTGCACAGCCCCACTCCTCCTGGGGCACAGTCCTTTTGGCCCATTTGCTCATTCATTGGCCAGTGCTGGGGATGCAGGCAGGGAACAGGCAGCCAGCCCTGAGCAGTGGGGCCTCATGGTGGCTTTCCCAGGGAAGGGCTGGAACAGCTTGTGTTAGGGCCTGCAGCAGGAGAGACTTCAGGGTCCTTTTTTTTTTTTTTTTTTTTTTTTGAGACAGAGTTTCGCTCTTGTTGCCCAGGCTGGAGTGCAATGGCACGATCTAGGCTCAGCGCAACCTCTGCCTCCCAGGTTCAAGCGATTCTCCTGCCTCAGCCTCCCAAGTAGCTGGGATTACAGGCATTCGCCACCACGCCCGGCTAATTTTGTATTTTTAGTAGAGATGGGGTTTCTCCATGTTGGTCAGGCTGGTCTCAAACTCTCAACCTCAGGTGATCCGCCTGCCTCGCCCTCCCAAAGTGCTGGGATTATAGGCATGAGCCACCTCGCCCAGCCTGCAGGGTGCTTTTAAGAGGCTGGAAGGGGGTTGGGTGCGGTGACTCATGCCTGTAATCCCAGAACTTTGGGAGGCTGAAGCAGGCAGATTACTTGAGCCCACGTTTTGAGACCAGTCTGGGCAACATAGCATGACCCCATCTCTACAAATAATTTTTAAAAAATTAGCTGGGCATAGTGGCGCATGCCTGTGGTCCTAGCTGCTTGGGAGGGTGAGGTGGGAGTATCGCTTGGTTCTGGGAAGGTTGAGGCAGGAGTAAGCTGTGATTGCACCACTGCACTCCAGCCTGGGTGACAGAGTGAGAGACCCTTTTCTAAAAAAAAAAATTAAATAAATAATAAAAAAGCAGAAAGGAAGCTGGTGCGGCAGGGTGCAGAGTGCTGGAGATAGGTGCCTGCTAAGAGAGGGAGAGCAAGGCAGGGCTAAGCCCAGGGGCCTAGAGGCACTTGGATTCATCCTGGGTGTGAGGAAGAGGCTTTTTGGAGGGTGAAGCAGAAGAGGTGATGTGACCTGATATGATATGTTTTTAGAAGGATGATGCCAGGTGCTCTATAGAGATTGGATTGAGGCCAGGCACAGTGGTTCACACCTGTAATCCCAGAACTTTGAAAGGCTGAGGCGTGTGGATCACCTGAGGTCAGGAGTTCGAGACCAGCCTGGCCAACATGGTGAAACCCCATCTCTACTAAAAATACAAAAATTAGCCAGGCATGGTGGTGGGCAACTGTAATCCCAGCTACTCGGGAGGCTGAGGCAGGAGAATCGCTTGAACCAGGGAGGCGGAGGTTGCAGTGAACCGAGGTTGTGCCACTGCACTCCAGCCTGGGTGACAGAGCGAGGTTCCGTCTCAAAAAAAAAAAAAAAAGAGATTGGATTGGAGGCAGGGAGGGCTGGAGTCTTCCACACAGGAGGTGGTGTGAGCTGTGCCAGGGCTGAGGTGGGTGGAGGGAGTGAGGAGAGGGAGGGATTGTTGAGGCAGTGGGGAGCTATAGTGAGTCTCAGGGATGACTCCCCCCAGCTCACGCTGGTGGGATGGACAGGTGGTGGGTATCCATCTGAGAGATGGAGAGCCCTCTGCAAATCCAGCATGTCCTGGTTCCAGGTGGGGCCGGGGTGGTGAGGAGCTGGGCTGGTGGGCGGCCTCGGTGACAGAGCCTCGCCGCCCCAGCGGGGCAGCTGGCTGGGACCTCGTCGGTGGAGATGTACCGCCAGGCACTACTATGGGGCTGCCGCTGCGTGGAGCTGGACGTGTGGAAGGGACGGCCGCCTGAGGAGGAACCCTTCATTACCCACGGCTTCACCATGACCACAGAGGTGCCTCTGCGCGACGTGCTGGAGGCCATTGCCGAGACTGCCTTCAAGACCTCGCCCTACCCCGTCATCCTCTCCTTCGAGAACCATGTGGACTCGTGAGTGAGCCCCTGGCATGAAACCCCATGGACCGGGGGACAGTCTTCCAGCTTCAGTGCTGTTGGACTGCTCAGGGACCTCCAACCCTGCGAACGGCCACTGACATGTCCCGTAGACCTCAGCTTCCTCTCTGGGGGAGGGATCTCTGACCTCTGACCTCGGTTCCGCAGGGCAAAGCAACAGGCAAAGATGGCTGAGTACTGCCGCTCCATCTTTGGAGACGCGCTACTCATCGAGCCTCTGGACAAGTACCCGGTACGGGAGCTCGGAGCGAGGGGGGTGGCATGGGGGCCAGGGTGCTGCGGACCCGGTCCAGGGCCCTGACTCGTCCATGCCTGCCCAGCTGGCCCCAGGCGTTCCCCTGCCCAGCCCCCAGGACCTGATGGGCCGTATCCTGGTGAAGAACAAGAAGCGGCACCGACCCAGCGCAGGTGGCCCAGACAGCGCCGGGCGCAAGCGGCCCCTGGAGCAGAGCAATTCTGCCCTGAGCGAGAGCTCCGCGGCCACCGAGCCCTCCTCCCCGCAGCTGGGTAGGCCCCAGCCCGGCCCGCCACCCTGACTTGACCCTAGCCTCTGGCCTCATGCTCCAGGCGCCGTGACACTTCATCCCAGACCCCCAGCCCACCCTCCTGCCTCGCTGTGCGCCTGTTCCCACAACCGGCCTGTCTCCTCACCACCTGTCGGCTGGTGTGGGGCCTCTGACCCCTGACCTCAGGTGCACGTCTCACCCAGCTGCACCCCAACTCCTGACTCCCAACCTCAGCCTCTCACCTCTCAGAGCCTTCCCACAACCCGGTGATGGCTCTGAAGGCTGACCTCTGACCTCAGTAAACCACATCCCACACTGGGTGTGACCTCAGACCCCTAAGCCCGCATTGAGTTCACCTGCCCAGTTGGTTATCATTTCAGCTGACCTCTGACCTCTCACCCCTGACTGTTCACCTCACTATGCCCCCTCCTTAGACATGGCTCTGACTTACCCCTGACCTGTAACCTCTCTATGTCATCCCTTACCCCGCTATTAGGGCTGTGGTATGCTACTTCCTGACTTCTCACCCCACTGAACCACCCTATCTGCCTCCCTGCTGAATATCACTGCAGACCTTTACCTTTGACCTATGACCCCTCTCAACCCATACTGGGTTAATACCATCTGACCTCGACCTCTTGGCCTCTCCCCAAGCCACACTGCCCTGAGAGTACCCCTTGAATTCCCCACTGAGTCACCTCGGCACACACTGGGAAAAACCCCTCCAGACTTCCTAAGCAGCTGTGTGGTCCTGACCCCTCACCCTGTGGCCCTGTCCTCTGCAGGGTCTCCCAGCTCTGACAGCTGCCCAGGCCTGAGCAATGGGGAGGAGGTAGGGCTTGAGAAGCCCAGCCTGGAGCCTCAGAAGTCTCTGGGTGACGAGGGCCTGAACCGAGGCCCCTATGTTCTTGGACCTGCTGACCGTGAGGATGAGGAGGAAGATGAGGAAGAGGAGGAACAGACAGACCCCAAAAAGCCAACTACAGATGAGGTCAGGCCCACAGGGTGGGCAGGTCGGGGAGGTAGCATCTATTTACCTCCCAGGGGGCTGGGTCTGACCATCAACAAGACTGACATCACCCCTGCCTCCTGGGGCTCAGTGTGGGTGTGAGTGAAGGTGGGAGGAGGGCTCTTCAGTCATCAGGCATGGAAACAAGCATACAGTTCTGCTGGTGATGTGGCCTGGGAGGTGCGAGTTAGGGTACAGAACTGGCAGAGGATAGGGAGTCTACCCTGGGCAGGGAGGTGGGGCAGGGAGACCTCAGGAAGGGGGACAGCATGTACAAAGGTCCTGGGGCAGGGCCAGGGGGTGCAGGAGCGGGGAGCATTGTCATGGGGAGCATTGAGTAGCTGTGAGGAATGGTACAGAAAAAATCAGTCTGAGCTGGGCGTGGTGGCTCACACCTGTGATCCCAGCTACTCGGGAGGCTGAGGCATGAGAATCCCTTGAACCTGGGAGGTGGAGGTTGCAGTGAGCTGAGATTGCACCATTGCACTCCAACGTGGGCTAAAAAGGGAGACACTATCTCAAAAAAAAAAAAAAAAAAAAAAGACATCATTGCTATAAAGACAATTACTGGAGCAATTAGTGAAATTTAAAGATGGACTACATATTAGATAATATGTTAATGTTTTGTTTCCTGAATTTAATTATTGTATTGGAGTTATAGAAGAGAATGTCCATATATGCTGAAGTATTTATGGGTAAAGGGTCATGATGTCTATAATTTACTCCCAAATGATTCAGTAAAAGTAATGATAATTATAACACCTATATGGGCCAGGCGAGGTGGCTCATGCCTGTAATCCCAGCACTTTGGGAGGCTGAGGTGGGCGAGTCACCTGAGGTTGGGAGGTTCCAGACCAGCCTGGCCAACATGGTGAAACCCCATCTCTACTAAAAATACATAAATTAGCCGGGCAAGGTGGCGGGCGCCTGTAATCCCAGCTACTTGGGAGGCTGAGGCAGGAAAATTGCTTGAGCTGGGTGGTGTCCAGGGCGCATCAGTGAGACCCCGGGGAGAAGACTGTCGGCACCACCAGCAGTGTGTATATAGTGCTGGGAAGAGGGTCAGCACCTCCTTCATGGGGGGCAGGTGAGGGAATGGCCAGCTGTGGCGGGAATGGCACTGCTGACCCTGGGTTGGGGCCCACAGGGCACAGCCAGCAGCGAGGTGAATGCCACTGAGGAGATGTCCACGCTTGTCAACTACATCGAACCTGTCAAGTTCAAGTCCTTTGAGGCTGCTCGAAGTGAGTGGGGGTGGGTGGCAGGCATGGGAGCTTGCCCAGCTCAGCCCTGCCAGGTCTGACGCCCTTTCTTGGCTCACCCCTAAGAGAGGAACAAATGCTTCGAGATGTCGTCCTTTGTGGAGACCAAGGCCATGGAGCAACTGACCAAGAGCCCCATGGAGTTTGTGGAGTATCCTTTGAAGGTGCTGTGGGCGGGCAGGCCAGGGTGGGGCGCTCGGAGGCCGGCTCCGGTGTTCTGTCCCCACATATGCCACCTGCACAGGGTGCTGGCCCTCCGGCGGCCCTCCTGCACCCTGGCCTGGGGCTTGGGCAGATCCAGGCAGTCTCAGGGGGCATGGCTAGGCTAAGAAACAGAGGCCGGGTGTGGGGGTCACAGGAGCACCTGGCTGAGGCCGGAGGTGGAGGCTGATGGGGTGGGCCCTGGCACCTGTGTGGCCCCTGACCACCAATCTCAGATACAACAAGCAGCAGCTCAGCCGCATCTACCCCAAGGGCACCCGCGTGGACTCCTCCAACTACATGCCCCAGCTCTTCTGGAACGTAGGGTGCCAGCTTGTTGCGCTCAACTTCCAGACCCTCGGTGAGCCCTGGCCCCCTCCATCTTGACCCCGACCCTCAGTCTTACTGACTTCTGACCCACGATCCTGCTGGTCTTGCCTGAATGGACCTCTGACCCTGTCTCATCCCAGATCCCAGGGGAACCCAGCTCCCGACTCACCCCGCCTCCTGCCCTTGGCTGATACCAGACCCCTCCCCTGTCTGATCTGTCCTGGATCCGGACCCTGATGCCATTTGAGCCCGCCCCTGACCCTGGACCTTGGATGCCATCTGACCTGATGATCTCCCATTCCCCACATGGCACCGTCCTGCCTGATCCCTGCCCCTGCTCGACGTGCCCGTGGCACCCCAGATGTGGCGATGCAGCTCAACGCGGGCGTTTTTGAGTACAACGGGCGCAGCGGGTACCTGCTCAAGCCGGAGTTCATGCGGCGGCCGGACAAGTCCTTCGACCCCTTCACTGAGGTCATCGTGGATGGCATCGTGGCCAATGCCTTGCGGGTCAAGGTGGGGCTTGCGGGCGGCTCAGGCCAGGGGTGTCCTGGGGGCAGGACTCTCAGCATCCGCCTCACCCTCCTTGGCCCACCCCCAGGTGATCTCAGGGCAGTTCCTGTCCGACAGGAAGGTGGGCATCTACGTGGAGGTGGACATGTTTGGCCTCCCTGTTGATACGCGGCGCAAGTACCGCACCCGGACCTCTCAGGGGAACTCGTTCAACCCCGTGTGGGACGAAGAGCCCTTCGACTTCCCCAAGGTGAGCCTGGCCCCTGCACCCGCCCAGGCACAGGCAGATCCAGCCCAGACCGCCCCGACTCTCAGGTGGGAGAACAGGAACCAGGCACACCGTTGGCGACTGGGGATCAGAAAGTGGGGGGTGCCATGGGTCCCCCAGGACCTGCCTGTCCGAGCGTCAGTCTCCCTGCCCTCCTTAGGGTAAGAGACCAGGGTGAGAAGGTGAGATGGGGGTTGGGGGGTGTCAGCTAGACGTCTTGTGTCCCCTGCGAGGAGTGGACACAGCCTACCCTGTCTCCGAGGCAGGAGCTGAGGTCACAACCCCAAGCTCATATCCGCTCTTCAGCACCCCGCACGGCCCTGCATGGACGCGGCCTCTGCTCCCAGCCTGGGCATGTGTGTTCTTGGTTTCCTGCTCATGACTCACTCCCGTTTCTAAACTGGCAATGACCAGAACTGTCTGTGGGGGCCCTGGAGGGGCCTGGCTGCCTGTCATCTTGCCTCAGGGTCCTGATGGCTGCAGTCATCCATTAGGCCAGGACATGGAAGTGGGGTCAGCCATCAGCTTAGTGGCAATGGTGACTGATGGTCAGTAGGTCAGCTCGTCTGAAGGTCTGCTTTGTTAAGCTTTGATGGCTGTGGTTAGCTGTGGCCTGGTAGCCACAGTGGCCCAGGGTCAGCCCTGTGGCTCAGCTCCAGTCTGGCCCACAGGTGGTGCTGCCCACGCTGGCTTCACTTCGCATTGCAGCCTTTGAGGAGGGGGGTAAATTCGTAGGGCACCGGATCCTGCCTGTCTCTGCCATCCGCTCCGGTGAGGCCTTGGTGGGCTCTGGGCAGCACAGCGGGCAGTGGGTAGGGCCCCCACCTGGCCCAGCAACCCAACGTTGCCTTCCTGACCACCCAGGATACCACTACGTCTGCCTGCGGAACGAGGCCAACCAACCGCTGTGCCTGCCGGCCCTGCTCATCTACACCGAAGCCTCGGACTACATTCCTGACGACCACCAGGGTGAGCTGGGGGTGGGCGGGGCCTGCCTGGCCAGGGAGTGTGAGGGACAAGGGCCACCCCCAGGGCCTGGGAGTGGCCGAGCTGGATGGCCCCGACTGAGTAGGGAACTGAGTAGGGAACAGATCTGAGGACAAGCTCTGGAATTCCTCATTGAGACCAGAGGTGGCGGGTGGGGGTGGCCTGGGGGCTCTGTCTCTGAGACCTTGGCCTTCTGCCTCCCCCCAGACTATGCGGAGGCCCTGATCAACCCCATTAAGCACGTCAGCCTGATGGACCAGAGGGCCCGGCAGCTGGCCGCCCTCATTGGGGAGAGTGAGGTGAGCCGGGGCAGGGCAGGGCTCAGGCTCACTGTGACCCAGGGGGCCGCTGGACATGACTGCTGTGGCCACATGAGGAGGGGGCTTCTGGTCTCTCTAGCGCAGTAGGCTTGGCAGCCCTGGGATTTTGAGGAGATGAAAACCACCCATTTGCATTCAGGAGGCCTTCAGGTCACACCTGGGCTGGAATTCCTCCAGCTCCATGTAGGCTTGGAGTGGGGGTACAGGGGTCTCAGCCACTTCATCAGGGCAGTGCGAAGCCACAGAAGCTGTTCAGACGTGGTGTCCTGGGAGTCATGAGGAGGGCAGTGGCTTCCGTGGGGAGGGGTCAGGCACGGAGGTTCACCTGCGCTTCCAGATCCAGTCCCCCCAGGGCCTGCGGCAGGCGGGCGGGGAGAGATGACTGCAATTAGGGCTGCCTGGAGCTGTTAGCGGAGAGGCTGGTGCCCACTCTGCGGTTGAGTCCTCTGTTGATTTAATCAGGAGCTCAGCAGCAAGGAAAATGAGCGACTGTAGGCAAGGCTGGGGGACACAGGCAGGGGAGGAGAGGAGGCTTGGGGCTGGGCCAGGCCTTTCCAGAACAATCTGGGAGTTACTGAGCACATGCAGTGGGCTGGCATTATGTTATCTTCCCCACAGCCCATGTGGAAAAGGGGTTTAGAAAGGCTTGATTTATAGCTCTTCTCATGCAGACAGCCTCCTGTTACAGAGCAGTCCAGCAGTGGCTTGGACTAAGGGAGGCTGACAGGGGTGCTAGGGGACCCAGGAGGTGGTAGAGGACAGAAGGGTCTGGAGGGAACAGCATTTCTGAAAAGAGCATTCTCCTTTCTCCCTATAGGCTCAGGCTGGCCAAGAGACGTGCCAGGACACCCAGTCTCAGCAGCTGGGGTCTCAGCCGTCCTCAAACCCCACCCCCAGCCCACTGGATGCCTCCCCCCGCCGGCCCCCTGGCCCCACCACCTCCCCTGCCAGCACCTCCCTCAGCAGCCCAGGTAAGGAGTGGCCTGGGTCGGGGGTGGGCTGCAGGGAGGCACCCCCCACCCTGTCCTCCAGCTCCTCACAGGGCCTCTGCTCCCCAGGGCAGCGTGATGATCTCATCGCCAGCATCCTCTCAGGTAGGGGGCGGGGTACCTGGAGGCAGGGGGCTGCCTTGCAGGTTCCCCCACCCCCCGCCCACCTTTGCTCTGCCGCTCCCAGAGGTGGCCCCCACCCCGCTGGATGAGCTCCGAGGTCACAAGGCTCTGGTCAAGCTCCGGAGCCGGCAAGAGCGAGACCTGCGGGAGCTGCGCAAGAAGCATCAGCGGAAGGCAGTCACCCTCACCCGCCGCCTGCTGGATGGCCTGGCTCAGGCACAGGCTGAGGGCAGGTGCCGGCTGCGGCCAGGTGCCCTGTGAGTGTCTGGGCCGCCTGTGTGCTATGTGTGCTGGGTGTGCTGATGTGAACATGGGGGTCGGTGGGCATGGAGAGATGGCAAGAGCTGCTCCTTGACCCCCAGGGAGGAGGGTTCAGTGCAAGGATGGAGGAGGCTTTCCACACCAGGCGTCCCTGTGTCCCCCAGGGAGTGACATCTCTTTTGAAGTCCATGAGGAGCATGTTGCCCAAACAGGCTCCCATCACTTGGGTGGAGCTAACAGGCCTCCTGGTTTGCATAACAGACCTGGCCCCATGGGATGGTGTCTGCCATCGCTTGCCAGGATGTGCCCCCCTACACACCCTCCCCATCCCAGTCCATGTGACGGGCCCAGGCATCACCCAGAGGGGTTCTCCTCGCAGAGGTGGGGCCGCTGATGTGGAGGACACGAAGGAGGGGGAGGACGAGGCAAAGCGGTATCAGGAGTTCCAGAACAGACAGGTGCAGAGCCTGCTGGAGCTGCGGGAGGCCCAGGTGGACGCAGAGGCCCAGCGGAGGCTGGAACACCTGAGACAGGTAGGGGGCCTGCAGTGGCCAGGGAAAGCCTGCTGGATAGACCCGTCGTCAGCCCGGCATCACCTGTCAGCTCCCTGTGTCCACAGGCTCTGCAGCGGCTCAGGGAGGTCGTCCTTGATGCAAACACAACTCAGTTCAAGAGGCTGAAAGAGATGAACGAGAGGTGAAAGCCGAGGATTGTCTATGGGAAGGGCTGGGGACTTCTAGTACCAGAAGGAGGGCAGAGTCTGTGCTTCTGCCGCTGACCCCTCCTCTTCCCCTGCCGGCTTCTCCAGGGAGAAGAAGGAGCTGCAGAAGATCCTGGACAGAAAGCGCCATAACAGCATCTCGGAGGCCAAGATGAGGGACAAGCATAAGAAGGAGGCGTAAGGGCACCGGGACCGGGGGCCATCTGGGTACTGGGGAGGCAGGGCAGGTGTCTGGGCCCCGAGCCATCCTGCGTTGCTCCCGTGCAGGGAACTGACGGAGATTAACCGTCGGCACATCACTGAGTCAGTCAACTCCATCCGTCGGGTGAGTCAGGCTCCCGGGCCACCCTACCCCACCTCCCTTCCTTCACTCATCAGACACCCATCTCCATGCCTGGCCTGGTGCCACGTTGCCCTCAAGGTTCTTCTAGGGCCTTTCTCAAGTGCCCAACAGCCCCAGGGTACCCACATCATACCCAAAGCCAACTGTCTGTACCAGTGTCCCTGGCTTTGGCGTCCTTGGGCCCAGTCCTCTCACAACCCTGATACATTGCCCTGGGAGCCTTCGCCCACCTGACTTCTTTTTCTTTGAGACAGAGTCTCACTCTGTCGCCCAGGCTGGAGTGCAGTGGCGCGATCTTGGCTCACTGCAACCTCTTGGGTTCAAGCAATTCTCTTGCCTCAGCCTCCCGAGTAGCTGGGATTACAGGCATCCGCCACCATGCCTGGCTAATTTTTTTATTTTTAGTAGAGATGGGGTTTCACCATGTTGGCCAGGCTGTTCTCGAACTCCTGACCTCAGGTGATCCGCCCGCCTTGGCCTCCCAAAGTGCTGGGATTATAGATGTGAGCCACTGCACCCGGCCTCGCCCACCTGACTTCTATACCCAGCCAGAGCCTCGAGGCTCTAGCCCCTCCCTCAGGGCCCCTCAGCTGAGCCCTTGCCCACCCCTGTAGCTGGAGGAGGCCCAGAAGCAGCGGCATGACCGTCTTGTGGCTGGGCAGCAGCAGGTCCTGCAACAGCTGGCAGAAGAGGAGCCCAAGGTGAGGCCATGGGCGAACAGGTGGGCAGACGGGGTGCAAGGCAGCCAGGCCTCGCCTGTGATGCCCATCCTTCTCCCACAGCTGCTGGCCCAGCTGGCCCAGGAGTGTCAGGAGCAGCGGGCGAGGCTCCCCCAGGAGATCCGCCGGAGCCTGCTGGGCGAGATGCCGGAGGGGCTGGGGGACGGGCCTCTGGTGGCCTGTGCCAGCAACGGTCACGCACCCGGGAGCAGCGGGCACCTGTCGGGCGCTGACTCGGAGAGCCAGGAGGAGAACACGCAGCTCTGAACTGGCTGAGCGAGGTGGCCACAGGGCCAGGGCGGGCGCTGGGTGGAGGGCAGGAGGCAATGACACTAATGCTTTTTTTTTTTTTTTTTAACTTTTTATCTAGAAATTTTATTTTTTTAAACCCGGGGCAAGTACCTCAGCTAACTCCCTTCATCCTCCTGGGGCCCCTCCTTCCTGCCCTCAGTCTTAGGTTAGGGCCTTGGTCAGGGCTTTGCTCCCTGTGACACCCACACCCTCGAGCTAGCAGCGTCTCCTCCCTTCCCCGGGAGAGCTGGCTGGAGACTTGGAGCTCCGGGAAGTAGGAGTCACATTTTTTTCTCTATTCTTTGGGGATTTTTTTTACATGAATAAAAGTGGATTTCAGGGACCCTGTGTGCAGTGTGATTTGGGGTGACAGGACTCTGGGCCCTAAGTTTCCTCATCTATAAAATGGACTTTGGGCATTTGGTGGGGTTGAGGTCACGCCTCCAGCCAAGGGCTGCTGGGTTGAACCTGAGCTTGCCCTGCCGAGTCTGCTGAGCTTCCGTGGCCTTCTGCTTGTGCCCTCTGCCCCCAAGCCGCTGTTCCTGTTCCCCCATCCCCATGACTTTCGTCTCTCCGAGGCTCTCCCTGTTCTCTCTTTTCTGAGGCTCAGGCCTCTGCTTCAGGAAGCCTTCCCTGCCCCGCTTCCTGTGGCCTGATATGACCCAAACGCCTAGTATCTTCCGCTGGGGCTGCTCTGGGCCCCCGACAGGCAGTTGACTCTATCAGGTGATGGATCGGCCAGGGTGGAGCAGGGCAGCTCAGAACCTGCCCAACACCGGGGGACCTGGGTCTTCAGAAATAGGTGGGCAGTAGGCCTGCCTGTGACTCTGGGGGAAGGGAAGTGGACAGTCACAGACACGCAGGGGCTGGGCCACCCAGCATCCCCTCATCCCTGTGAGGGAGATGTTATGCCTGTTTTACAGATGAGGAGACTGAGGCCCGGAGCCATCTGTCGTGTGCTAGGCCACAGCTAAGTCAAGACGTCCTGACCTGGAGGCAGGGCAGGCCTGGACCCTCCGTGGTGGACTGTCTTCAGCCAGCCTGGACCTGTCCCATGCCTCAAGACCAGCGAAAAGTGGCAGAGAGCCCACAGTGCGGGCTCCAGGGCGGGGCTGGGCTCGCAGCAGGGTCGGCTTGGCACCTCTTCAAGGCCTCTCCCAGCTTCCTGGCTCTTCCCAGGCTGCCCGCCTGCATCCCTCCTCCAGGGGAAGGCGGCCTCTTATCTGGGCTTATCTCCTGCCAATTGAGTATCTTCTTTGCTTTGTTTTTGCTGCAGCCTCAGGCAAACAGATGGGGTGGGGAGGCCAGGGAAACAGGCTCCGGAGTAGGGCCCTCCTCCCTCAGGGTCAATGCAATGGCCCCAGACTTCCTCACTTCTTCTGTGGGACGCTGCCCTATCCCCCAGTTCTGCTCACTCCAGTGTATTCCGTATCTAGGCTCCTCAGCAGCCAACTCCCACCTTCCTGACTCTAGCTGGTGTCCACTGAGGGACACACTCCAAGTCAGTTCCCAGGTCCTCAAATACCAGCTGAATGTCTAACTTCTGGGTGTGACATTCCAGCCCCTAGAAGCCTGGCCTCTGCTGCTCCCCTGTCCTTCCATGGGTCCACTCCTCCTTGCGCCGGGGGGGATGACCCTCACCTCACCTTCCGGTCGCAGCTCTAGCTGCCTCCTCCCTGAAGCCCTCTCTGACTGCCCTGCCGATTCCGGGCCCTCGGGAGCTTCCGCGAGCAGGGCCGTGGCGCAATGCATCTCTGTGCCCGGCACCAAGAACCGGCCCGGGTTATAGGGGGCGCCAATAAATCTTTCTGGAACGGAGCCCCCGCTCTGTCCGGGTCCCCGCATGAAGCCTCAGTTTCCAGCGACCGCGCTGCTGCCAGCCTGGCTCAGCCGCTCCCTCCCGCCCCGCGAGGTACCCGGGCGGCGCTGGCCCCGGGCCGGCCACACAGTAGCTGCTGGAAAGGGCTGACCCAAATAGGAGCGAGTGACCCTCTCTGGGGGGCCGCGGCACGGTTTGCAGAGCGCGGGATCGGGCTGCCGGCAGCGCTGCGGTCCCAATGCGCGTGCTGGGGACTTGGACCTGGGCCGCGCAGCCCAGGCCCGCGAGCCGCCGCGACCCCTTCCGTCTCTGTCGCTGGATGTCAGGCAGAGCCTAAGTTTCCCTCGTAAGACAGCGGCCTCTTTTGAAAGTATCCGTGAGAGCACTACCCCGGCCTGCCGGAGCCCCAGTCGACGCACAGAAAAGCCTCGGCGGCACAGACGCGGGCTTTATTAACATTTGGTAGTGAGCACGGCCCCCAGGGCATCGCGGGGGCTCGGGTCCCGGTGACGCAACGGTTAAACCTGGCTCGCGACTTAGCGCAGGCGCCTGGGGGAAAGCCCGGAGCCTGAGGGCGGGGCCACGGAGCCACTTCCGGCGGCTGTGGGCGGAAAACCCAAAACTTCCGATGGGACCAAGCCTTCCGTGGCTTCACACGCACCGGAAGGGAATCTGGGTCAGCCCTCCCTCCAAAGGAGACAGCACGGATCCTCTTTTTGCATAGGCCTGAGGGAAGTACTTCCGCCCATATTCAAGATGGCTGCCCAGGGCAGTGGGAACGGGTGGAGTTTCGGGATGTGGAGCGAAGGTCACTGGGAGGGGGCGGAGCTTCCCCTGCCCAAGTTCCGATCCCACCAGGACTGGAAGACTCGCGTCCAGCTGGAGCTTTGCCGCATCTGCGTTGCTGTGCCCGCGCTCTTCGGGCGAGGAAGTCCCTTCTGGTGGAGGGAGAAAAGGGTTACATGAGTTAGATTACCATGGCAGCTCGAGCCAGGCTCTCCACTTCCGTGAGCCTTCCTCTAAGTGAGATCGGGGGGGAGATAATGAAGGCCACAACTCCCAGGAGGCTCCACGCCGGGCGGTCAGGGACGCTCGCGAGGACGCATGGGCCCCCAGGAATGGGAACTGGTTAGATCCCAGGAACTCCGTGCCGGAGACGGGAAGAGAGGATGCCTAGGGCCCTAAATGGAAAGGCCAGAGCTGGAGACCTAGCACCCAGAAGATGAGACCGCAATTCGAGAATCAAAGGGCCGGGAGCGATGGTGAGCGCCTGTAATCCCAGCACTTTGGGAGGTTGAAGCGGGAGGATCCTTTGAGGCCAGGAGTTCCAGGCTGCAGTGAGCCGTGATCGCACCACTGCACTCCAGCCTGGGCGACAGAGCGCACAGGTGCCAGCAAGGAGCACAAATACCAGCATGCCTGGTCTTCCAAGAATTCGGGGAACCCAGGAGCTTTGGCCTGGAGTGGGATCTAGACTACAGATCCCAGCATGCCCTGTGAGACACACACACACACACACACACACACACACACGCCTGGAGTGGGATCTAGACTACAGATCCCAGCATGCCCTGTGACACACACACACACACACACACACACACACACACACACGCCTGGAGTGGGATCTAGACTACAGATCCCAGCATGCCCTGTGACTGACACACACACACACACACACACACACACCTGGAGTGGGATCTAGACTACAGATCCCAGCATGCCCTGTGACTCTCTCACACACACACACACACACACACACACCTGGAGTGGGATCTAGACTACAGATCCCAGCATGCCCTGTGACTCACACACACACACACACACACACACACACACACACACACACGCCTGGAGTGGGATCTAGACTACAGATCCCAGCATGCCCTGTGACTCTCACACACACACACACACACACACACACACACACACACACGCCTGGAGTGGGATCTAGACTACAGATCCCAGCATGCCCTGTGACTCACACACACACACACACACACACACCAGGCGGGGGAAGAGCTGGGGAGTGGGGGCGGGGAAGTCTTGTGACTACAAATCCCAGAATGCTCTGGAGCTAGGAAGGAACAGGACGGCTTTGGGGAGGGGTCGTGGGACTCCAGATCCGGGCGTGCCTTGGGACAAGGCAGGGACAGACCGGCGGGGGGCGGCCTGGTACTTCAGGTCCTGGCACGCTGGGGACTGGCGCTCACCTTAAAGGAGTCCACAAACTCGTCACTCATCCTCCGGAGCTCGCGGCCATAGCGCTGTGCTGCCCAGAGGTTGGGGGGCGCCGAGCGCGAGCGGCCCCGAAAGGGGCTGGGCTCCTCCCCCATCCCTTCGTCGTCCTCCGTCCCCGCGGGGTAGGAGCTGTGGCGACTCCGGATCTCCACAGCCCCAGCGCCTGCAGAGGGTCAGTGGGTAGGGGGGCGACGTTAATCTCAGCTCCTCTAAGCCCCTGGCCCTGCCTGAACCCTCCCCATCAGCTCTGCAGGCCCACTCGTGGGTCTTCCAGGGGCGCATCACAGCCCACCTCTCAGAGCCCCAGTCCCTTGTATGTGAATCGAGGGGAAGCTCAGGGGCCTTTGGTGAAGATTTAGGTTAACTTCTCATTAATCCCACGAATCCTTACCGAGTGCCAATAATGGGTGAGGCCCTGTGCCTAGCACAAAATAAGGGCATAAGAAATACTAGTTACATCACAAGGTCAGGAGATCGAGACCATCCTGGCCAACATGGTGAAACCCTGTCTCTACTCAAAACACAAAAATTAGCTGGGCATAGTGGCACGTGCCTATAGTCCCAGTTACTCGGGAGGCTGAGGCAGAAGAATCGTTTGAACCCAGGAGGGAGAGGTCGCAGTGAGCCGAGATCACGCCACTGCACTCCAGCCTGGGCGACAGGCTTTTTTTCTCAAAAGAAAAAAAAAAAAAGCAAGAAGTATTATTAGTGCAAGACCTTCATGGGGCCTCCTGGCAACCCCTGGGTTGGTAGCTATTTCATAGTGTCTGTTCTACATCGGAGGAAGCCAATCCCTTGGATAGGAAAGTGTCCTGCCACAGCCGGCAGGATTGAATGCCTCCTCTGCAAGGGACCTGCAGAGCCCCTGGAGAACAAGAACTTGGCCGCTACATGTCCGCATCCCCCACAGAGCCTTCTCTGGAGACAGTGTCTGGAACTGTTGACGTTTTTAGGTACCATTGATGGTGCACTTACGTGTAGGCCGAGACATTCCCTTATTATCCTCCTAACCACCCTGGGAGGTGAGTACCAAACATGCTTAGGTGAGAAGACAGAAGCTTAGAGAGTTAAGACTTGCCCAGTTTCTGTGAAGCTGTGGAGGCCTGAGGCTGGAAGGTTCCAAAGGTTTGGTGGAATCCAGAGTCCAGTGATGATCAGCGGAGCTCTGTGTCTCTCCCCTTGTCTAGCCAGCCTTCGACTCTCTTAGCCTGTGTCCTCACCTTTATGAGGGGATAATCCTAGCCCTGACTCCCAGTGGCTGTGTGAACATCACATAAAATTAAAAAATGTGAAAGTGCTTTGTGGCTGGGCGTGATTCCTCACGCCTGTAATCCCAGCACTTTGGGAGGCTGAGGCAGGTGGATTGCTTGAGTTCAGGAGTTCGAGACCAGCCTAGGCAACATTGCAAAACCCCATCTCTATTAATTTAAAAAATTAATAAAAGAAGGCCAGACGTGGTGGCTCACGCCAGTAATCCCAGCACTTTGGGAGGCCAAGGCAGGTGGATCACCTGAGGTCAGAAGTTCGAGACCAGCCTGGCCTCAAACTCTGGTGAAACTCCGTCTCTACTAAAAATACAAAAATTAGTTAGGTGTGGTGGTTCACGCCTGTAGTCCCAGCCACTCAGGAGGCTGAAGCAGGAGAACTGCTTTAACCCAGTGGGTGGAGGTTGCAGTGAGCCGAGATTGTGCCACTGCACTCCAGCCTGGGTGGCAGAGCGAGACTCTGTCTCAAATAATAATAATAATAACAAAAGAAAAAAGAAAGTGCTTTGTAGGCTGCAAGTGCACTATGGGTTATTATTCAGAGGCCCGCCTACTATGGTCTATTTGAACTGTGCTCTGTGCCATCTCCCAACTCCTGCCAACTCCACTCCTCTACCCAGACCGATAAAGACTTAGAACCACTCCCCTGAGCAAACACTCAGAGTGCAATGACAGAGTGAGAAGCAGGTGGGGGGCTGGGCGCAGTGGCTCACGCCTGTAATCCCAGCACTTTGGGAGGCCGAGGTTGGGGAGATCACGAGGTCAGGAGTTTAAGACCAGACTGACCAAGATGGTAAAACCCCGTCTCTACTAAAAATACAAAAAAATTAGCCAGGCGCGGTGGCAGGCACCTGTAATCCCAGCTACTCGGGAGGCTGAAGCAGAAGAATCGCTTGAACCTGGGCAGCAGAGGTTACAGTGAGCCAAGATCACGCCACTGCACCCATCTCAAAAAAAAAAAAAAAAAAAAAAAAAGAGAGGCAGGTAGGGAAACATGCTGGGTGTTTATGGCAAGATATGTCTGTCAGGGAGGCTCTTTGGAGGAGGTAAATTACAGGCCAGGAACTGAAGGCGGGGGATAACCATTGGAATGTCTCTTCTCCCCTCAGAGGACCTGAGGACCTGGCCTGTGGGCCAGTGCAGGGCCTCCAGGGGTCCCAGCTAGGACACATAAATGAGACACATGACTAAGAAAGCAAGTAGGTGGCCGGGTGCGGTGGCTTACGCCTTTAATCCCAACACTTTGGGAGGCCGAGGCAGGCGCATCACGAGGTCAGGAGATCGAGACCATCCTAACACGGTGAAACCCCATCTGTACTAAAAGTACAAAAAATTAGCTGGGCATGGTGGCTGGCGCCTTAGTTCCAGCTACTCGGGAGGGTGAGGCAGGACAATGGCGTGAACCCGGGAGGCGGAGCTTGCAGTGAGCTGAGATCACGCCACTGCACTCCAGCCTGGGTGACAGAGTGAAACTCTACCTCGAGAAAAAAAAAAAAAGCAAGTAGGCGCAGTGGCTCACGCCAGTAATCCCAACACTTTGGGAGGCCAAGGCAGGTGGATCACTTGAGGCCAGGAGTTCGAGATCAGCCTGACCCAACATGGCAAAAACCCATCTCTACTAAAAATACAAAAAAAGGCCAGGTGTGGTGGCTCACGCCTGTAATCCCAGCACTTTGGGAGCCCAAGGCAGGTGGATCACGAGGTCAGGAGTTCGAGACCAGCCTGACCCACATGGTGAAACCCTGTCTCTACTAAAAACACAAAAATTAGCCAGGTGTGGTGGCGCGAGCCTGTAATCCCAGCTACTCAGGAGGCTGAGGCGGGAGAATCACTTGAACCCAGGAGGCAGAGGTTGCAGTGAGCCGAGATTGCACCACTGCACTCCAGCCTGGGTGGCAGAGTGAGACTCTGTCTCAAAAAAAAAAAGAAACTAGCCAGGCATGGTGGTGTGGGCCTGTAGTCCCAGCTACTAGGGAGGTTAAGGCACAAGAATCACTTGAACCTGGGAGGCGGAGGTTGCAGTGAGCTGAGATCTCACCATTGCACTCCAGTCTGGCAGTCTGGGAGACAGAGTGAGACTTTGTCTCAAAAAAAAAAAAAAAAAAAAAAAGCGAGTAAGGGAACGAGAGGACGGAATCCGGAAAGGCCTAGGGTAAGATAGGCTGTGATCAGAGTGCCTGGGCATTCTGAGCATCACCAAAGCCCAGAGCTGCCCCCAGGTCAGGTGGGGATACCTCAAGACCCTGGAGGAGTGAGGTGGCAGTGGGGAGAGGCATACTAGGTCAGGAGTAAAGATTACAGATGACAGCCAGGCGTGGCGGCTCATGCCTATAATCCCAGCACCTTGGGAGGCTGAAGGATTTCGGATAGGGGCAGGAGAGCCGGGAACAGAAGGGGCACTGACGGAACAGGCCTGTCTGCAGAGTAATTTCCAGTTCTGTGGTGCGGTGACTGTGGAGCAGGGGTCAGCTAGGTGGGCCAGGCCCTGGCCACATTCCTGCTCTGACCTTAGCCCATTCTCCAACCCTTTGGGGCCCCAGTGTCTTCTGTGAAATGGGGGCAGTTCCCCATCTGCCAGGATCGCCATGACAACAAATGAGAGCAGGAAAGCCCCCTACCGGCCCCTCATAGCCTGAGGCCTCTGAGAGTCCCAGCCAGGTGAATATCCAGCTCTCCCTGTTGTACAGATGAGGAAACAGAGGCAGAGGTTAAGAACTTGCCTGAGGCCGTGTGGCTGGGACAGCCTGCTTAGCCACCTAAATACGCAGGAAACGGCAGCTGTTCTCCTCCACTAGCTCTGAGTGGGGCCACAGGACCACTACGCTTGCCGGACACAAGGCCCCACAGGTGGAAGGTGAGTGACTTGCACCCAGGCACTTGGCCTGGGCACTGCCCCTTGCCCAGGGATCAGAACAAGCAGAAGACACTGGGCAGGTATGGTGGATGGTCGGAAGCCCTCCCTGTGTATTCATTCATTTGATCCTTGCCACACCCTATCAGGGAGGTTCCTCATGGTTGCCATTTTACAGAGGAAGAAACTAAGGCAGAGAGCATAGGTAACTTGCCCAAGGTCACTGATCTAGTAGGTAGCAGAGCTGGGATCCCAACCCAACCAATGTGGCTTCAGGGGCTGTGTGCTTAGCTGTCATGCCCCAGGCTCCTTCCAGCTGTACCTTGGGCTGCCTTGGAGGCCTAGGCTGGGGAAGGCCCCTTTGGGCCTTCTGCTAGCACCAGTTCTGCCAGGAACCTGTCCTATGGGGTGGGAGTTTTTCACCAAATTCGTGGACTTAGCCAAGCTAGTTGTTATCAAGATGATACCCATTTGTGTAAATTGAATTATATATATGTAAATACAAATATACATATATTTATGTGTGTGTGTGTGTATATATTTGTGTGTGTGTGTGTGTATATATATATATATGTATTTTTTTTTTTTTAGAGGGAGTCTTGCTTTGTCACCCAGGCTGGAGTACAGTGATGTGATCTTGGCTCACTGCAACCTCTGCTCACCAGGTTCAAATGATTCTCCTGCCTCAGCCTCCTGGGTAGCTGGGATTACAGGTGCCCGCCACCATGCCCAGCTAATTTTTGTATTTTTAGTAGAGACGGGGTTTCACCATGTTGGTCGGGCTGGTCTTTAACTCCTGACCTCAGGCAATCCAAGTGCCTCGGCCCCCCAAAGTGCTGGGATTACAGGCGTGAGCCACGGTGCCCAGCCCTAAATTGAATTTTTAAAAAGTGTTCTATTTACAGGGAAAAACCCTGGGGGAGTGTCTGTGAATTCCCTGGGGGAAGGAGAGGGCTGGGGCAGGGCCTGGGCCAGACTCTCCCTTCTCTGGGGAAGGGAAGGGGTGTGGCTCCTCCTTGGGTGTGAACGTGGGTGGGTGCCCAGGCCTGCCCACTCTTGCCATCCGCCTAGAGCCTGGCCCGGAGCTGGGTGTGGAAGTGGAGGGTAGTGGCTGTGGCTAGAAGTGCCCCAGGCCCCAGCATGGCACCTCTAGCTTTACATTCTCTGCGTGTTGGGCTTCTGAGTCAGCGGCTGGGGCGGACATCCCTGCTGATGCTTCCGCGAGCATCCCTGCACTGGGATTTTCAGAGTCCTCAGATTCCCAAGAAGGAGAATACGAAGTTCTCCCTGTTTTATAGATGAGGAAACAGAGGCACACTTAATTACAAGACACTTGCACACTGAATTGCACACTTAATTAAAACAGTGGTGTTCCAGACCGTTTGGAGCAGTGAAGCTCTGCCATCAGGCAAGGGCTGGGTTTGGATCCTGCCCCTACCACATGCCGACCACACACAATCTGCTGCCGGGGGAGGCTGACGTCAGTGGCCAGCACAGTGGCCAGTGCTGCCACCCCACCCTGGGCAGACACTCGCAGCCTGTCCGCCTCCGGCACCTGTAGGCCTCAGCCTTGACTATAGCCTTCCGGTACAGAAGCCCCTTCAGGCCTGCAGAGAACACCCCCAACCTTGCTCAGAGCTCATAAAATCAGAAAGTACTCTAAAGTTGGCAAATGTTTCCTTTTTGTTTTTAAAAAACAGCGACAGGGTCTCTCTCTGTCACCCAGACTGGAGTGGGGTGGCACGATCTCAGCTTACTGCAGCCTCAAAATCCTAGGCGCAATCGATCTTCCCACCTCAGCCTCCTGAGTAGCTTGGACTACAGGCATCACCATGCCCGGCTAATTTTTTAATTTAAAAAATTTTTAGAGAAGTGTCTTGCCATCTTGCCCAGGCTGGTCTCGAACTCCTGAGCTCAAGTGATCCTCCTGCCTTGGCCTCCCAGAGTGCTGGGATTACAGGTATGAAAGGCTGGCTGGCAAATGTTTGTTCACTTTCTTTTCCCTTTTCCTAAGTTAGCTGAAAATGTTTTCTATAAAGGGGGTTCAGTGGGCCACGTGGTCTCTGTGACAACCACTCACCTTTGTGGCCAGAGCTGAAAGGAAACCATAATCAATGTGTAAATGAATACACTGCACCTTGCTGTGTTCCACTAACACTTTCTTTAGGGACCTTGAAATTTGAATTTCATAGAATGTTCACGTTACAAAATATAGTTCTTTGGATTTTTGTCCATAACTTAAAAATATAGGCCCAATGTGGTGGCTCATGCCTGTAATCCCAACACTTTGGGAGGCCAAGGCAAAAGGACTGCTTGAGGCCAGGAGTTCGAGACCAGCCTGAGCAACACAGAAAGACCCTTGTCTCTACAAAAATTAAAATAAAAAAATTAGCCAGGCATGGTGGCGTGCGCCTGTAGTCCCAGCTACTTAGGAAGCTGAGGTGGGAGGATGGCTGGAGCCCAGAAATTTGAGGCTTTATAAATATATAAAGCCAAGAATGTACATAAAGGCAAGAAAATCACTTGAACCTGGGAGGTAGAGGTTGCTGCGAGGCGAGATTGCACCACTGCACTCCAGCCTGGGCGACAGAGTGAGGCTCCATCTTGGAAAAAAAAATTATATATATATATTTATATATAAATATATATATACATAAATAATAACAATGGCAGTTCTAATAATAAGAGCCGCAAACACTTAGCCCCTCCTCTGCGCCAGGCACTGTTTCCAAGCACTTTTCCTATATTAACTCATCAGGTCCTCGCCACAGCCCTGCGAGGTGGGACTAGTTCTATTCCCGTTTACAGATGAGGAAACTCAGGCAGATGGAGTTAATTAACCTGCTCAAGCTCAACCTGCTAGGAAGGGTAGAGCCACGTTTGAACCCTGCAGTCTGGCCCAGGGGCTAGCACTGGGCTGCTTCTTTCTGCCTCTCCACTGTCCACACCTGTTTCAGACACTGGGCTGTGTGGGCTGTCACAGCACAAGGTGGCTGCAGTCCCTGCCCTGGGGACACCTCAGCCATCCAGCAGGGGGGCCTGGTGGCAGGGACTATGAGGAGTGACCGAACCAAGTGTGAGTTGCTCTGCGCAGGTAGAGAGGGCAGAGGCCCCGTGGCTCTGGCGGGGCACTGGCACTTGCTGATCTTTTCTGGGAAACCACTTGCTTTTGGAGACACTGAAAACTAAATCAAAAGGTTAAGAAATCCAGCTCTGTCCTCACCTGGCAGCTGTCTTCTCCCGCAGCCCTCTTTCCTACGGGTCTGCAGCTGGGGCTGGGGGGAGGTGTCGTCCCTGGCCTGTGCAGAATGTTACTCCTGTCCTCTGCCACTCCACCAGCACCCTGTCTCCTTTCTGTACCTTGCTACTCCTTCTACCATGATCTTGTCCCACTCTCCCCTCAGACTCATTCCCAGGGACATAACCTAGGCCTTGTCACCATCAAATAACTCCATCCCAAGCTTCCCACCAGCTGACCCAACCTGTGTGGATCATGCCCCCGGGACCCCAACTCCAACGATGCTGCGGCTTCCCAGGGCTTGCTCCCTTCCCTGAAGCTCAGCCAGCTTGGACCCCACATCTACCATTCCTTCCTTTGCACACACCTGAAGCCCCTACCCCTAACTGGACTGAGACAAGCACAACTCTGGTTCAGACTCCAAGTCCCTGCCAGCTCCCACTAGCACCCTGCTAAAAATCCCACCAGATGCTTAAAAGCCACCTCTAGCGGCCAGACGCGGTGGCTCATGCCTGTAATCCCAGCATTTTGGGAGGCTGAGGCGGGTGGATCACGAGGTCAGGAATTCGAGACCAGCCTGGCCAACATGGTGAAACCCCCGTCTCCACTAAAAACACAAAAATTAGCTGGGCATGGTGCATGCCTGTAATCCCAGCTACTGGGGAGGCTCAGGCAGGAGAATGGCATGAACCCAGGAGGTGGAAGTTGCAGTGAGCCGAGATCGTGCCACTGCACTCCAGCCTGGGTGACAGAGTAAGACTCTATCTCAAAAAAAAAAAAAAAAAAAAAATCCCCCTCTATCCCACCCTCTAGGGTAGCCTCCAGATCCTCCCTCACCCTTCAGTGTTTCTTCTCCATTAAAAGCAACTTCATCCTACCGGGTGCTCAAGCCAGATTCCTTGGTGTTGGCTGGGCACTGTGGCTCATGCCTGTAATCCCAGCACTTTGTGAGGCCAAGGTGGGAGGATCACTTGGGGCCAGGAGCTCAAGACCAGCCTGGCCAACATAGCAAGACCTTGTCTCTAAAATTAATAATAATTTGGCCAGGCGCGGTGGCTCACGCCTGTAATCCCAGCACTTTGGGAGGCCAAGGCGGGCGGATCACAAGGTCAGGAGATCGAGACCATCCTGGCTAACATGGTGAAACCCCATCTCTACTAAAAACACACAAAAAAATTAGCTGGGCATGGTGGCGGGAGGCTGTAGTCCGAGCTACTCTGGAGGCTGAGGCAGGAGAATGGCGTGAACCCGGGAGGCAGAGCTTGCAGTGAGCTGAGATGGTGCCACTGCACTCCAGCCTGGGCGACAGAGCAAGACTCCATGTCAAAAATAAAATAAAATAATAATAATAATAATAATAATAATTTTTTTTTTTGAGACGGAGTCTTGCTCTGTCGCCCAGGCTGGAGTGCAGTGGCACCATCTCGGCTCACTGCAAGCTCTGCCTCCCGGGTTCATGCCATTCTCCTGCCTCAGCCTCCCGAGTAGCTGGGACTATAGGCACCCACCACCACGCCCGGCTAATTTTTTGTATTTTTAGTAGAGACGGGGTTTCACCGTGTTAGCCAGGATGGTCTTGATCTCCTGACCTCGTGATCCGCCCGCCTCGGCCTCCCAAAGTGCTGGGATTACAGGCGTGAGCCACCGCGCCTGGCCTAATTTATTTTATTTTTATTTATTTTTTGTTTTTTGAGACGGACTCTTGCTCTGTCACCCAGGCTGGAGTGCAGTGGCAGGATTTCAGCTCACTGCGACCTCCACCTCCTGGGTTCAAGTGATTCTCCTGCCTCAGCCTCTCAGGTAGCTGGGATTACAGGCGCCCACCACCACATCCAGCTAATTTGTGTATTTGTAGTAGAGACAGGATTTCACCAAGTTGGCCAGGCTGTTCTTGAACTCCTGACCTCAAGTGATCTGCCTGCCTCAGCCTCCCGATGTGCTGGGATTACAGGTGTGAGCCACCACGCCCGGCCAATAATAATTTTTTTTTTGAGACGGAATCTTGCTCTGTCACCCAGGCTGGAGTGCAGTGGTGCAATCTCTGCTCACTGCAAGCTCCGCCTCCCGGGCTCACGCCATTCTCCTGCCTCAGCCTCCAGAGTAGCTGGGACTACAGGCGCCCACCACCACGCCCAGAGAATTTTTTGTATTTTTAGTGGAGACGGGGTTCACCGTGTTAGCCAGAATGGTCTCTATCTCCTGACCTCATGATCTGCCCACCTCGAACTACCAAAGTGCTGGGATTATAGGCGTGAGCCACCGCGCCCAGCCTAATAGTTTTTTTAAAATTCCTTGGCATCATCCTGACTCCTCTCTTTCCCTCGCACCCCACATCCAGTCCATCAGCAGATCCTGCCAGTTCTGCTTTAAAAATAAATCCAGGGATCAGCTACTTCTCACCACCTCCCTGGTGACTCTCTGAATGTCTAAATCTGACCATGCTGCCTCTGCTCAAATCCTTTCCAGGTTTTTACTCAAAGGCAATGCCAGAGTCCTTAGAATGACCTTCAACTTTAGGTCTCCAAATACCCTTTCCTAAACCCCCTCCCCTAGGCCCACCCTAGCCAGGAGCAGGTGTTGCCCTCGAGGCCTTACCATCTGCCCTTCTCTCTGCCTGGAACTCTCTTCCCATCATCCCTGTGGCCTTGGCTCCAGTGGTGCTTCTCACCAAGGTGAGTGCTGACCACCTCTGCTACCATCACTCCCCCCGCCCCTGTGACTCCGGATTCTCTTAACTCTTTTTTTTGAGATGAGTCTCACTCTGTCGCCAGGCTGGAGTGCAGTGGCACGATCTTGGCTCACTGCAACCTCCGCCTCCCGGGTTCAAGCGATTCTCCTGCCTCAGCCTCCCGAGTAGCTGGGACTATAGGTGCGCGCCACCATGCCCAGCTAATTTTTGTATTTTTGGTAGAGATGGGGTTTCACCATGTTGGCCAGGATGGTCTCCATCTCTTCACCTTGTGATACGCCCACCTAGGCCTCCCAAAGTGTTGGAATTACAGGCGTGAGCCACCGCGCCCGGCCTCTCTTAACTCTTTTACATGCTGCCCCCATACAAATCTTCTCACGCATGATAGGATGCTTTTGTGCTTGTTTGCTCATGGCCCCACCAGCTCACTAGAAGGTAAGCTCCACAAGGGCAAGGATTCCTGACGCTTGGGTTCACCGAGGCCCCCTAGCAACTGGAACAGCCTGTGTCACACGGTGAGCACTCACTGTGTGGCGCGAGTGAATGCTGAGTGTGTGTGGGGGGCAGAGAGCAGGGGAAGTTTGTGAGCAGAAAAATGGCCAAGTGCAAGCTCAGGAAGTTAAAGAAAGCTGTGGAGGCTGAGCATGGTGGCTCACGCCAGTAATCTCAACAGTCTGGGAGGCCAAGGTGAGAGGATTGCTTGGGCCCAGGAATTCGAGACAAGACTGGGCAACAAAGCAAGACCCCACCTCTACAAAAAATAAAAAATGAGCTGGTGTGGTGGCATGCACCTGTGGTCCCAGCTGTTCTGGAGGCTGAGGCAGGAGGATCGTTTGAGCCCAGGAGTTTGAGGCCTGCCTGGGCAACAAAAGGAGACCCCGCCCCTGCCCTCATCTCATGAAAATGTGAAAAATGCTGGGCATGGTGGCTCACGCCTGTAATCCCAACACTGTTGGGAGGCTGAGGCGGGTGGATTACGAGGTCAGGAAATGGAGACCACCCTGGCTAACACGGTGAAACCCCATCTCTAATAAAAATACAAGAAATTAGCCCGGCATGGTGACACGCGCCTGTAGTCCCAGCTACTCTGGAGGCTGAGGCAGGAGAACTGCTTGAACCCAGGAGGCAGAGGTTGCAGTGAGCCGAGATTGCACCACTGCACCCCAGCCTGGGCAGCAGAGTGAGACTCCGTCTCAGGAAAAAAAAAAAAAAAAAAAGAAAAAGTAAAAAATAAATTAACTGGGTGTGGTCCACACACCTGTATTCCCAGTTACGTGGGAGGATCACTTAAGCCCAGAAGTTCCGGGCTGCAGTGAGCTGAGATCGCACCTCTGTACTCCCTCCTGGGTGATAGAGCGAGACCCTGTCTCAAAACAAAACAAAACAAACAGAAAAAAAGAAAGCAAGCTATGGGGTCCAATCTGAGAGAATCGAGTGTGGGTGTTTATCCGTAAGAGAGCGAGGGGAAAGAGGCCTCTTAAGCCTTCTTAATCCTGAAAATGGGGAGGAGGTCTTTTAAGCTGCAGTGCCAGAGTGACATGACCTAGTTTTCTATTTTTAGAGATGGGGTCTGGCTATGTTGCCCAGGCTGGTCTTGAATTCCTGGGCTCAAGCCAGCCTCCTGAGTTGCTGGGACTACAGACATGTGCCACCCCACCCAGCTTGACCTGGTTTTTGTGTTCAGAAGATATCTGTTGTTGTTCCAGGTGCCAAGGCCAGTGCTGGGCACAGGGGTGCTAGAGCCTACTGAGAAATGGACATAGAACCCCAGTGTCCATCCTTCCATCTTGGAGCCTGTGCTTCTCACCCCACACAGCCCTGCTGTCTGGGAGGACTGTCTGCCCCTTGAGGTCATCTGCCCCTGGCCACTGTGCCAGGACAGTCCTGCTGTGGGTACGAGCCACAGGGCAAGAAAGAACACATCTGGGAGCTGGAAGGCCTAATCCCAGGGAAAGCATGTAGCCTGGGGCAGGGCACCAAGGAGGCTTCCAGCCCCCACATTCTAAGGAAAGAAACACCAGGAAGGTGTGGCCTTAGGCAGGCCCCTTTTCCTTTTCGGATCACTGCCTGCCTGTCACTGATTTCTGTCCTAACCCCACACTAATAGCTGCTATATATATATATATGTATTTTAAGAGCTGGAGTCTCCCTAAGTCACTCAGGCTGGCCTTGAACTTCTGGGCTCAAGCGATCCTCCTGCCTTGGCCTCCCAAAGTGCTGAGATTACAGGTGTGAGCCACCACGCCCGGCAGCAACCATTTTTTAGCTTTAATGTGCACCAGCTCTGTAATCAAGTGCATCCTATATGTTCCTGCTAATTAACTCAACAGTCCTACAATGGTGGTTATTAATTGCTGTTTTACGAAAGAGGAAACTGGGGCTCTGAGAGTTTGGGGACCGACCCAAAGCATTCAGTGCCTGTGGATGCAACTGGGATGCAGGGAGCCAGTGGGCTGGGGGTGAGGTGTCCCGGCAGGTGGAGGTGGTGGGGTACTTACCTCCATGATGGCTGCTGCTGGTTGGCTGCTCCTGCTGGTGACTGGCGTCCCACAGGAGGCCTGGGGCCTGGCGATGATGCTTGCCGGAGCCTGAGGGCCCGTCCCCTGCGGGGCTGGGGCCCAGGCCCCTCTCTGCAGAGCTGGAGTCTTCCTGCTCACTCGGCTCAAACTCTGGGATCTGGAACATGCTCTGGGCTGTGAGGACAAGATGTTACGTAGTCAAGGCACAGCTGGGGCCAACGGTGGCCCTGGAAGGCAGAGGCAGGTACCCCTGGCTTCCTCTCCCACCGTAGCGCCCCCAGGCCCGCCAGGCCTCCTGGGCCCTCATCTGTCTGCCGGGTCTGGCCTGGCAGGGAGCTGAGGCTGTCGGCTCAGGACCTCAGTCTCCCCTCAGAACCCCGGTGGACCCAGGCCCCGCCCCGCCCGTGGTGACGGCGCACAGGTCTCACCCCAAGCCCGATCTCGAGGCCCCTGACCCGGGCCTGCCGCCTCCCTCCAGCACCCCGGGCTCCGGGCCCTAGTTGCTTGGGCAACGGGAACTGTCAGCGACCTGGCCCAATCACCTCTCGGAACGTCACTCGGGTAGGTCCAGAGGCGGGGTCAACCCGGCCCGGCCCCGCCCCCCCGCCGGATCCAAGGCTCCTCGTCCGCATCCTTTTTCCTCCCTCCTTCGGCCCCGGGGCTCACATCCTCGCTGCCTCACACCTTGGGCGTGTGTGGGAGCAGGAGAGGGATTCTCTGGGGTCCCCATTTGGAACCTGGAGACCCACTTCTGCCAACAAGTCCTTCAGCCCCTCTGGGCCTTAGTTTCCCCCCAGTGAAGTGGGGATAGTGACAGCTCCCCCGGGAGCCAGTGAAAACTTTGTGAAGGGAGTGATTACTGCGGGCGAAGGCGCTTGGCACAGCCACAACTGAAGCTCAGCCGTCGGATGTGATTATTGTTGCTATTGTTACCGCTCCGCCTGGACTGGGTGCCCGGTCGGAAAGTCCCGCTCCCCGCTCCTCCTCCCAGGCGCGGAAGCTTCGCGCCGCCCGCCTCGGGGGACACCTCCCGCGCCATCTCGGGGGCACTGGAGATAAGGAAAGGAACCTCCTCCCTGGCTGGGATGGCTGCCCGGGCGCGGGAGGAGGGCCGGGGACCCGGTGAGGGAGGACCGTAGGGCCCGTGGGGGCTTCACGCCTGGCAGGCGGCCGGCCAGGTGAGCAGGGCCGCGGGCGCGCCGGGGCGAGGGGCGGGCCCGCGCGGGGGATTCGGGGCTCCGCGGGTTCAGGCCCGGGGGCGGGGCCCGGGGGCCATCTTGGCTATGGGCGGAAGTTTTCTTCAGAGACCGAGGGACGGGAATCCGTTGCCGCCCCCGGCCGGGCGGCACGACCCCGATTTGGGTATAGGAGAGAGGAGCGTGGGAACTGGCGGACCCCCATACAAGTAAAGGCGGGCGGCACGGGGCACGGCCCACCCGGGGACCCCCTGGATGCGGCACGGCCCCCGCAACTCGGCCGCCCTCCTGCCGCCTCCCGTAACCCCGGGCGCCCGCCAGCGGCGCAGCTCGCGCCAATTCTCGTACGGTTTCACGCCGGGTGCGGCGCTGGACTGCGGAGCCAGCCGGGCCGCTGCGCAATTTGCGTAGCGAACGGCGCCCGCGCAGGCGCGGAGGGGGAGGGGGGCGGAGCAGCGGGAGCCGGGGAGCCGGAGCCCCGGGTCCCCACGACCTGAGCCGGCTCTCCCATCAGCGGCCTGAGGACCTGGCGTCCGCCTCCTCCCTCCCCTTGAGGCTGGAGCGTGGACGCGGTGGGGGAGGGTGGGGCGGGGGCAGCTTTCGAGAATTACGAGGACAGGAGGCAGAGGCCCTCCCCATCCGCATTATTGGAGGAGAGAGAGCCTCCCCCAGCTTGGGGAGGGGGAGAGCGGGGCATTGGGCGCCCCTCGCAGCGGCCGCTGCCCTGACCCGACGGGTATCAGCCGGCTCTCCCCCTCCACCCAGGACGACATGAACGACCGAGGCCAGGGAGTCCTCTCCTTGGGCCTCTGCATCCCCCCATCCTTGGCTCTGGGGTAGGCCCAGGGAGGAGACACCCCCAACCCCTATCCGGTCTGTCCTGGAGAAAAGAGACTGCCCTTCCATGCCCCTGAGTGAGGGGCCTGGGGCCCAGGCTGCCTGTGTTCCCCAAGGGCAAGGGTCTCTCTGTTGAGGAGGAGGGGCCTGTCAGCCACAACTTCTTTCCTCCTGAGCGCCCCATCTCCCTCTCTGCACCCTGCAATTCCCACCCCTCCGTATTTATTTCCCTGGTCCCGCCGACAGTCCCTCCTTGTCTGTCTCCGGGATTCAGGCCTCCCTCCCTGACATGGAGAGTAACCTGTCTGGCCTGGTGCCTGCTGCCGGGCTGGTGCCTGCGCTGCCACCTGCTGTGACCCTGGGGCTGACAGCTGCCTACACCACCCTGTATGCCCTGCTCTTCTTCTCCGTCTATGCCCAGCTCTGGCTGGTGCTTCTGTATGGGCACAAGCGTCTCAGCTATCAGACGGTGTTCCTGGCCCTCTGTCTGCTCTGGGCCGCCTTGCGTACCACCCTCTTCTCCTTCTACTTCCGAGATACTCCCCGCGCCAACCGCCTGGGGCCCTTGCCCTTCTGGCTTCTCTACTGCTGCCCCGTCTGCCTGCAGTTCTTCACCTTGACGCTTATGAACCTCTACTTTGCCCAGGTAACCAACTGTGGTCCCGGGTGGGGGGCGGGAGGTGGCAAGCCTCAAGGACCCACAGGAGTGAAGGGCATCTCTGCTCCTAGGTGGTGTTCAAGGCCAAGGTGAAGCGTCGGCCGGAGATGAGCCGAGGCTTGTAAGTACTCGGGACACTGGTGGGCTCAGCCTCCAGGTCAGGGGCAGGTGACAGTCCCATGTAGATCCCTTCCCACCTCTCAGGGCTGAGACAAAGGCAACCCAGGGAATGTCTGTGGAAGATCTTGGAAAAGTTAAAGCACCTGGCGCAGATGGCTCAGCAGAGGCCTTGCAGATCTGCAAGGCACAGGAATAGGAATGCTTGTGGTAGTGTGAGGGAGAGGGCCCCAGTGTCATCCACCATGGAGGGCGAGCTGGAGGCTCCAGCCCATGGAAGCACCAAAGCCATATGCACTCCTGGGTGACCTGGGGCCGCAATGCCCTCGTCATTTGTACAGTGTCTTACGGTTTATAAAGAGCTTTCCCAGCCATCTTTTATTTGTACAATTTCCCTGAGAGGCTACTATCCTCCCTTGAGAGATGAAGAAACTGAGGCCCAGCCAGGTAAGACAGCAGGATCAAGGTCGCAGAGCTGGGGCTCAGACAGAGACTTCTGACTCCAGTTGGTGCACCTTCCGAAGTACCATGGCTGTCAGTCACCTTCTGACCTTTTTGGGCCTCAGTTTCTCCATCTGTAAGAGTGGAGGAACAGGGCTCAGACTGGATGCCCTGAGTTTTGTCGACATTGGGGTTTCCTGCAGGAGGTGGGGCAGGTGGTGAGTGCTGAGGGCTGTTGAGGGCCCGCGCTGACTGTGCTGTGGCTGCAGGCTCGCTGTCCGAGGGGCCTTTGTGGGGGCCTCGCTGCTCTTTCTGCTGGTGAACGTGCTGTGTGCTGTGCTCTCCCATCGGCGCCGGGCACAGCCCTGGGCCCTGCTGCTTGTCCGCGTCCTGGTGAGCGACTCCCTGTTCGTCATCTGCGCGCTGTCTCTTGCTGCCTGCCTCTGCCTCGTCGCCAGGCGGGCGCCCTCCACTAGCATCTACCTGGAGGCCAAGGTAGGGCTGCAGCACTGATGCCCAGGTGTCTTTTGGGTCTCTCGGCAGCGGTTCTCAGGGTGTAGAGGAAGCTGGGAGCCTTCTCTCCCTGAGGGTCCTCTGTTGTTACCTGTGCCAGGGGACCAGTGTGTGCCAGGCGGCCGCGATGGGTGGCGCCATGGTCCTGCTCTATGCCAGCCGGGCCTGCTACAACCTGACAGCACTGGCCTTGGCCCCCCAGAGCCGGCTGGACACCTTCGATTACGACTGGTACAATGTGTCTGACCAGGTGGGCATACGCATGTCTGCCACCTCCTTAGTAGCCGTGGCACCTTGGCCCCAGCTGGCCTGGGCCCTGTCCCACTACCCCTTTGGCGTGACTGCAGACTGGCACCAGCCCCTGCCTTCCCACAGGCGGACCTGGTGAATGACCTGGGGAACAAAGGCTACCTGGTATTTGGCCTCATCCTCTTCGTGTGGGAGCTACTGCCCACCACCCTGCTGGTGGGCTTCTTCCGGGTGCACCGGCCCCCACAGGACCTGGTAAGGGTCTGCTCCCTCTTCTGTGGGGCCAGTGGAGGGGGCGGATGTTGCAAATCCTGGGTTGGAGTCTGGGGTTGGGCCTGGGAGGCCAGTGCAGGACAGGAGTAAGTATCGATGATGGCTTCCTCCCCCAGAGCACCAGCCACATCCTCAATGGGCAGGTCTTTGCCTCTCGGTCCTACTTCTTTGACCGGGCTGGGCACTGTGAAGATGAGGGCTGCTCCTGGGAGCACAGCCGGGGTGAGAGCACCAGGTAGGAGCCGTGGCACTGCCTCAGTACCCCTGCCCTACCCGCCCACCCCGCTGGCTCCATCAAGCTATGGGGGACCGAGATAGCCGGGTCTTGCCTTCCACCCCTGCCATGGCCTTTGCTTCCCCATCTGTACTAGGTGAGGTCCCCTGGGTTCCTATTGCTAAAGCCTCCACCTCTTGCCTAGAGATGTACTTTGTCCTGGGCCCCGAAGGTCTAGGTCACAGGGGTTCTGTTCTAAGCCTGTCTTCCTCCTGCAGCTCTTGTGACTGTGGCCCTGGTCACTGTCCTGAGACTGACCCTGTTTCTCTGCTGCAGTATGTCGGGCAGTCTAGGCTCTGGGAGCTGGTATGGTGCCATCGGGCGTGAGCCGGGCTGGTATGGGGGCAGCCAGACGAAGACCACTCCTCTGCTCTTCTCCCAGGTGCCAGGACCAGGCGGCCACCACCACAGTCTCTACTCCACCCCACAGACGTGATCCCCCTCCCTCCCCCACAGAATACCCAGGCCCCAGTCCCCCTCACCCTAGGCCCCTGTGCCAAGTTTGTCTGCCGCTTCTTGCCCAGGATCCTGGGGGTCGTGGCTACCCCCTCCTCTGGCCGGCTCCTTGCTGCTCCTGTCATAGTGAGCTTGTGCCGTCCCCCTAGGATGGGGGGCATGGCCCTGGCTGCCAGATGCCCACAGCACCCTGGCATGACCTGCCACCTCTGCTTCCACACCGGAGCCAGCTACCTCTCCTGTGCCTGCCACTCAATAAACAGTGTCTGCGCCCCACAGTTGTGCACCTGTCTGTCATCTGCCTTGTGTTCCTATCACTTTTGCCTGTTTGGCCTAAGGCTGAACAGACACTAGCCCTTGAAGTGGGCTGCTAGGCTGGGCAGGGGTGACTTACCCCATCAAGGCTGGTGGGCTGGGAGAGGAGGGGCCTGCAGTTTGCAAGGGAAGGAGACCACACAGGCCTTTGTTCTCAAAGCTCTCCTGGCCCAGAATTGCCCCACTACCTCCAGATCCCTCTCCACTTGAACAGTTGCTACTCTTTCCTCAAGACCTGCGTCAACTGTTACCTCCTTTAGGAAGCCTTCTGTCTCCTGGTCAAGGGACATGGCCCCTCTGCTGGGCCCCACAGCTCCACATTACTGATTATGTGGCCATTGAGGTTCTTTGTTTTGTTTTGTTTTTTGAAGCAGGGTCTCACTCTGTCACTCAGACTGGAGTGCAGTGGCACGATCATGGCCCACTGCAGCCTCAACCTACCAGGCTCAAGCAATCCTCCTGCCTCAGCCTCCCGAGTAGCTGGGAATACAGGCACATGCCACCATTCCTGACTAATTTTTTAATTTTTAATTTTAGAGGTGGGGTTTCACCATGTTGCCCAGGCTGGTGTCGAACCCCCGGGCTCAAGCAATCCACCCACCTCAGCTTCCCAAAGTGCTGGGATTACAGGCATGAGGTACCATGCCTGGCAGCTTCTGAGTCTTAACCCCAATGGATTAGACTTTCTGGAGGCCCTGTTTCCCTATCACCACCCCAACCTGGTCTTTAGGAGTCAGGAGTTAGTCCAGGGCTTGCTGGGGAGTTGGCGCAGTGACTGAGCAGCCCCCATCTTCCTACCAGGGCGTGGGTTTGCCCAGATGTACAGGTGGTCCCCTAGCTATGCCCTCCCGTTAGCCCTCTTCTCCACTGTCCTTAGTAGCATAGTCACTGCCCTCTGCTTCCATGGCCCTGGCAGGTCTGTCTGATGGCTAGGAGTCCTTTGCTGGAGGGTCTGTCCCCTGCCCACATAGGTGGTTGTCCCAGCTTTTCAGAGTTCCCTTGGCTTATCACTGGGCCTGCTTCAAAACCCTTTACTTGGGACCATCCTGGGCACCAGGCCCTCAGGGCCTCCAGAGAGGGCATCTGAGACTCATAGAGAATCAGCTTGAAGCTGGACAATCACTTTTTGTTGAAATAAAAACTGCTAACGTTTGTGGGGCACTTTATTGTGTGTGCCAGGCTCTGTTTTGAGGATTTCTAAACACTGGCCTCCTTAATGCCCAGAACAGCACCCCGAAGTGATGATTAATCATCCCTTTTCTGTAAGTGGGAACAGGGAGACTCCAGAGTTTGGTAACCTGTTCAGGTTCCCTACCAGTAGCGGGTGGTCAGCCTCAAAGCCCAGGCTGAAAGCCATCCAGCATGAGGGCTGAGGACCCCAGCAGGCACCAGAGGGTCTTTGGAGAGGTCACAGGTTGTCAAGTGGGTGAGAACAGGGCGGGGCAAGTTCAGGACCAGCCAGGGCCTGGGTGTTCAGGCAGTGGGAGAGTGGATGCTGGCACCAGTGCCATGCTGGGATCTGCAGGCAGCTTCAGCCACAGCCTTCCGGGGCTGATTTCTGGGCATGGAAGTGAGAACCAAAAGCTGGGGCAGGGAGCACCCTGGAGGGATAGCCGGGGAGCAGGTAGAGGGCCAAAACCTGGAGTGGGGGCAGGAGGTGCTCCAGCAGCAACTCCCCCAGAGGTGGGTCCCAACCTCCACGTCGGCCAATTCCAGGTGGCCCCACCGGGTTTCCCCCACCCCTTTGTCCCGCGGAGCCCCTCCCTCATGAGTGCTGAGCCCAAGGGCCAGGCTGTCCCCAGGGGCGGAGAGTTGCGGACCCTTCCCGATCCGGTAATGGGCCTGGGAGATGCCAGATTAGCGTGGTGCCTGTCCGGAGAGACGGGCCAGCTGATGCCCAGGTCGGGGCCCTGCCGCTGGCCACACTGGGCTCCGGTCCAAGGCTAGAAGGCTGGCCCCTGCTGCAACCCCTCTCCGGCTCCTCTGCCACCCACCTCCCGGGGCTGGCCGGCTGTGGGGAGCCAGGCGGCCGCAGGTAAACGGCTTGGGGCGGCGCCGGCGGCGAGGGCGCTGCACGGAGGGAAGCGCGGCGCCGGAGGGGTTAACCGCGGGAGGAGGGGGGCTTCTGCCGGCGGGAGGGGGGTCCCAGCCCCGGCGGCCGCCCGCTCCGCCCCTGCCGCCTCCGCGGCCCAGTCGGCACCGGCGAGGCCGTGCTGGAACCCGGGCCTCAGCCGCAGCCGCAGCGGGGCCGACAGTAAGTGCGGTGCGGGCTCCGGTGCGCGGGCAGGACTCAGGGGCAGGGACGCCCCAGGGGCGACTGGCCGGGCGGGGTGCCCACCTCTCGCGCGTGGGCGCCTCCGGGAGTGGTGTGGCCGCCGGTCCCGCCGCCCGCCACGCTCCGAGGCGTCGCTGTGCGGACGCGGGGGAGGCGGTGGGAGCGAGCTGCGGGCGCTGCGCGGTGGCCCTGCTGTCTGGCGTGTGCACGCTAGTGTCCACACACGTGTGCGTGGGCTCTGGGTGCCCTGGCGCGGCCGGCACGCCCATGGGGGCCGGGGATGCCGGGGCGTCTGCGGAGAGTGCAGGTGGGGTGCGTGCGTGCAGCGGGGCGGCGCGGCGCTGCAGCCTCGGGATGGAGCGTGGGCGCGCGGGTCTTTGTGCCCGCGCTTGGCGGCGCGTGCCGGGGCGTGTGTGCGCGTGGGCGCCGCCGCCCGCTGTCTCGGACTGACAGCTGTCTCGGGGGCTGTCGCCCCGGTGTGGCCTTTGCGGACCCCCGCCCCGCTTTTTCCGGGAACTGGGCGTCCCCAGCACCCCTCCTCGCCTGGGTGCGGCGGCCGGGACCCGCCCCTGGGTTCCTCGAAAGCCCGGCGGGGCGCGGGGGCACCCTGGAGGGCCAGCCAGGAAGCAGGGCGAGGCGAGAGGGGACGGAGAAGCCGCGGAGATGCTGTCACAGCCGCAGCGGGCGAGCAGGGACCCACCATTCCCCTGTCCCCGCCTTGCGCTGTCCGGCCTCTCCTCCGGGTTTCCCTTCGGACGCCTCCGAGCCCCCTCAGCCTCCTCCTCGAGGGCCAGCTCCCCGCACCCCCACCAAGCTCCACACATTTCCTCGCTCGCCCCGCTTCCCCCTAGGCAGGCTTAGGCTCTCTTTCGGCCTCCCACTCGCCTTCCTTTCCCTTCTCGGTGCCCTCCTCTCTTTCCTCACCCGGTAGTCCCAGACAGGGGCTGAGGGCCGGGCAGCGGAGGTAAGGGGAAGGCTGGAGATAGGAGGGGGACTGGGTGTGTCCAGCCAGAGGGATGTCTGTGGACAGTGCAGCTGGGGGCTTTATGGATCTTTGGGTGTGTAGGGGATAGAGGAGGAGGGTGTGGGTGTCAGGCCAGCTCAGTGACCCCAGCATCCCTGGTTTTGCCCGCAGTGACGACAGCTCCCCAGGAGCCCCCCGCCCGGCCCCTCCAGGCGGGCAGTGGAGCTGGCCCGGCGCCTGGGCGCGCCATGCGCAGCACCACGCTCCTGGCCCTGCTGGCGCTGGTCTTGCTTTACTTGGTGTCTGGTGCCCTGGTGTTCCGGGCCCTGGAGCAGCCCCACGAGCAGCAGGCCCAGAGGGAGCTGGGGGAGGTCCGAGAGAAGTTCCTGAGGGCCCATCCGTGTGTGAGCGACCAGGAGCTGGGCCTCCTCATCAAGGTGCGTGGGTGGGCCGCAGCCCCTTCAGCTGTCACCCATCACCCCTGGCGCTAGCTGTGTGCCAGTGAGGCCCTGTGCCAGTGCTGCTTTCAGATCAGTATCCCTGAGGACGGGTGCAGTGGGAGGCTGTGGGACAGAGGCTGGGGACCAGGTCTCTGTGTTTTCAATAGGGCAACTGTGGGGTCATTTGTTTTCCTGGAGAGCCTGGCACAGGACTGTGCACCTATAATGTCTCCTTCAGGGTGTGATGGTGGTGGGATGAGGGGGAAATGAATGAATGAATGAATGGCCATAGCGCATGGGCTATGTTACATTTGCACAGGTCTCACTCACCGGTCTAGATTGCCACACAAAATCCAAGACTCTCATTTAAACATGAATTACAGTTAAACTGCAAATGCCTTTTTTTTTGAGACGGAGTCTCCCTGTGTCACCCAGGCTGGAGTGCAGTGGTGTGATCTCAGCTCACAGCAACCTCCGCCTCCCAGACTCAAGTGATTCTCCTGCCTCAGCCTCCCAAGCAGCTGGTATTACAGGGATTCATCACCACACCCGGCTAAATTTTGTGTTTTTAGTAGAGATGGGGTTTCACCATGTTGGCCAGGCTGGTCTCAAACTCCTGACCTCAAGTGATCCACCCGCCTCGGCCTCCCAAAGTGCTGGGATTGCAGACATGAGCCACCACACCTGGCCCACAAATGCCTTTTTAATACAAGTCCATCCCAAGCAATATTTTTGTTTGCTAAATCTGGCAACCCTACCTACACCGGTTCCCATACTTTTCTTGGAGTCATGTGCCTTAGAAAAGCCCAAGAACATGGTGAACACACCCCCTCCCCCTGGAAAAGTGTGCATATGAACATGTGCAGGTGATTTGGGAGGGTTCCAGGATCCATGCCACCAGGAATGCCAGGTCAGGTGCCCCTTCCCCCAGCATGCATGCTTACCATGTGGGGAGAAGGGGGGGTGCGTCAGGGTTCCCTGAGGCACTTCTGGTCAGACTCCAACCATAGACTCAAGAAAGTGTTGGCCGGGCACGGTGGCTTATGCCTGTAATCCTAGCACTTTGGAAGGCTGAGGTGGGTGGATCACCTGAGGTCAGGAGTTCAAGACCAGCCTGGCCAATGTGGCAAAACCCCATCTCTACTAAAAATACAAAAATTAGCCGGGTGTGGTGGTGCATGCCTGTGGTCCCAGCTACTCGGGAGGCTGAGGCAGGAGAATCGCTTGAACCCAGGAGGCAGAGATTGCAGTGAGCCAAGATCACACCACTGCACTCACTCCAGCCCAGCCTGGATGATCGGTCTCAAAAAAAAAAAAAAAAAAAAAGAAAGTGTTGGGCTGCAGCCTTCTGGGATACAGTCAGGCAGGCACGTCTGTTACTTTTTCTGATTTCGGAGTCACTGTCATACAAAAAAATTAAGATTTAGCTTTAATAAATTAATGTCTATTATTTGAAATTGAAGAGTACCCTTTGTTCCCTGCCTGTTCTTTGTGGAGAGAGGGGCCATTGGCACGGAGGCCTCAGTGTTCCAGCAGATTCTCAAGGCAGCAGGACTCAGGGCAGAGATGAGTGTGGGGTGGGGTTGGGACACAGACCACCCGACAGCATCTCTGACACTTACAGAATGCCAGTGGAGGCTCAGAGAGGCGTGGGAAGAATGTATCTGGCCAGACCACAGGGCAGAGAGAGGGAGGGAGGGAGGGAGGGAATCTGACCTAGTTTGTCTTCACAATGGAATTGCTTTTTTCCTGGATAAGAAAAAGGAAGAAAAGGAGAGGCAGGACCTAGAAGGGTGGGTGACAGCCGCTTTATTTCTCTTCCACAGTAGGATTCACTCCCTGAATTAGTTGTGCAGCAACTGTGCACCTACTGTGTGCTAGGTGCTGTAGTGTTATATGCCAAGGGGATATTGGAGTGGATCAGACACAGGGTCTGCCTTGGAGGGTGTCACATCTAGGCAAGGGGAGAGATCCATGGTCAGACAGATCACTGTAGGATTCAGTGGAAAGGAAGTTTCCCTCTTTCTGTTAAGCACCAATTGTGCTAGACCTTGAGCTAGGGGCTGGGGACAAGGATGGAGATGTCAGGGGCCTGAGGGATGACCTGGTGATTGAAATACACCAGGCGAGAGGGGTAGAGAGTAGAGACGAGGGGCAAGAGATGCCCATGTGGAGAGACAGCATGGGCAAAGGCGTGGAAGCTGGAAAGTTCCGGAGCATTTTGCAGAACCTGGAGTTAGCAGATGCCTAGTCATTTGAAGCAAAAATTAGAACACACAGGATGACAAAGGATTTTTCCCTTAAGTCGTGAATTTATTGGAAAAGTGTTGCAAAATACACATTAAATCACTTTTAATTAGCTATTTCGCTTCTTGCTTTTATTAACAGTTATTACAGGAAATGGAATCATCTCAGAAAATCTGGGGGGAAGGTTGCTGTAACATGGGGTGCCAAATTGGAGTCCCAGGGAGAAGACTAGGGGAAGGGGGGTGGGGACCAGTTTGAAAAAAGGAATGCTGGTCTGGGGTGTTTAGGCCTGCAAGGAGTGGGGAGCCATGGAGGGTGTTGAGCAGCCACTTTAGGAAGATTAGTTTGGACTAAGTCTTGCTAATGAGGACTTCAGTCAGGGGGCGAAGAGGTGCTTTATGATACGCCCCACAGACACCATTCTGGTACCTTGACACTGCTGCTTGGGGAAGAGTCTCTCTGACTTCCTCTCACCTAGGGCAAGCACTCTCAAAATAGTCCCTGCCCATGGGACCTGCATGCTGGCGAGAGGGGGAGACACCCAAATAGGGACATTACATTCATTTAATAATATGTATTGGCTGGTCCGAATACAGTAGTGTTTACAACTAATTGATCACAACCAGTTACAGATTTCTTGGTCCCTTCTCCACTCCCACTGCTTCACTTGACTAGCCTTAAAATAATAATAATACTTATTGAGAGGTGCTCAATCAATATGATTTACACTGCAGCACAGGGTTTGGCTTGGGCTTCCTCAGGGGTGGGATGTGTGTGTTTTTGTGTGTGCATATAAACCTCCTAAAAATTGGGAGCAAAATTTTGTGGCATATAAACCTTCCTGGAGAGAAAGTCCCTAGCTTTCTTGAGATTTTCTAAGGAAAGGGACTCAAATTCAGCTTCCATAGGTGCAATGGGAGTGGTGGGGTTGGAAAGCTGGAAACACAGGGTGTGGTCACTGCTTGGGAACTTACTCAACAGTCAGTGCTTACTTTGTTGCACGTTCACAAAAAATCTGGGAGGCAGATGCTGTCACTATCCTTCCCACTTGAGACATGCAGAAGCTGAGGCCAGAGAGTTCACTTGCTCAAGTCCCATAGCACCAACATTTGAACCCAGGCAGTCTGGTCCCAGGGTCTGTGCTCCTGACCATGGTAAAAGTGGAAATTTGTTGTCTGAAGTTAGGGGCCAGATACTGAAAATGTTTCTCAAACATTGTAGAAGTCAAACAAACTCACCTGCAGGTAGACTGGACCCAGTTTGTATCTTCTGCTGTAAGGGACTGCCTCCTGGGAGACCAAAGGGAAGGGGAGAACAGGGAGGAGCAGGGAAGGAGCCACCCTAGAGACTGGAGGGGCCACGAGTTGCCCTAGACAGGAGGGAAGAACTGAAGCTCCTCCTTCTGCACCTTGTCCTGCAGGAGGTGGCTGATGCCCTGGGAGGGGGTGCGGACCCAGAAACCAACTCGACCAGCAACAGCAGCCACTCAGCCTGGGACCTGGGCAGCGCCTTCTTTTTCTCAGGGACCATCATCACCACCATCGGTGGGGGAGGGGATTGGCATGTGGGGGGCGGCAAGGAGCTTCCTCATGGGGGAAGGTGCAGGGAGACGGAGGGGTCCCAGGTGGCCCCTAGACTTCCTGCATCGCCCCTCTGCCCAGGCTATGGCAATGTGGCCCTGCGCACAGATGCCGGGCGCCTCTTCTGCATCTTTTATGCGCTGGTGGGGATTCCGCTGTTTGGGATCCTACTGGCAGGGGTCGGGGACCGGCTGGGCTCCTCCCTGCGCCATGGCATCGGTCACATTGAAGCCATCTTCTTGGTGAGCTGCTCCATGCCCTGCCTGCCCTTGTGCTGGGCTCCGGCTACCCTTCCCCATGTCCCTGGCACATGAGCGCGCCCCCAAAGACCATAAGCCTCTCCCACAGGCTCCTGGGGGCGGGAGTGGGGAGTATGGGAGTGGGGATTGTTGGTGTCTCCTGGGTCCTGCCTACTGCCCCATCCCGCAGAAGTGGCACGTGCCACCGGAGCTAGTAAGAGTGCTGTCGGCGATGCTTTTCCTGCTGATCGGCTGCCTGCTCTTTGTCCTCACGCCCACGTTCGTGTTCTGCTATATGGAGGACTGGAGCAAGCTGGAGGCCATCTACTTTGTCATAGTGACGCTTACCACCGTGGGCTTTGGCGACTATGTGGCCGGTGAGGCCGCCCTTCTTGTGCTGCACTTTCCCATCTACTTTATTCCTGATCAGGGGCTCTGCACTCCTGCCTTTCCCTCCAGATCCCATGTGGTTGCTCTAACCCCTGCATCCATCATGGAATGCACCATCACAGCCTTGCACACACACCAGCGCCTTATGCACACTCACATTCTTATATGCTTGAGTCCCATGCATGCTCACACATATATTAAATGCACCCCTCGCATGTGTCACATTCTTGCACGGGAGCGCCCCTTCTTGCATGCTTTTATCTTGCACACTTTCAACTCATGCACACCACTCATTTTC
The DNA here is from genome assembly GCF_000001405.40 of Homo sapiens. Classification (NCBI taxonomy): domain Eukaryota; kingdom Metazoa; phylum Chordata; class Mammalia; order Primates; family Hominidae; genus Homo; species Homo sapiens. The sequence continues at coordinate 64,297,965 of NC_000011.10, forward strand.
CTGCCTGCACTCACACACTCAAGCACATACCCATTGCCCTAGGGAGGGCAGGTCCTCTCCAGGAACTGGGAGGGGGGCACTGAACCAGAGCTCACAGGCTTGCCCCACAATCCAATTCTTTCTACCTTCCCTGGTGGTATCCCAGGCGCGGACCCCAGGCAGGACTCCCCGGCCTATCAGCCGCTGGTGTGGTTCTGGATCCTGCTCGGCCTGGCTTACTTCGCCTCAGTGCTCACCACCATCGGGAACTGGCTGCGAGTAGTGTCCCGCCGCACTCGGGCAGAGGTAGGCGCCCCAGGGTTGGCACTGTGCCTGCGCACTGTGGTGCAAATGTGCTGTTCCCTAGCAGGGGGTTGATCAGGCTGTCTCCTATCCAGGGCGTGGGCTCCTGAGGCAGGGGCTGAGTGAGCCTCTGTGTGTGCCCCGCAGGGAACAGAGGGGTATAAGTTTGTGGGTACCTTCACCACCTCTTCCTTCATGGGTAGGATTGCCGGATTTAGCAAATAAAAATGCAGAAAGCCAGCACAGGCAACATGGTGAGATCCCGCCTCTAGAAAAGGCACAAAAATTAGCCCTGCGTGGTGGTGTGTGCCTGTAGTCCCAGCTACTCGGGAGGCTGAGATGGGAGGATCGCTTGAGCCAGGGGAGGTCGAGGCAGCAGTGGGTCATGATTGCACCACTGCACTCCAGCCTGGGTGACAGAGTAAGCCCTGGTCTCAAACAAACAAACATTAACAACAACAACAAAAACAAAACTCAGTTAAATTTGAATTCCAAATAAATAAAATTTTATTATGGCGGGGGGCAGTGGCTCATGCTTGTAATCCGAGCATTTTGGGAGGCTGAGGCGGGTGGATCACGAGGTCAGGAGTTCGAGACCAGCCTGGCCAACACAGTGAAACCCCGTCTCTACTAAAAATACAAAAATTACCTGGACGTGGTGGCGGGCGCCTGTAATCCAAGCTACTTGGAGGGCTGAGGCAGGAGAATCGCTTGAACCGGGGAGGCAGAGGTTGCAGTGAGCTGAAATCACACCACTGCACCCCAGCCGGGATGACAGAGCTAGACTTGTCTCAAAAAAAGAAGAAAAAAAAAAAAAAAAAAAAAAAGCATGTCCCAAATATTGCACGAGATATATTTATACTAAAATTTTATTTGTTGTTTCTCTGAAATTCACATTTAGCCAGGCGATTTGTATTTTGCCACCCTGCTGGGAGCACCCAGTGGAGGAGCCCTTCCATCCTTGGGGCTGGCTGAGGCTGGAGGACCAGGCAGAAAAGAGGGTTGGGGTTTGATCCCTGCTGGTGAAGGGGCAGGTTCCCGGGGGGTCGCGGAGGGGGTCTAGACCTCTAGTCGAGGGCTGCTTTCCCTCTCCGTGCAGATGGGCGGCCTCACGGCTCAGGCTGCCAGCTGGACTGGCACGGTGACAGCGCGCGTGACCCAGCGAGCCGGGCCCGCCGCCCCGCCGCCGGAGAAGGAGCAGCCACTGCTGCCTCCACCGCCCTGTCCAGCGCAGCCGCTGGGCAGGCCCCGATCCCCTTCGCCCCCCGAGAAGGCTCAGCCGCCTTCCCCGCCCACGGCCTCGGCCCTGGATTATCCCAGCGAGAACCTGGCCTTCATCGACGAGTCCTCGGATACGCAGAGCGAGCGCGGCTGCCCGCTGCCCCGCGCGCCGAGAGGTCGCCGCCGCCCAAATCCCCCCAGGAAGCCCGTGCGGCCCCGCGGCCCCGGGCGTCCCCGAGACAAAGGCGTGCCGGTGTAGGGGCAGGATCCCTGGCCGGGCCTCTCAAGGGCTTCGTTTCTGCTCTCCCCGGCATGCCTGGCTTGTTTGACCAAAGAGCCCTCTTTCCACGAGACTGAAGTCTGGGGAGGAGGCTACAGTTGCCTCTCCGCCTCCTCCCTGGCCCCGGCCCTTCCCTCACTTCCATCCATCTCTAGACCCCCCCAAGGCTTTCTGTGTCGCTGCCCCGGGCGGGTGTATCCCTCACAGCACCTCACGACTGTGCCTCAAAGCCTGCATCAATAAATGAAAACGGTCTGCACCGCTGCGGGCGTGACGCTCCCGGACGCGAGTGGGTGTGGAATTGCTTTCCTCGGGCCACCGTGGGGGCACCTCTGGCCTCCCGTGACCCCCAGGCCGAGGGTCCCCGGGCACCCAGGTCGGTCAAGTCTCGGCCCTCTCAGGCCCGCGTCTCTGCCTGGAGGAGACTGTGTAGGGTCCGGCGTGGGGATCAGCCAGGATGGGCTGCGCGTCTCCAGCCTCTGCACACACATTGGCGGGTGGGGTGCAGGGAGGGAGAGGCAGGGGAGAGAGAATGGCATCTCGCGTGGAGGGCTGTCGTTTGAACTCTCCCAGCGCGAGAGACCCTGCCCCGCCCCCTTCCTGGAGCGTTGACTCCCTTCTCGTCTCGAGGCCTGTGGCGTCTGGGTCCGTTGGGGCAGAACCATGGAGGAAAAGCCTTCGAAAGTAAGACGTCTCCCTAGGCCCCTTACCCTGTCCGCTCCAACCCACCCTTGGTCCGACTCGGGCCCCTGGCGCTATTTCTTACTCAGCCTTGGCTGCCCGCAGCCCCCACCCAACCCCACGTTCTACGGGATCCCCAACCCGGCCCGGCTCAGTTCCCCAGCCCGCTCTTCCTTCCCGCTCCAGCCATCCGCGACCCTTGGCTCCCTCCTTGTATGTGGCCCACAGGTGTCGCTCAAGTCTTCCGACCGCCAAGGCTCGGACGAGGAGAGCGTGCATAGCGACACTCGGGACCTGTGGACCACGACCACGCTGTCCCAGGCACAGCTGAACATGCCGCTGTCCGAGGTCTGCGAGGGCTTCGACGAGGAGGGCCGCAACATTAGCAAGACCCGCGGGTGGCACAGCCCGGGGCGGGGCTCGTTGGACGAGGGGTACAAGGCCAGCCACAAGCCGGAGGAACTGGACGAGCACGCGCTGGTGGAGCTGGAGTTGCACCGCGGCAGCTCCATGGAAATCAATCTGGGGGAGAAGGACACTGCATCCCAGATCGAGGCCGGTCAGTGTGGCCTCGCCAGGCCGTGGGCACCCGCAGGGCAATAAGCTGGCCAGGGACTCAATTTCTGGAGCTGTAAAATGGGGGGAAGCTGATGGGATCCAAGTTTCTAGGATTCTCTGGGAGAGGCGCCCGCGCCAATCTTTCGCCCTTTAAATCCGCCAGGCATTCTTGGAGCGCCCCCTCCCGGGCAGGCGTTGTAACAGGCCTTTCGGTCGTGACGCGCAGAGTCCGGGGAAGGACGCACCAAATAAATTGCGCAAAGACCCCGTGGTAGGACCTGCGGGGTTTTTTTGTTTTGTTTGTTTTGTTTTGTTTTGTTTTTGAGACAGGATCTCACTCTGTCGCCCAGGCTGGATGGAGTGCAGTGGTGCGATTATAGCTCACTGCAGTTCAAGTGATCCTCCCGCCTCCCACTTTTTTTTTTTTTTTTTTTTTTGAGACGGAGTCTCGCTGTGTCGCCCAGACTGGAGTGCAATGGCACGATCTCTGCTCGCTGCAACCTCCGCCTCCCGAGTAGCTGGGATTACAGGCGCGCGCCACCACGTGCGGCTAATTTTTGTATTTTTAGTAGAGACGGAGTTTCACCATGTTGGCCAGGCTGGTCTCGAACTCCTGACCTCAAGTGATCCGCCGGCCTCGGCCTCCCAAAGTGCTGGAATTACAGGCTTGAGTCACTGCGCCCGGCCTTTGTTTTTTAGAGATGACGTCCTGCTTTGTCACCCAGGCTGGAGTGCAGTGTTGTGATCATAGCTCACTACAGCCTCAAACTCCTAGGCTCAAGGTATCCTCCAACCTCAGCCACCCCCACCACCCCGAGCTGGGAGGACAGGCCGGCACCATCCTGCTCAGCTAATTTTTTATTTTTTGTAGAGAAAATTTCGACATGTTGCCCCAGCTGGTCTCAAACTCCTGGGCTCAAGTGATCCTCCTGCTTCGGCTTCCCAAAGTATTGGGATTACAAGTGTGAGCCACCATGCCCGGCGAGACCTGTGTTTTTAATGGAATCATCCCACCAGTTGCAAGAGTTAACTCCTTGTCTTATGATTTGCGCTGGTTGAGGAGGTGTACGTCTTTCCATTAGTCAGTTGCTGGTTACAATTTCTAAGCCCCTACTACGTGCTGGGCACTGTCTGGCACCCCCTCAAACTACTTCATCAGAGAGTAAGAACCAATAACAGTATAACAATGGTTACATATTGAGCACTTGCTGTGTGCCAGGCACGGGGCTTCCCCTGGATTGTCACCTTCAAACTTCACAACCTCCATAAAGAGCTATTTATTTTTTATTTATTTATTTTTATTATATTTTTTGAGACGGGGTCTCACTCTGTCGCCCAGGCTGGAGTGCAGTGGTGCCATCTCGGCTCACTGCAAGCTCTGCCTCCCAGGTTCACACCATTCTCCTGCCTCAGCCTCTGGAGTGGCTGGGACTACAGGCGCCTGCCAGCACGCCCGGCTAATTTTTTGTATTTTTAGTAGAGACAGCGTTTCACCTTGTTAGCCAGGATGGTCTCAATCTCCTGACCTCGTGATCCGCCCACCTCGGCCTCCCAAAGTGCTGGGATTACAGGCGTGAGCCAACCGCGCTCGGCTATTTATTTTTGAGTCAGATTCTCACTCTGTTGCCCATGCTGGAGTGCAATGGTGCGATCTTGGCTCACTGCAACTTCCGCCTCCCCGGTTCAAGCAATTCTCCTGCCTCAGCCTCCTGAGTAGCTGGGATTACAGGTGCCTGCCACTATGCCTGGCTAATTTTTGTATTTTTAGTAGAGACGGTGTTTCACCATATTGGCCAGGCTGGTCTTGAACTCCTGATCTTGTGATCTGCCCACCTTGGCCTCCCGAAGTGCCTGGATTACAGGCGTGAGCCACCACTTGGCCAAGAGCCAAGAGCTGTTCTTTTTTTTTTTTTTTTTTTTAGTTTTTTTTTGAGACAGAGTCTCACTTCTTCACCCAGGCTGGAGTGCAGATGTACGATCTCGGCTCAGTGCAAGCTCCGCCTCCCTGGTTCAAGTGATTCTCCTGCCTCAGCCTCCCGAGTAGCTGGGATTACAGGCACTTGCCAGCAAGCCCGGCTAATTTTTGTATTTTTAGTAGAGACGGGGGTTTCACCATGTTGGCCAGGTTGGTCTCGAACTCCTGACCTTGTGATCCGCCCACATTGGCCTCCCAAAGTGCTAGGATTACAGGCATGAGCCACCGTGCCCGGCCAAGAGCTGTTCTTATTACCCCATTTTACTGATGAAGAACTTGAGGGTCAGAGAGTGTCAGTCACTGGTCCTAAGTGTCACACTGTGGGGCAGTCATTACTGGAACCATGTGGGTGGGGCTCTAAAGCCCAGGGTTGTAACCTCTGTCCCATGCTGACCCCAAGGCTGCACCAGGAGCTGGTCTCTGAAGGCCATTCCCTCTCACAAGGTGCCTACCCATCTCCTGTGCTCCAGGGAAGGCCCAGGAGTCTGCGGATGACTAACCCTTTTTTCTCTTCTCCCAGAAAAGTCTTCCTCAATGTCATCACTCAATATTGCGAAGCACATGCCCCATCGAGCCTACTGGGCAGAGCAGCAGAGCAGGGTTGGAGGGGCTGGGGAGACTGGGCGTTTCGGTGGGGTAGGGGATAGGCAAATTGGGGGTTGATAGGATATGAAAGTTGGGGGTGGTTGGCAGGGTGGAGGGGCAGGCAGGCTGGTTGGGGGTTTGGGGGCCACAGGGAGGAGGTGGGGGCATTTCAGCTGTGGGCAGAGATGAAGTACCTGGACGCCTAAGCCTCTTGCTGCTTCTCCAGCTGCCACTGCCCCTGATGGAACTCATGGAGAATGAAGCTCTGGAAATCCTCACCAAAGCCCTCCGGAGTAAGCTCCCCGCCAACCCCCAAGAACTCCCACGACAGATTCTGGTGGATTTTGCAGGGCTGGGGCCCAGGGGGGTGGGGTTTCAGGGTGCCTTATGTCTTGTCAGATGCCCTTGGCACTCACAAGTATTCCAAGGGCCCCATAAAAGTTAAAAGCTGAGGGACTGGGCACAGGAAGACCCAGTGGGGGACATGTGGTGATGGGCAGAGGCCTGGGCTCCAGGCTGAGTGCAGCCCCTCTCCAGCTGAGGGAGGCTTTTCTGTGGCTGTTTCTCCACCTGCACAGTGGGATGACCGCCTTGGTGTGGCCTCGACTGCCTCTGGTTGGGGAGTTGTGAGGAGCCTTTGGACAGTGGATTATGTGGGTGAACTTTTGCTGCTGTGGTAGGAAAGCCCAGCGGTGATAAAGGGCCAGCTGATGGCTTAGAGTGGGTGGCTGGTCCAGAAGGTGGGCAAACTGCTCGCTACCACCGCCCTAGTTCAGGCCTGCAACCTCTTCCCTAGCCTTGACCTCATCCATCCTCCACCTTAACACTCAGCACCCTTAGAGATGCAAAGTTCCCCAGGCTAACACAGACCTGAGTGCCCTGCGCTACTGCTACCTCGAATCATCTGCGGTTCCTCGAATCACACATGCGGCGCCCCCTGGTGGGGAGACCTTTCGGTTGCTCACTGCCCTGAGCCGAGCTCTGCCCTCCTCCTAGGCTACCAGTTAGGGATCGGCAGGGACCACTTCCTGACTAAGGAGCTGCAGCGATACATCGAAGGGCTCAAGAAGCGCCGGAGCAAGAGGCTGTACGTGAATTAAAAACGCCACCTTGGGCTCGAGCAGCGACCCGAACCAGCCCCGTGCCAGCCCGGTCCCCAGACCCAAGCCTGACCCCATCCGAGTGGAATTTGAGTCCTAAAGAAATAAAAGAGTCGATGCATGGTCCGTGAGTCAGTGCAGGACAGCCCGCGTGAGGCGGACGCACGTGGCCCCGCCCTTCCCCGTGACCTTCATTCGGTCACCGCAGTGACCTTCATTCGGTCACCGCAGTGACCTTGAGCTTTCTCCGTCCGGGCCCTATCGGCCCTACCTTCCGGGACTCGCAATCCAGGACTTATTGCATGTTTTAAGTCGGCTTCACCCACCCCGAGTTCCGCAGCTCTGTGGGGCTACTGGGTCTACGGTTCGAGTGCTCAGTTGGTGTCGCTTTGGGGGAAGGGGGTAGGGGGAACGGGGCAGCACCTCCCTCCTCGCGACGGCGCGCTAGGCTCCGCCCCTCAAGCATAGGTAGCAGGTCCAGCCTCTCCGCTCGTCCCGCCCTTGCGTTTTCATCTGTAAGTGGTCTCTTGGCTCCGCGACTGCAGCCTGCACCGCCTCGCCCACTCCTCTCGCGCGCAGCAAGCCCCGCCTCCTCCGTTACGAAAGAGCGCTTCTGGCCCCACTTGCTCTCGGCTCTATTGTCCCCGCCCTCCGCGTCTCCGGCCCCGCCCCTCCCAGGGGCCGCGTACGCATGTGCGCCGCAGTGGCTCGGCGGGCTGCGGGGCGGGACCTGCACGAAGGCCCGCCCACTGGCGCTGCCGGCTCCGCCCCGACTCGTCCGGGCGCGCAGGCGCCGCCCGCCCCGCTGGTCTGATTAGCATAGGACCCCGGGCCCCGCCCCCTGCTTTGCATGCGCACGGCCGGCCCCACCCCCGCTGTCAGCTGGAGGAAGCGGAGTAGGAAGCGGCCGCGATGTCCTTTTGTGTCCTACAAGCAGCCGGCGGCGCCGCCGAGTGAGGGGACGCGGCGCGGTGGGGCGGCGCGGCCCGAGGAGGCGGCGGAGGAGGGGCCGCCCGCGGCCCCCGGCTCACTCCGGCACTCCGGGCCGCTCGGCCCCCATGCCTGCCCGACCGCGCTGCCGGAGCCCCAGGTCCGGGGGCGGAGGGGAGCGCTGCCGCGGGGGTGGGCGGGCGGGGCGCGGGGGCCATGTGCGAGCGCGGCAGGGAGGCGGGCGGGGCGGGCTGCAGGCGGGGTCCGACTCTGGGGCCAGTCCGGGCCACGGTTGGGACCCAGTCGAGGGTCGGACTGGTCAGGGTTCAGGCGGGATCCGGCGTCCGAGTCCTGGTGGGCCGGCCTGGGGCAGGATCTGGCTCTGGCTGCGGGTCCTGACTCGGGTCAGGGTTGGGCCTCCGATCCAGCCCGCTCCGGGGCAGGGTTCAATCCCGCATTTGCCGAAGTCCCTGGGGCTGGCCGGGGTGGAAGACGGGGAGGGCTCTATGTCTGGGAAGGGGCTCTGAAGACCACGTGGGGGCGCTCGAAGGGGCCTGGGGCCACCCTCCTCTCTGGGTCAAAGGTCATCGCACCGGCAGGGGAGAACTTCCTCCTCCTTGGCTCTCCCCACTTACTTCCTGATAACCTGGTAGAGGTCTCCCGCGGGCGGGGAGGGGGAGGCGTAGCAACTTTAGGCAACTTCCCAAAGGTGTGCGCAGGTTGGGGGCGGGACGCGGCGCCCCGGGAGGTGGCGGCCTCTGCGACAGCGGGAGTATAAGAGTGGACCTGCAGGCTGGTCGCGAGGAGGTGGAGCGGCGCCCGCCGTGTGCCTGGGACCGGCATGCTGGGGCAGGAGGGCAGCCGCGTGTCAGGTGTGAAAAGCTCTGGAGGTGTTTTCATGAGTCCGTGCCTGTGCGTGTGGATGTGGGGAGACCTAGTGAGAGTGTGTGTGATCATGAGCCTTGACTGAGTTCGTGGATGGGGTGTGCGCTCCAGGAGAAGTGTGTGAGCACAAGTGTGAGCAGGAGTGAGCACGGGTTTGGGAAGGCCGGTGCAAGTGTGAAAGCCCTCAGCAGAGAGCGAGCCTGCGTGGGCTTGTGGGGCTCCTGAGCACCCCGGTGAGTGGAGTGTGTGAACTCGGTGTGAGCACGTCCACTGGCCTTGGGTCTGCTCTCCAATGCAGAATACCCAGATGAGGGCAGGGTCTCAGAGGTCCCCCCAACATCTGGAGAAAACTGGGAAGTATCCTGCTCCTGGCTAGGGATTCCAGGTGGGGTTGAAGGTTGCCTGGGGGCTACGGTTACCCTGCTCCCTGGCCTGGGTGGGAGTAGGGGCTTTCTAAGCCTCCCCCAGGTTCCCAAGGGGGAGACCTGCTGTCAGTTACTGGCCCTGAAGACTCTGTTTCCATGGCAACAGCTAGGAGGGGGCAGTGTTCCTGGGCAGTCCTTCCTTGGACTCTGCCCCCCTTCTTCCCCACTTGCTGGGCTTGGAAGCCTGGCCCTAGGCCCGAGGTTGGGCAACCCGTGTGGCAGGGTGTCTCCCATCCCCCATACCAGTGCTTTCCTGCGAACCTATGGGTCTCTCCGTGCAGGTGACCAGCGCCATGTCCAGCCAGGTGGTGGGCATTGAGCCTCTCTACATCAAGGCAGAGCCGGCCAGCCCTGACAGTCCAAAGGGTTCCTCGGAGACAGAGACCGAGCCTCCTGTGGCCCTGGCCCCTGGTCCAGCTCCCACTCGCTGCCTCCCAGGCCACAAGGAAGAGGAGGATGGGGAGGGGGCTGGGCCTGGCGAGCAGGGCGGTGGGAAGCTGGTGCTCAGCTCCCTGCCCAAGCGCCTCTGCCTGGTCTGTGGGGACGTGGCCTCCGGCTACCACTATGGTGTGGCATCCTGTGAGGCCTGCAAAGCCTTCTTCAAGAGGACCATCCAGGGTGAGCCCCCAGCCCACTCCCCTGTCCTTTGCCCTGCACCCTCTGGGTACACTGCTGGGTGCAATAGGCCCCCTGATGGCTGTGGCACCGCTTGAGGCTAACAATCTGGTGTTTCCAGTCCCTCTACCTCCCAGAGACACTCTTTCCCTGAGAAGTATGGTAAAAGCACCGGGTGTGCTGATGCATTGCAGTGGATGTGAGTGAGTTCAGGGTACCACCTGGGTACTCTAGGCCCAGCACCTTCTACAGTGGCTCTGAAAGAGTCCAAGGCAGCCTCTGTCTGTTCCTAAGCTTTGTTCTTGTTTCTGGCAGCTTCTGACCTCTCCCCAGCATAGAACATGTCCCCTTTTTGTTAATTTTCCCAAAGCAGCACCAACACAAGGCAGATTTTAATTTTTTTTTTTTTGAGACAGAGTCTCACTCTGTTGTTCAGGCTAGAGTGCAGTGGCACAATCTCTGCTCACTGCAACCTTTGCCCCTGGGTTCAAGAGATTCTCCTGCCTCAGCCTCCTGAGTAGCTGAGACTGCAGGTGTGCACCACCACGCCCAGCTAATTTTTGTATTTTTAGTAGAGACGACGTTTCACCATGTCGGCCAGGCTGGTCTGGAATTCCTGACCACAAATGATCCACCTGCCTCGGCCTCCCAAAACAAGGCAGATTTTTATCAGTACTTGAGAGGGGCTACATCATAGTTTAGCACCCAACTTTAAAAAGACTAACAGGCAAGGCCGGACACAGTTGCTCACACCTGTAATCCCAGCACTTTGGGAGGCCAAGGTGGGCGGATCACCTGAGGTCAGGAGATCGAGACCAGCCTGGCCAGGGTGGTGAAACCGCATCTCTACTAAAAATGCAAAAAATTAGCTGGGCATGGTGGCTCGCGCCTGTAATCTCAGCTACTTGCTACTTGAGAGGCTGAGGCAGGAGAATTGCTTGAACCCAGGAGGCAGAGGTTGCAGTGAGCCAAGATCACACCACTGTACTCCAGCCTGGGTGACAGAGCGAGATTCCATCTCAAAAAAAAAAAAAAAAGGCCGGGCACTGTGGCTCATGTAATCCCAGCACTTTGGGAGGCCGAGGCGGGCGGATCATGAGGTCAGGAGATTGAGAACATCCTGGCTAACACGGTGAAACACTGTCTCTACTAAAAATACAAAAAATTAGCTGGGCATGGTGGCGGGCGCCTGTAATCCCAGCTACTTGGGAGGCTGAGGCAGGAGAATGGCGTGAACCCAGGAGGCGGAGGTTGCAGTGAGCCAAGATCACGCCACTGCACTCCAGCCTGGGCGACAGAGTGAGACTCCGTCTCAAAAAAAAAAAAAAAAAGGCTGGGCGCGGTGGCTCATGCCTGTAATCCCAGCACTTTGGGAGGCCGAGACGGGCGGATCACCTGAGGTCAGGAGTTTGAGACCAGCCTGACCAATGTGATGAAACCCCGTCTCTACTGAAAATACAAAAATTAGCCAAGCATGGTGGCATGCGCCTGTCATCCCACTCAAGAGGCTGAGACAGGAGAATTGCTTGAACCTGGGAGGCAGAGGTTGCAATGAGCCCAGATCGCGCCATTGCACTCTAGCCTGCGCAACAAAAGTGAAACTCCACCTCAAAAAACAAAAACAAAAACAAAAACAAAAAAACCCAAAAACGCTGGGCTTGGTGGCTCATGGCCTGTAATCCCAGCACTTTGGGAGGCTGAGGCAGACGGATCACGAGGTCAGGAGTTCGAGACCAGCCTGGCCAACATGGTAAAACCCCGTCTCTACTAAAAATACAAAAATTAGCCGGGCGTGGTGGTGAGTGCCTGTAATCCCACTACTTGGGAGGCTGAGGCAGGAGAATTGCTTGAACCCGGGAGGCAGAGGTTGCAGTGAGCTGAGATCATGCCACAGCACTCTAGTCTGGGCAACAGAATGAGACACTCTCATCTCAAAAAAAAAAAAAAAAGGACTTACAGGCATGTCTGCTCTTAAAAGTCACTAATTTTTTTCTCACTCAGGAAAGCTTATCAGAATTTGGGGGAATGAGCAAGATGCTGACATTAAGCATTGCCTGGGAAGGGCCTATTATTTCCGTTATTTCTGCTTTTATGTAACCATTGGTTACTTTGGGGGCTATAACACGTATAATTAAAAAAAAAAAAAAAAAGGCCAAGTGTGGTGGCTCACACCTGTAATCTCAGCACTTTCGGAGGCTAAGATGGGAGGATCACAAGGTCAGGAGTTCGAGACCAGCCTGGCCAACATGGTGAAACCCTGTCTGTACTAGAAATACAAAAATTAGCCAGGTGTCGTGGTGGGTGCCTGTAGTCCCAGCTACTCAGGAGGCTGAGGCAGGAGAATTGCTGGAACCCAGGAGGCAGAGGTTGGAGTTAGCCAAGATCGTGCCACTGCACTCCCAGCCTGGGTGACAGAGTGAGAGTTCGTATCAAAAAAAAAAAAAAAAAAAAAATCTTGAGTGCTTACCTTGTGCTAGGCACTGTATTCTTTTATGATCTCAGTTAGTCCCCACAGCAACCCTATAAGGTGTCAGTACTGTTATAACTGAAACTAAGAGAGGCATTTGAAACTTTGTTGAAGTCTCACAACTAGGAAATGGCAGAACCAAGATTTGAACTTGGGTCAGTATAGGTCCAGAGCTGAGCTCTTCAATGTTAGACTGCTTCCTCTGCTTATTACTAATAACACCGAACTTTGGACAGACGCTGAATGACTGATTGTGACATTCCAGCACGTTTTTTTTTTTTTTTTTGAGACAGTCTCGTGTGGTCGCCCAGGCTGGAGTGCAGTGGCACGATCTCGGCTCACTGCAAGCTCCGCCTCCCGGGTTCACACCATTCTCCTGCCTCAGCCTCCTGAGTAGCTGGGACTACAGGTGCCCGCCACCACGCCTGGCTAATTTTTTGTACTTTTAGTAGAGACGGGGTTTCAGCGTGTTAGCCAAGATGGTCTTGATTTCCTGACCTCGAGATCCACCTGCCTTGGACTCCCAAAGTGCTGGGATTACAGGCGTGAGCCACTGCTCCTGGCCAGGTTTTTTTTTTTTTTTTTTTTTTTTTTGAGATGGAGTTTTGCTCTTGTTGTCCAGGCTGGAGTGCAACGGCCTGCAGTCGTGGTTCACTGCAACCTCTGCCTCCCGGGTTCAAGCCATTCACCTGCCTCAGCCTCCCAAGTAGCTGGGATTACAGGCGCCTGCCACCATGCCCGGCTAATTTTTGTGTTTTTAGTAGGGATGGGGTTTCACCATGTTGGCCAGGCTGGCCTCAAACTCCTGACCTCAGGCGATCTGCCCTCCTCGGGCTTCCAAAGTGCTGGGATTATAGGTGTGAGCCACTGCACCCCGCCAATCCAGCAAGTTTTAACTTGGCCAAAATCCACCAATCTTAAACTTTGTGCACCCTTCCCACTCTGAAGAACAGTGAGCCAGCCGGCCAGGGTGCGGGTATCTCCTACCTACCCTGGGGCCCCTCACTGTATGTTGACTATTGACAAATATTTATTGTGTGCTGGCTGTGAATAGGACTTGTATATTGAGCACTTAGGTGTCATGAACCATGCTGGATGTTTTGACCATATTATCCCCTTTAATTCTCACGACCCAACTCTGTGGGGCACTTTTACAGCTGGGAAACTGAGGGTTCAAGGGGTTAGGTATGGGACTTGCCCAAGGTCATAAAGGTATGTGGTAGCCAGAGTCCCTGTTCGGCACAGACCTGTTCTTTGCTGTCCTGGCCAGTGTTCCAGGCCTTGGGGACATAGCTGGGGCTGAAGCAGGGCTGTTTCTGCCCTCAGGCAGTTTACATCCTGGCAGAGGGGAGAGCTGGGCAACAGTGAGTTGCACAGACTTGTCTTATTACCGCTGTGGTATGTGCAGGAAGGGGAGGTGCTGGTTCTGAGGCTCCAGAGGGCTTGTCTTTTTTTTTTTTTTTTTGAGACGGAGTCTCGCTTTGTTGCCCAGGCTAGAGTCCAGTGGCGCGATCTCGGCTCAGTGCAAGCTCCGCCTCCCGGGTTCAAGCGATTCTCCTGCCTCAGCCTCCCCAATAGCTGGGATTACAGGCGCATGGCACCACGCACGGCTAATTTTGGTATTTTTAGTAGAGACTGGGTTTCACCATGTTAGCCAGGATGGTCTCGATCTCCTGACCTCGTGATCCACCCGCCTCGGCCTCCCAAAGTGCTGGGATTACGCTCCCGGCCTCTTTTTTTTTTTAGACAGAGTCTCACTCTGTTGCCAGGCTATAGTACAGTGGCACGATCTCAGCTTACTGCAACCTCCGCCTCCCAGGTTCAAGCGATTGTTCTCCCTCAGCCTCCCGAGTAGCTGGGACTACAGGCACACGCCCAGCTAATTTTTGTATTTTTAGTAGAGACAGGGTTTCACCGTGTTGGTCAGGCTGGTCTCAAACTCCTCACCTCGTGATCTGCCTGCCTCGGCCTCCCAAAGTGCTGGGATTATAGGCGTGAGCCACTGCGCCTGGCCTTTTTTTTTTTTTGGTACAGAGTTTCGCTCTGGTTGCCCAGGCTGGAGTGCAATGGCACGATCTTGGCTCACTGCAGCCTCTGCCTCCCGGGTTCAAGCGATTCTCCTGCCTCAGCCTCCGGAGCAGCTGGGATTACAGACATGCACCACCATGTCCGGCTAATTTTTTTTTTTCGAGATGGAGTCTCACTGTGTCACCCAGGCTGGAGTGCAGTGGCACAATCTCGGCTCACTGCAACCTCTGCCTCCCGGGTTCAAGCGATTCTCCTGCCTCAGCCTCCTGAGTAGCTGGGACTACAGGTGCCTGCCACCACACCCAGCTAATTTTTGTACTTTTAGTAGAGACGGGGTTTTACCATGTTGGCCAGGCTGGTCTTGAACTTCTGACCTCAGGTGATCCACCCACCTCGGTCTCCCAAAGTGCTGGGATTACAGGCGTGAGCCACCGTGCCCGGCCGTGGTGTCTTGAGCTGAGTGCAGAAGCGCAAATAGGGGGTAGGAGAAAATGCACCGCGAGGAGAAATGTGCTGCGGGCCTGCTGTCTAGCTGTGTCATTTGGTCGTTGCGGGGCCCTGTGAGGCCGGGAGGGCTGCCAGCACCCACCATGTGCCAGGCCTCGTTGCTAGTGCTGGGGCCAGTTCCTGCCCCGGTGGAGCTGCCACTGAAGGGGGAGGCGTAATAAACAAGATAGGTGAGTGCATATGCAGCGTGGTCTGTTGTGCTGAGGGCTGAAGAGAAACCAGAAGCAGGGCTCAGAGGCCAGGAGGACTCTGCAAAGGGATTTGGCATTATCACAGGGTGGCCAGGGAAGATCTTCAAGGTGACAGTGAGCAGAGGGAGGTGAGGGAGCCTGTGTGGACTTCAGGACTAGAGCTCCAGGCAGGGCCTGTTTGAGGAACATGGAGGAGGCGAGAGCAAGGAGTAGAGGTCAAAAGGAGGCAAGAAGCAGGGGCGTAGGCCTAGGAGGACATAGGTTCGCTTTGGCTTGGACTCAGAGAAGGGAAATCCCCAGAGGGTTTTGAGAAGAGGAGGTACAGGATGTAATGGAGGCTTAATAGGACCCTCTTGGCTGCTGAGTCGAGAACAGACTGGAGCAAGCAGGGACAGCCAAGCGAGGGGCGAGGTGACAGTGACTATCAGGTCAAGGGTGGAAGTAGTTGCCAGGGGCAGGAGGCGGATTCTGGACCTTGGAGGAGGTAAAGCCCACCAGAATGTGTCGGTGGCTTGGATGTGGGGTGTGAGAGGAACCAGAGATTCTGCCTAGGTTTCTTCTTGGGCAAGTGAACACGTGGAGTCCACGTAGGCTGTGTTCGGTCCGAGATGCCTTCTAGACATGCAGGATGTCAAGGAGGCAGCTGGAGAGATGGGTCTGGAGCTCACAGCAAGTCCAGGCTAGAGGTAGAAACGTGAGAGCCCCACGGCTGGGGAAGATTGCCATGGGATTGGAGATGAGCTCCAAGGACAGCCCTGGCAGTCTGGATGGAAGAGCTTGGGAAGATGCTCAGAAACCACAAAGTGGCTGGTGCGGTGGGAGGAAAACCAGAGTGTATGCTGTCCTAGAAGCAAAAGAAGAAAGTGTTTCAGTGTTTCTAGGAGCAGGAAGTGATCAACAGCCTTAGATCCTCCTTTTAGGCCAAGTAACATGAGGACTAAGAATTGACCACTGGATTTAGCAATGCAGAGGTCCTTGTGGCCCTTGATGTCGGCAGATGAGGGCAGTGTGGTCCAGAGATGAGGCTTGGGGCTGAGATGCAGCCCCGCTGCCTGGTCCAGCTCCTCCCTCATCCAGGCAGGGCTCCCCCGCCCAGCAGCCACTCCCCTCCCTGCCTGCTCATGGCCCCCTGCTCTCCCTTTCCTCCCCATACCCCCAGACCTGTGCTTGCCCGGGGAGAGTCAGGGCTCTCCTGTCAGCTGGGTCCCCTCCCAGCCCCGGGAGGCCGCCACTGGAGCCCTGCCTCTTCCTGGCAGGGAGCATCGAGTACAGCTGTCCGGCCTCCAACGAGTGTGAGATCACCAAGCGGAGACGCAAGGCCTGCCAGGCCTGCCGCTTCACCAAGTGCCTGCGGGTGGGCATGCTCAAGGAGGGTGAGCGCTGGGCAGGGGCTGGGCGAGGGCTGGGGGAGTCGGGGACCCGGGCCAGGTGGGGGTGAGGCCTGGGAGTTCTGGTGAGTGGACTCGGGGAGGACAGCTCTGGAGAGCAAGCCCCACCCTGCCCACAGCACCACAGTCACAGTCCTATCTGTCCCACAATTCAAGGAGTGCGCCTGGACCGCGTCCGGGGTGGGCGGCAGAAGTACAAGCGGCGGCCGGAGGTGGACCCACTGCCCTTCCCGGGCCCCTTCCCTGCTGGGCCCCTGGCAGTCGCTGGAGGCCCCCGGAAGACAGGTGAGAGCACTGTGGGTACCTGGGGCTACGAAACCGGAGGCCTATGTGTGGCATCATAGTTACCTTGGGCACTGGGACCTGTATTTCCCCTTCGTCTCTTCACTCACTCATTTCCCCAAGACATGTGAAACTGCCTTTTCCTGCATCAGGAAAAGTAGTAGAACTGGGAACAGGGACGATTTTCCAACACTCACAGCCTGTCCACAAACACACGGGCTTTCCCTGGGAGACAGTTAGCGCTCTTCCCTGGAGGGAAGTCACTGGACAGCTGCTACTGAGGAAGGCCACAGGGGGAGCCACTGTGGGAAGATGCTTGACCCCTGAGGCCTGACAGATTCGAGTGCTCCTGACTCTTGTCCTCTAATTGTCACAGCAGCCCCAGTGAATGCACTGGTGTCTCATCTGCTGGTGGTTGAGCCTGAGAAGCTCTATGCCATGCCTGACCCCGCAGGCCCTGATGGGCACCTCCCAGCCGTGGCTACCCTCTGTGACCTCTTTGACCGAGAGATTGTGGTCACCATCAGCTGGGCCAAGAGCATCCCAGGTAAAGGGCCCAGGTGACCCGGGGCTGCCCTGAACGGGCCCGGCTCTGGTGCGCTTGCTCAGCCAGGCCCGCTCCCCGCTGCCCCCTAGGCTTCTCATCGCTGTCGCTGTCTGACCAGATGTCAGTACTGCAGAGCGTGTGGATGGAGGTGCTGGTGCTGGGTGTGGCCCAGCGCTCACTGCCACTGCAGGATGAGCTGGCCTTCGCTGAGGACTTAGTCCTGGATGAAGAGGGGGCACGGGCAGCTGGCCTGGGGGAACTGGGGGCTGCCCTGCTGCAACTAGTGCGGCGGCTGCAGGCCCTGCGGCTGGAGCGAGAGGAGTATGTTCTACTAAAGGCCTTGGCCCTTGCCAATTCAGGTGAGTCTGGGGCAGGCACTGACAGGTGAGGTGTCTCCGTAAGGTCTTCAGGTTAACTCAGTGACGGTAGCACAGCCCCATTTTGCAGATAACGAAAACTGAGGCTTAGGGAAGAACAATGACTTGCTAGAAGTCAAAAAGCAAGCCAAGTGCAGGCTCCAAACTGCACACAGGATTTTGAGCCCTAGTGCCACACTAATGCAGAAAGGTCATTTAGTGGGAGGGAAGGTGGGGAGGGTACAAGGTGGCCACAGTTGAGGGAGAGAGGGTGGGGTCCTGGCCCACGAGCCGCAGCAATGAGTGGTGCCTCTCAGTCAGCCAATCAACAAATCCTCGTTTGGCTCTTCCTTAGGCCCCATCCAGCAGTGCTCAAGATACGGGGAGTGCCCTTGCCAGAGATAGCCCAGGCCAACACCACATTCCTCTCTTCTTGCAGACTCTGTGCACATCGAAGATGCCGAGGCTGTGGAGCAGCTGCGAGAAGCTCTGCACGAGGCCCTGCTGGAGTATGAAGCCGGCCGGGCTGGCCCCGGAGGGGGTGCTGAGCGGCGGCGGGCGGGCAGGCTGCTGCTCACGCTACCGCTCCTCCGCCAGACAGCGGGCAAAGTGCTGGCCCATTTCTATGGGGTGAAGCTGGAGGGCAAGGTGCCCATGCACAAGCTGTTCTTGGAGATGCTCGAGGCCATGATGGACTGAGGCAAGGGGTGGGACTGGTGGGGGTTCTGGCAGGACCTGCCTAGCATGGGGTCAGCCCCAAGGGCTGGGGCGGAGCTGGGGTCTGGGCAGTGCCACAGCCTGCTGGCAGGGCCAGGGCAATGCCATCAGCCCCTGGGAACAGGCCCCACGCCCTCTCCTCCCCCTCCTAGGGGGTGTCAGAAGCTGGGAACGTGTGTCCAGGCTCTGGGCACAGTGCTGCCCCTTGCAAGCCATAACGTGCCCCCAGAGTGTAGGGGGCCTTGCGGAAGCCATAGGGGGCTGCACGGGATGCGTGGGAGGCAGAAACCTATCTCAGGGAGGGAAGGGGATGGAGGCCAGAGTCTCCCAGTGGGTGATGCTTTTGCTGCTGCTTAATCCTACCCCCTCTTCAAAGCAGAGTGGGACTTGGAGAGCAAAGGCCCATGCCCCCTTCGCTCCTCCTCTCATCATTTGCATTGGGCATTAGTGTCCCCCCTTGAAGCAATAACTCCAAGCAGACTCCAGCCCCTGGACCCCTGGGGTGGCCAGGGCTTCCCCATCAGCTCCCAACGAGCCTCCTCAGGGGGTAGGAGAGCACTGCCTCTATGCCCTGCAGAGCAATAACACTATATTTATTTTTGGGTTTGGCCAGGGAGGCGCAGGGACATGGGGCAAGCCAGGGCCCAGAGCCCTTGGCTGTACAGAGACTCTATTTTAATGTATATTTGCTGCAAAGAGAAACCGCTTTTGGTTTTAAACCTTTAATGAGAAAAAAATATATAATACCGAGCTCAAAAACACTGTGTTTGGTGTCATTGGGTCAAGGGTTGGGGATACACACGGCAGAATTCGGAAACAGGGTATAGATCAACAAAAATACACAGTCATAACAAGAAAAACTGGCGCCTGGCACAATCAACTCTCAGTTTCCTCTTCACTCAGCAGCATGTTGGGGATCCCGCGGCTGATGGGGAACATACGTCCAGATTCCGGGCACTGCAGGGTGCCCTCTATCACTTCCACCTGCGGGCAGGGAGGGACAGAGCTGAGCACTGGCAGCCTCAGTGCGGGAGGCAGGTGGCCCGGGAAGCAAGTGATGGGCCGCTTCTCACCTCCAGCAGCAGGTGGTGCATGGTCCTCAGAAACTCCTCATTCTCCTCATATCCCTCAACCGGCCCTTTCGGCACCTGGATCAGACGCAACTGTGGGCAAGAGGCCAAAATTATCTCCGGGCATCCCGAACTCCCGCCTCAGCCCGGCTGAGGTGTGCCCGCCCCGCATTCCCCGGGATATGCTGGGGCGGGGTAAGGATCCTCACGTTATCGGCCGCCTCCAGGAACGCCGACCACTCCACTTTAGGTATCATACGCGCCACGAAGTTGGGGTTGAATTCCACAGGGCAGATACGGACCTCGGTGGCCTGCAGGGCGGAGGAGTTTAGGCAAGCACTGGACCCCGGCCCACCATCCCGCCCGAAAAGGGAAGACTGCCGCCGGCGGGTACCTGGAGGCGCAGGGGGAAGCCACGGGACCCCACCCCCCGCACATGCGAGCTCAGCAGATTGTGGGTAAGCAGTTTCATGTCGCCGCACAAACTCTCGCCAGGCCGGAACCGGAAAAAGGTCGTCCTCCGCTGCCTCACTTCCGGGGATGCTCCTCTCGATGCTATTGGATAGCCAGGAGAACCGGAAGTGGCGAACTTGCTGGAACTTCTCGTGTTTGTGGGAGCTGAGGTAGGTAGGTGAAAGACCTGTCGGGTCACGCGCCGCTACCGGAAGCGTCTCAGCAGGAGGTTCCTACGGCGCACGCCCAGCTTTTTTTTGCCACAAATTCTTCGTAAGATGCAAATCATATGCAAAATAGCTGCAATGCAGGAGCTCTCGTTGAATGCAAAATAAACACATTTTACTCCTACACAGGCGCCTAACACCGTCGTCCTCTGTATCCCACTTTCGGTTAAGGGGCAGAAATACCGCCCTATCTGTAAATTAGGCCCATGGAAGCCGAGCCGCACCTCATTCCTATATGCAAATTAGCTGCTCCAGTGCCGAAAGCTCCGCCCCATTTGTAGTTGCGTCGGCTGTCCAGCACCCAGTGCAAACGAGGCGTGGGTCCCGGAAGCTCTGTTCTGCGGGTGGCCGCTCGCGCCTGCGCAGTGGAGGCGGCCCAGGCCCGCCTTCCGCAGGGTGTCGCCGCTGTGCCGCTAGCGGTGCCCCGCCTGCTGCGGTGGCACCAGCCAGGAGGCGGAGTGGAAGTGGCCGTGGGGCGGGTATGGGACTAGCTGGCGTGTGCGCCCTGAGACGCTCAGCGGGCTATATACTCGTCGGTGGGGCCGGCGGTCAGTCTGCGGCAGCGGCAGCAAGACGGTACAGTGAAGGAGAGTGGGCGTCTGGCGGGGTCCGCAGTTTCAGCAGAGCCGCTGCAGCCATGGCCCCAATCAAGGTGACCGCTGGCCCGGCCGGGCCTGACATCCCCCACTACCCCCATGGCAATCCCCGTCCCGCTAGTCTGAGAGTATCGCTTTATTTCCTGCCTGCCAGACCCCTCCCCTCCGCCCGCCCGGCTCATCCCTTCAGAAGGCCCTCGTGGCTGCCCACCTTTCTCGCCAATCGTGGGGGCCTCACCTCCCGGGACAGTCCCGAGGCATTGTGTTTTTTGTTTTTTGTTTTTTTTTGAGACGGAGTCTTTCTGTGTCGCCCAGGCTGGAGTGCAGTGACGCAATCTCTGCTCACTGCAGCCTCCGCCTCCCGGGTTCAAGCGATTCTACTGCCTCAGCCTCCTGAGTAGCTGGGACTACAGATGCGAGCCACCACGCCCAGCTATTGTATTTTTAGTAGAGACGGGATTTCACCCCGTTGTTCAGATTGGTCTCGAACTCCTGACCTCAGGTGAACCCCCCCCGCCCCCCCCCGCCTCGGCTTCCCGAAGTGCTAGGATTACAGGTGTGAGACACCACTCCCGGCCTGATTTCCCCTATCTTCTGAAACAGCTGTCCCTTAGCGCCCCCGCGGGGGCTTACCCCATCCCACTCCATGACCTCCCCTCCCCCCATGGCGAATTCCCACCTTTCTGTCTTTCACTCACTTCCTGGAACCGTCCCCAGGGCCTTGGACCTTCCCCCTTCTCCTCCCAAACCTTGTGAGACCCCATTCCCTTTCTACTTCATCCTGCTCTCAACCTTTGGGCTCCTCAGAGGCCCTCACCTCTGACTCTCTCTCCCTACCCACTCTGGTCCCATGAAGCCCTCAAGTACTCTGGGGATGGATCCTTCCCCCTTCAAAAGATTCCTTCTTTTGTTCTACACCTCCTGGGTGTAGGGGCCTGGACACCCTCCCCCAACGTTCCACCTGCCGCTGCCCTTCCTCTTCCTCCTCCTGAGGGTGGGACCCTCAGACCTGGCCAAGATCCTCTCCCTCCATGTTGTCAGGGACTCCTCCTCACCCCCAAATACAGCCCTCTAGCCCCTGTCCATTTTATTCCACTCCTTTCCTGTAACCTAGACAGCATGTTATGCAACCCTTTGCGACACATGGGGAAACCTTCCCTCCCTTTCTCTGTTGTCACCAATGGCCCCTTAAGAGGAGCAGGGCCACCTTGAAACTTGGAGGATATGGGGTAACCCAGTGGGAGCGGGCAGGGAGGGCCCTTGGAAACTGACAGGGCTGGAGTATCCTGCTGGGTTTCAGCCCCGGTTCCTGCAGGCACAGCTGCCAGGCTCTCTGTTCACCTTCCTGCCTCTGGTTTGCCCCGGCTCCCTCACCCCCCTTACCCTGGAGTCCTTCCTTCTAGGTGGGAGATGCCATCCCAGCAGTGGAGGTGTTTGAAGGGGAGCCAGGGAACAAGGTGAACCTGGCAGAGCTGTTCAAGGGCAAGAAGGGTGTGCTGTTTGGAGTTCCTGGGGCCTTCACCCCTGGATGTTCCAAGGTGAGGCCCTTCCCCTTCTGAAGATCAGGACCTGGGATCTTTTGTGTTGCTCTTAAGTCCTCCACATAGTCCTGATAGGACTCCTAAAAAGCATTTCAGTGCCATCACAAAACAAGTAGAGCTGGGTAGAGCTGGGCGCGGTGGCTCACGCCTGTAATCCCAGCACTTTGGGAGGCCAAGGCGGGTGGATCACGAGGTCAGGAGTTCAAAACCAGTCTGGCCAAGATGGTGAAACCCTGTCTCTACTAAAAATGCAAAAAAATCAGCCGGACATGGTGGCGGGCGCCTGTAATCCCAGGTACTGGGGAGGCTGAGGCAGAGAATTGCTTGAACCCAGGAGGCGTAGGTTGCAGTGAGTGGAGATCGTGCCTCTGCAGTCCAGCCTGGGTGAAAGAGCGAGACTCCGTCTCAAAATGAAAAAAAAAAAAAAGAAAACAAGTAGAGACTGCAAAAAGGGAACAGTACCAGGAATGTTGGAGAAAAACATACTACAATTAAATCCAACACCCCTGTTGGTCCTGCTAAATGACAGGCACTGTGGAAGGTGCTTGGGACTCAGATAAATAAGACATAGATCTGCCCATGGAAAGTTCACGTCTGGACCATAAGGCATTAGGTTTCATTCTGAGCTTCCTAGTGGCCAAGGCAAAAAGGAAATAGAATGGTTTAGACAGCTCTCATTGTCTGATCAAAGGTGTTGAGGCAGAGCACTGAGGAGGGCCTGGAGATAAAGGGTGGGCTGGGGGTCAGATGCAGTTATCCCTTTGCCGACCCTTTGTTCCCCTTCCTCAGACACACCTGCCAGGGTTTGTGGAGCAGGCTGAGGCTCTGAAGGCCAAGGGAGTCCAGGTGGTGGCCTGTCTGAGTGTTAATGATGCCTTTGTGACTGGCGAGTGGGGCCGAGCCCACAAGGCGGAAGGCAAGGTGAGGTGAGGGGCCTGCAGGGAGTCAGGACCAGGTAGGATATTCTTCTTGTGACCTTTACTTTCTCTGCAGGTTCGGCTCCTGGCTGATCCCACTGGGGCCTTTGGGAAGGTGAGTGTTCCCCTGACCGCCACAGGGACATGGCAGTGCGGGGAGCAGTGGGGGCCCTTAGCCTCTTCAAGGATTTCTGACACTTTTCTCTGTCTCTTCTTAGGAGACAGACTTATTACTAGATGATTCGCTGGTGTCCATCTTTGGGAATCGACGTCTCAAGAGGTAAAAGTGGAGAGTCCTCTGTGGAGAGAGTCCTCTGTGGGAGAGAGTCCTCTGTGGGAGAGAGTCCTCTGTGGAGAGGGTCCTCTGTGGGAAGAGTCGTCTGTGGGGGAGAGTCCTCTGTGTGGGAGAGTCGTCTGTGGGGAGAGTCCTGTGTGGGGAGAGTCCTCTGTGGAGAGAGTCCTCTGTGGGGGAGAGTCCTGTGTGGGGGAGAGTCCTCTGTGGGGAGAGTCCTCTGTGTGGAGAGAGTCCTGTGTGGGAGAGAGTCCTGTGTGGGGAGAGTCTTCTGTAGGGGAGAGTCCTCTGGGGAGAGAGTCCTGTGTGGGGGAGAGTTCTCTGTGGGGAGAGTCCTCTGTGTGGAGAGAGTCCTGTGTGGTGGTGAGTCCTCTGTGGGGGAGAGTCCTCTGTGGGGGGAGTCCTCTCTGGAGTTCTCTTGGGCCCCTGGCTGTTCACTGCCTGTCTCCATGCCCAGCCTCCAAGCCCAGGCTGATGCAGCTGGCTGGGCCCCTCTTTCCGGCAGGTTCTCCATGGTGGTACAGGATGGCATAGTGAAGGCCCTGAATGTGGAACCAGATGGCACAGGCCTCACCTGCAGCCTGGCACCCAATATCATCTCACAGCTCTGAGGCCCTGGGCCAGATTACTTCCTCCACCCCTCCCTATCTCACCTGCCCAGCCCTGTGCTGGGGCCCTGCAATTGGAATGTTGGCCAGATTTCTGCAATAAACACTTGTGGTTTGCGGCCATCTCCTTGGTTATGAATGGCTGTTTCGCTGAGCGCCAGGCATTCTGGCATCATCACAGACTGGGTGAGAATGGTGAGGGCGCAGATGGGCTGAAAGGGAGAATGTAGGGGGTCCTGCTTAATTAAGGGGGAGCTAGGGAGGGCCTTTCAAGGGAAGTTTTTTTTTTTTTTTTTTTTTGAGACAGTTTCACTCTGTCCCCTAGGCTGGAGTGCAGTGGCATGATCTCGGCTCACCACAACCTCTGCCTCCCAGGTTCAAGCGATTTTCCTGCCTCAGACTCCCCAGTAGATGGGATTACAGGTGTCTGCCACCACGCCCGACTAAGTTTTTGTATTTTTGGTAGAGACGGGGTTTCACCATGTTGGCCAGGCTGGTCTCGAACTCCTGACCTCAGGTGATCACCCGCCTCCACCCCCCAAAGTGCTGGGATTACAGGTGTGAGCCACTGTGCCCAGCCTTGAGGCAGGTGTTACTGAGCACTGAGAAGGAGCCAGCAATCTGAAGAGGAAGGGAAGAAGCGCTCCCCACAGAGGCAGCACAGAGGGCGAGGCCTGGCCGATGGCATGTGGCGCACAGTGTGGCCTTTGTACCTGCTCTCTGGGTGCTGCCTGATGCCATTTAGTCTGGAAACCCCATGGCGGGAAGCTTGGCTCCCAGCATTCCTGCCGGGGCCCAGCCCCACCATCCTTTCAGACTTGACCCCCTCCTGGGCACACCCTCATCCCAGGAAGAGCTCAGGTCACTTTAGGACCATCTGATGGACAGGGAGAGGGGCTCTGGCACAGCACTTGCTCATTCCAGGAGGGCTCCCTGGGGGAAGAGTCTAGGTGAGCTGTGGAGGGGAGAAGATGCTGGTGAGGCCTGACCAGTGGTGGCTGGGTGTGAGGGGCCTCAAGTGGGGACACCAGCAGGGTGTGGGGATGGGGGCCATTGCCACGGCAGGCCCTGCTCCTGGGCCTCTGCCCCTTGGTGCAGGGAAGCCACGCCTGTGATGGTGAGGCCCCACTGCGTGGAGTCTAGGGGGCCTCTGTGCCCTGCGCGATGCTGCCTGCCTGCCCACCCCAGGTGTGGTAACAGCCCTCACAAGAATTGGTGAGGTGTGGACTGCTGCTGCCTCTCAGCCACCTACAGGGAGTCCGCATTCCATCACCGCGTGGAGCTGCCCTGCCATGAACCACATCAATACCTGGCTCCCAGGCACTTCCTGCGTAGTGGTCCCCAGGGGTCAGCCCCCACTGCTGACTCAGGCAGGCCACACTCTTGAGAGGTCAGGGAGAAGGTCAAAGCAGGGCCTCATAGAGCAAATGACCCTTGAGGCAGTGGGAGTGGCGCCTCAAGTGGGAGGCGGAGGGAGGCCCATAGCCCTAGGGGTGAGCCCCATAGCCCTAGGGGTGGAGGGTGGGACAATCCCATGCTGCCGCAGCAAGGTGGGTAGCAGGAGTAGGGGGGGAATGTTGGGGACAAGAGAGGATGCCTGGAGGTCAGTGGGCTCTCTGAAGCTGATGAGCAGCTTGCCTTCCACCCTACAGGCACCTTGGCCATGGGCTACCGTGTGCAGCCCCCAAGCTGGGAGGCTGGGAGAGGCACCAGATGGGCAGCAGGGAGCAGGACCCATGATGACAGCAATGCCCAGGAGGTGGAGGTGGAGATGTGTTGGGAGGGAGGGTGCATCCAGGGAGCTGCTTGCTGAAGGTGGAGGGGCTGGGTGCTTGTGGTCACGTCTGTGAGAACAGACACTCAGTAGGAGGGGAGCCAGCCTCCCTGCCCAGGGTTGCAGGTGCTCAGCCTACCCGAGTCGTGCTGCCCACCAACCTCTGTCACTGTGGTTCTCTCCCACAACCTGCCACCCCTTCAGGGGTCCCAGGTGGGGGCAGGGAAGGAGGCTGACTGCACCTCGAGCTGCCCTGGTAAACTGCCTGCCTCTCCTCTCCTGCCAAACTCGGGGGTACAGTGTTGTCCTCATGGACACGCATAACACAAAGCCCCTTTCTTTCCCGGATACCACCTCTTTATCCTCTCATCATACAAATGAGAAAACAGACGTGGAGCTTCCTACAGGGCACCTGTGAGCTAATGAGTGTCTCCATTAGTAAATAGGGGGTGGTGGTAGCAAATAGCCCACCCCACTGGCTGTGCACCCCACGCTACCCAGGCAGCTCCCTGCTATCGGGGAAGCCCAGCTCCGTCTCTGTCACTCTGCTGCCTGTTTCCTCTGCTCCTGGGCTATTATCTGGGCTGGCTGAGGCCAAGCAAGGCCTCTAGAGGAAGTGTCCCCTCCAAGGTCTGTTGCCACTGGCTGGGCCTCTAGGAAGGGTTGAGAGGGCTTCCAGGGCTGGGGTGGCCCTCTAGGACAGCCTGGTGTGGGTGGCGGTGGGGCTGTGGCCTCAGTGGCCCTGACTGCTGAGCATGTGGCTGAGCTTGCTGGAGTGAGGACGTCCTTGGGTGGGGGCACGGAGGACTGGCCCTGGAAGCTGCTCCAGGCCCTGGAGGGCCCAAGATTAAACAGCACCTGGCAAGAGAACCTTGCATAGCTGTCTCCAGGTTGGACAGGTGGGGCTTCAGGCCTGGAGATAAGGGCAGACCAGGCCACGGTGTCCTGGACCAGAGAGCCCTGGACATCTGGGCTGCACCTGGCAGAGCTGTGCGTGTGGCCTTCCTGGGCTCTTGGTGGCCGAAAGACCAATGTTAAAAAACATAACAGGCCAGGCGGGGTGGCTTACACCTGTAATCCCAGCACCGTGGGAGGCCAAGGCGGGTGGATCATTTTAGGTCAGGAGTTTGAGACTAGCCTGGCCAACATGGAGAAATCCCATATCTACTAAAAATACAAAAATTACTTGGGCATGGTGGCGCATGTCTGTAATCCCGGCTACTGGGGAGGGAGGCTGAGGCAGGAGAATTGCTTGAACCTGGGAGGTGGAGGTTGCAGTGAGCCGAGATCGTGCCACTGCATGCCAGCCTGGGAGACAGAGCAGGAGTCTGTCTCAAAAAAAAAAAAAAAAAAAAAAAAAAGAAAAGAAGCTGAAACATCCACCCAACAACACATGCCCCAGTGAAACTCACTTGCCTGTCCTAGCATGCCCAAGGCCATAGCAACTGAGACCAGAAGGCCAAGGGTGTTACTCAGCATCAGTGGTTCTGGGCCTTCCTGGGTCTAGAGTCCCTTTGAAACGCAGCTGAACAGACCCCAACATGAGCCTGAAGAGTGTTGACCTAAAAGGAAGAAGCCTAGGCAAAATTAATATCAGCGGAGACTTTATTTGGGCCAAGCTTGAGGATTGCATCCCAGGAGCACAGATTCAAGTTGCCCTGAATATACACTCCGATTAGCAGAAGTTGAAATGGATTTTAAAAGGACAAGAGAGCTCCTGAGTTGTTTACTAAGAATTTACATTAAAATAACAAACTGGCTGGCTGCAGTGGCTCAGGCCTGTAATCCCGGTTCCTCTGGCAGCTGAGGTGGAAGCATTGATTCAGGCCAGTTTGAGACCAGCTTGGACAACATAGCAAGACACCGTCCCTACAAAATAAATAAATAAATAAATAAGTAAATATATAAATAAGTTGTCGTAGTGCATGCCTGTGGTCGTAGCTACTCAGGAGGCTGAGGCGGGAGGATCGCTTGACACCAGGAGTTGGTGACTAACTACAGTTAGTGAGCTATAATCGTGCCACTACCCTCCAGCCTGGGTGACAGAGCGAGACCTTGTCTCTAAAAAAATAAAAATAGGCCGGGTGTGGTGGCTCACACCTATAATCCCAGCACTTTGGGAGGCTGAGGTGGGCGGATCACCTGAGGTCGGGAGTTCGAGACCAGCCTAACCAACATGGAGAAACCCCGTCTCTACTAAAAATACAAAATTAGCCAGGTGTGGTGGCTCATGCCTGTAATCCCAGCTACTCGGGCGGCTGAGGCAGAAGAATCACTTGAACCTGGGAGGCGGAGGTTTTGGTGAGCCAAGATCTCACCACTGCACTCCAGCCTGGGCAACAAGAGCCAAACTCTGTCTCAAAAAAAAAAAAACCCAAAACAAAAACAACTAAATAAAAATAAATTAGTGACACCCCGTCTCTACCAAAAAAATAAAATAATTGGGTGGGTGTGGTAGCACGTGCCTATAGTTCGAGCTACTCCAGAGGCTGAGTTGGGAAAATCACTTGAGCCCAGGAGGCCAAGACTGCAGTGAGTTATGATTATGCCACTGCACTCCAGCCTGGGTAATAGAGCAAGACCCTGCCTCAAAAAAAAAAAAAAAAAAAAAAG
This sequence comes from Homo sapiens, assembly GCF_000001405.40. Classification (NCBI taxonomy): domain Eukaryota; kingdom Metazoa; phylum Chordata; class Mammalia; order Primates; family Hominidae; genus Homo; species Homo sapiens. The sequence goes on from NC_000011.10 coordinate 64,326,076, forward strand.
GCTCAATAAAAGGTTATTTGAAAGATAAAAATCAGGCCAGGCATGGTGGCTCACGCCTGTAATCCTAGCACTTTGGGAGGCTGAGGTGGGCGGATCACCTGAGGTCAGGAGTTTGAGACCAGCCTGGCCAACATGGTGAAACCCCATCTCTACTAAAAATACAAAATTAGCCAGGCATGGTGGTGCCATGCCTGTAGTCCCAGCTACTTGGGAGGCTGAGACAGGAGAATTACTTGAACCTGGGAGGCAGAGGTTGCAGTGAGTCGAGATCACGCCATTGCACTCCAACCTGGGCAACAGAATGAGTCTCACCACAACCTCCGCTTCCCGGGTTCAAGCGATTCTTGTGCCTCAGCCTCCTGAGTAACTGGGACTACAGGCGCGTGCCACCATGCCCGGCTACTTTTTGTATTTTTTAGTAGAGATGGGGTTTCATTATGTTGGCCAGGCTGGTCTTGAACTCCTGGCCTCGTGATCTGCCCGCCTCAGCCTCACAAAGTGCTGGGATTATACGTGTGAGCCACCGCGCCTGGCCTATCGGGGGAGTTTTCAATAGGCCCTAAGGGAGTCAAGTCTGGGTTTCTGAGACAAAGAAAAGGTTGGAGGGGTCCTGGTGTTCCTGGCCTAGATCAGGCTTGGGCTGCAGCCATGAAGGTGCTGTGATCAGGGGCAGTGGAGGCTGCTGGCCCCAAAGGGACACACTCTACTGGGCGTGGTTGGGGTTTGGTGACACAGGCATTGAGAAGTGACAGCAGATAGTGCAAAGTGTGCATGGGTATAACTTCTGGAGAAGTTCAGGTAACATCTATGCGAAGGCACAGATTCTTGGTGTTAACGAGCATGCATATTGGCCTGCCATGTGATTATATTTGTATCATCAACTCGCACTCCTGGAGTTGGGAATCATGTCTTTTTACTTAACACAGGTAAGGAGCCCTGCTCAGGGTGGGAAACACAGATAATACTTAACACGTTTTGGGAAGGAGTAAAGAAGTGAAGGCCAGGCGTGGTAGCTCACGCCTGTAATCCCAGCACTTTGGGAGGCAGAGGTGAGCGGATCACCTGAGGTCCGGAGTTCGAGCCCAGCCTGACCAACATGGAGAAACCCCGTCTCTACTAAAAATACAAAATTAGCAGGGCGTGGTGGTGCATGCTTGTAATCCCAGCTACTCAGGAGGCTGAGGCAGGAGAATCGCTTGAACCTGGGAGGTGGAGATTGCAGTGAGCCGAGATTGTGCCATTGTCTGGGCAACAAGAGCAAAACTCCATCTCAAAACAAAACAACACAACAACAACAAAAAAACAAAGGCTTAGCTCACAGGTATGCACTAGAGAGGTTGAGCTAGTATGCTAGCTGTGTGATTATTCCTTCTGTCTTGCTGCTCTGCCATTTTAAACACGTCTTTACCTTATGATCCACTGTGGCTGCTTGAGTTCCAGCCATCACATTCATCGTCCAGCCTGCAGGAAGGAGGAAATGAAGAACAGAAGATAAAAGGCCCATGCCAGCTGTCTGTCAAGAAGCTTTTTCTGGAAGCTGTCATATATCCCTTCCACTTACATCTCACTGGACAGAACTTAGTCACATGGTCATACTAGCTGCAAAGGAAGCTGAGAAGTATCAACTTCATTCCAGGGTGCCATGTGTCTAAATTAAAAATTATGAGTTTTTTTAGTCAGGGAGAGAGAGAGAAAGGATATTGGGTGGACAGCAAGCAGTGTGGCCACACAGGGATCACCTCTGAGAAGAGGGACCTTTGAGGTTCCATGCTTCCCAGGAGATGCCCACTTCCCTGCCTTTCCTGTCAGCCATGGAAGGGCATGGTTAATACGAAGCTGGCCCAGATCCACGTGTGGTCCCCTCATCTCCCCAGTGACTTCTCTCCAAGCCTCTGTCCCCATTCCCTGCAACCTTGGTCACCAAAGTCACCCTGATTCCCAATTGTGGGTCCTCCAATCTCTTCCCTTTCAGCATCTACCAGACAATGTTCCCCGCTGGGATGCCCCTGCCCAGATCACTCTAACCTTCAGGGCCCCAAGTCAGTTTCACTGCTGAGGACAACAGCCCTCTTTCCTGGTTCCCTGTCCCTTTCCTGAATTAGTTTCTGCGGGAACTGAGCCACATGGTTCGGCTTCATCAAAGATAGATTTGCCAAATTGACATACAATTCACATATCATAAAATTCAGCCTGTAAAATTGTACAAAGGCTAGACATGGTGGCTCATGCCTGTAATCCCAGCACTTTGTGGGGGTGAAGGGGGATGCTTACTTGAGTCCAGGAGTTTGAGACCAGTCTGGGCAATATAATGAGACCTTGTCTCTTTTTTTTTTTTAAAGTGTACAAGTCGGTTGTTTTCAATATATTCACCGAGTTGTGCAACCATCACCACTAAGGCACAGGCGGATCTTTTTTTTTTTTTTTTTTGAGATGGAGTCTTGCTCTGGCACAATCTCGGCTCACTGCAAGCTCCGCGTCCCGGGTTCATGCCATTCTCCTGCCTCAGCCTCCTGAGTAGCTGGGACTACAGGCGCCCGCCACCATGCCCGGCTAATTTTTTGTATTTTTAGTAGAGACGGGGTTTCACCGTGTTAGCCAGGATGGTCTCGATCTCCTGACCTCGTGATCCGCCCGCCTTGGCCTCCCAAAGGCCTCCCGGCCTTTTTTTTTTTTTTTTTTTTTTGAGACAGGGTCTCCTTCTGTCACCCAGGCTGGAGTGCAGTGGCACGATCTCGGCTCACCACCAGCCTCTACCTCCTGGGTTCAAGTGATCTTCCTGCCTCAGTCTCCCTAGTAACTGGGACTACAGGCATGAACCACCATGCTCAGATAATTTTTGATTTTTTTTGGTAGAGACAAAGTCTCTCTGTGTTGCCTGGTCTGGTCTCAAACTCCTCTGCTCAAGTGATCCTCCTGCCTTGGCCTCCCAAAGTGCTGGGATTACAAGCATGAGACACTATGCCCGACCCTAAGACAGATCTTTAATCTCAGTGACTTCTCACCAAAAGAAGCTGCTTTTCTCCTCTGAGCATTGCAATTCTCATGTCATTATGAGTGGCCCAATCAGGTGTTCAGAGGTTCCACTTGCTCACCTGTGTCTCCTCACAGTCACATAGGTATCTTCCCTTCAGTGCCTCTTTGCTGAAAATCATCTCTGCACCAGGCACTGTGCGAGGCTCTGGGGATACAGCAGTGAATATGCCGTGCATGGGCCCTGCAGGCATCAGGTACCAGGTGGGAAGGGTGTTCCAGGGGTGGGAACAGCCACTGCTAAGGTCTGCAGGCCAGGAAGATGAGGGAGGTCTGGGCTGAGCAGTGGTGAGGATGGAGATGGGATATTGCCCGCAAGCTGTGGCTCGCGTGGTTTATCTTGGTGGAGAGCTGGGTGTTTCCAGTGTTTGGCTGGGGCAGCTTCCAGCTTTGGACACACTTCTATTTTTGTTTCCTCTTGGGCTCCTTCTACAGGGCTTATTCCCAAACGCTGGAGTGCTGGGTCAAAGGGCTCCGGAGGTTTTATTGGTCTCAGGAAATTCTGAGACCGTGCTGACTTGTACGCTTTTAGAGAGTGAATTTTATGACATGTGAATTGTATGCCAATTTGGCAAATCTATCTTTGATGAAGCTGACCAGTGTGGCCCAGTTCCCACATGGAACAATTCAGGGCAGGGACAGGGAGCCAGGTGTGAGGGCTGTTGCCTCTGAGCCACCTGTGACCTGTGCTGTGTTCTCTGCTGCAGTTGCCAACTAGAGTTGAGTTTTACCTTTTGGATTTATTTTTTGCCAGTTTAATGGATGTTTAATGGCACCTCGGAGCTGTCTTTAATGTGTGTGTCTTTAATTACGAGGGCAACTGGCAGCCATGGGGCTTGGCCCTGGATTTCCACCTTGTTTCCTAATTGGATGCTGGGCTCCAGCCTTGCTGTCCCACCCGACAGCAACAAGGAGTGGAGTGGAGCCGGGTGCAGTGGCTCGCGCCTGTAATCCCAGCACTTTGGGAGGCCGAGGCGGGTGGATCACCTGAGGTCGGGAGTTCGAGACCAGCCTGACCAACATGGAGAAACCCTGTCTCTACTAAAAATACAAAATTAGCCGGTCGTAGTGGCGCTTGCCTGTAATCCCAGCTATGTGGGAGGCTGAGGCAGGAGAATTGCTTGAACCCAGGAGGCAGAGGTTGCAGTGAGCTGAGATCGAGCCACTGCACTCCAGCCTGGGTAAGAGCAAGACTCTGTCTCCAAAAACACAAAACAAAACAAAACAAAACAAAACAAAATACAAAGGAATGGAGTGGAGGAGGTGGCGGGGAGCAGGGGGTGGAGGGTGGGGTGGGGTTGTGGGTAGAGTGGGGCTGGGAGACTGCGAGCTCTTAGCGCCAGAGGAGGACTGAGATTTCAGCCTCAGCTGCCCTACTTGCCCCCATTCCCTTCTGAGCTGCACTTTCCTGGCCTCTGAAATAAGAGTTCATTTGTTCAAAAACATAAAAAAAAAAAAAAACTGCCTTCAGTATCTTGGCTCTGCCACTTCCTGGCTGTGTGGCCTTAAGCAAGTGACTTAACCTCTCTGGGCATCAATTTTTTTCATTGTAAAGTGGGGATAACCAATAGATCCTGCATTTTTTTTTTTTTTTTTTTAGATGGAGTCTCTCTGTCGCCCAGGCTGGAGTGCAGTGGCGCAATCTCGGCTCACTGCAAGCTCCATCTCCCGGGTTCACGCCGTTCTCCTGCCTCAGCCTCCCGAGTAGCTGGGACTACAGGTGCCCGCCACCGTGCCCGGCTAATTTTTTTTTTTTTTTGTATTTTTAGTAGAGACGGGATTTCACCGTGGTCTTGATCTCCTGACCTTGTGATCTGCCCACCTCGGTCTCCCAAAGTGGTGGGATTACAGGTGTGAGCCATCGCGCCCGGCCAGCTCCTGTATTTTGCAGCTGAGGAGGGGATTAAGTGATTGAGATGTGGGAAGTGCTTAGAATGGAGCCCAGCAGAGATCAGTGGGCAGCGGACATCGGTGCTCTCATGGACCCAGTGGGCTCAGCACTGCGCTCTCTGCACTGCAGTCATGGGTGAGCCCATGATGGCTTCCACTTGACAGGGGAGCAGGCAAAGCAAGCACGCGAAGGTGCCGGGTGCATGGAGTGGAACCCTGCTGTGGGAGGAGGATGGGGGCTGCTTTACAAGAGAAAGGACTTTTCTTTTCTTTTGTTTTTTGAGACAGGGTCTCACTTTGTCACCCAGGCTGGAGTGCAGTGGTGTGATCACAGCTCACTGTAGCCTTGAACTCCTGGGCTCAAGTGATCCTTCTGCCTCAGCCTCCCTTGTTGCTGGGATGACAGGTGTGCTCCATCATGTGAGGCTAATTTTTGGATTTTTTTGTAGAGATGAGGTCTCACCATGTTGTCCAAGTTGGTCTTGAACCCCTGGGCTCAAGCAATCCTCTTGCCTCAGCCTCACAAAGTGCTGGGATTACAGGTGTGAGCTACCATGCCAGGTCATGAAAGGACTTTTCTGAGAAAGGGACATTTGAGAGACCAGTATGGGATAAGGGGAAAGGGTGTGTGTGTGTGTGCGTGTGTGTGTGTGAATGTGTGTGAGCATGTGTGAATGTGTGTAAGCATGTGTGAATGTGCATGCGTGTGAGCATGTGTGAATGTGTGTGTGTAGGGAGTTGGGGAGTGTGTGACTCAGACATGTTGAGCTCCAAGTTGAGTGGTCGGCGATGCAAAGGTGCCGAGTGGGGGAGAGCGATTGAGGAACCAGCGTGGCCAGAGTGGAGGAGAGGAGGAAGGATGAGGTCAGGGTGGTGAGGCGGCACCTCTCCACGGCCTTGAAGGTCATGGTGAGCTGCTGAGTCAACTCAGGGAGAAGCCACTGGAGAGCTTTAAGCCCGGCATGGCCGTGAGCCAGGCAGTTTCTGAATGACTCCTTCAGTGCTGGGTGGATGCCCCCTGGAGGAGGATTCGTGCCTGCACCCCAGCATGGCTTGGAGGCACAGGGTGAGGCACAGCAAGTGCCCCCCTGGAGCATGGGAGTGCCCGGGGAGAACAGGAAGGGAGAGCCGGCCTGGTGTCAGGTAGTGGGGGCTGGGCCGGGCCTCACTCTACAGTAGCGGGACCCCAGGCCGCGCAGGCTGCACTCTGAGTCACGGGGCACCTGGACGGGCACTGGGCAAATGGCCCTGGGCCCCACCCTTCCTGGCTCTGGCTTCCCACTGCCTCCTGCCACCTGGGTAGCTCTTTGGGACCACTCCCCTGGGCATTACTGCTAACTCCACCTCCACTATTTCACCCTCAAGTGGTGGGTGGGGAGACGACCCCTTCTCAGACACTTGGGTGGGAAGGAGGGGGACCCCGAAGATCTAGCAACAGAGGGTCAGCTGCCCAGAAGGCTTTGGAGGCTGTTTTTTGTTTTTTGAGACTGGGGCCCTGAATTATCTGCTTAGAGAGCTGGGCCCCAGCCAGGCCGCTGGGGTGCCAGGCGGAGCTCCGGGGCTGCCTGCAGCAGGGAGAAAGCCTCACTCTGACCTGGCTCTGGTTGGCTCAGGGCTCTTGCTGGATCTGGGCCCCCACCTGCCCTGGCCTCCTTGGCTTCCCCTTCCGCCCAAACCCCAGAGCCCTCCTGCTTCTGGCCTTTGAGACTGAACCAGAGCTAGCTAAAAAATTCGAACCCAGGCCGGGAGTGGTGGCTCACACCTGTAATCCCAGCACTTTGGGAGGCTGAAGCGGGTGGATCACCTGAGAGGTCAGGGGTTCCAGACCAGCCTGCAACGTGGTGAAACCCCCGTCTCTACTAAAAATACAAAAATTAGCCAGGTGTAGTGGCGCACGCCTGTAATCCCAGCTACTCCGGAGGCTGAGACAGGAGAATCGCTTGAACCTGGGAGGCGGAGGTTGCAGTGAGCTGAGATCGCGCCATTGCACTCCAACCTGGGTGACAAGAGTGAAACTCCATCTCAAAAACCAAAATAAAACAAAACAAAAAAACCCCCAAAATTAGAGCCTATAAGAGGACTGGGAGATGGAGTCCTTCCCAGCCCCGCCTGTGTGGATGGAGAAGCCGATTCCCTGGGGAGGAGACAGAGGCTGACTGTGCTGTCCCTCTGTCTGTCTGTCTTTCTCAGCTTCTTGCCCACCTCCGGGGTCCCCATGCTGGGCAGCAGTGGACAATGAGCCCCCCTACTTTTTTTTTTTTTGAGACAGAGTCTTGCTGTATCACCCAGGCTAGAGTGCAGTGGCACGATCTTGGCTCACTGCAACTTCCGGCTCCCGAGTTCAAGCAATTCTCCTGCCTCAGCCTCCCGAGTAGCTGGGATTATAGGCATGTACCACCATGCCCAGCTAATTTTCGTATTTTCAGTAGAGATGGAGTTTCACCATGTTGGCCAGGCTGGTCTCAAACTCCTGACCTCAAATGATCCACCTGCTTCGGCCTCCCGAATAGCTGGGATTATAGGCATGTACCACCATGCCTGGCTAATTCTTGTATTTTCAGTAGAGACAGGGTTTCACCATGTTGGCCAGGCTGGTCTCAAACTCCTGACCTCAAATGATCCACCCGCTTCAGCCTCCCAAAGTGCTGGGATTACAGGCATGAGCCATCGCGCCCAGCCGACACCGAGCCCCCTTAAAAGCTGCAAGGAAGAGATATCTGAGAAAGCCAGTCATTATGGCACTGTAGTCATAGCAAAATATGCAAACATTTAAAATATCCGTCAGCAGAAGGCTATTTAAATGATGACGGGATAGCCACGTGGTAAAATACTACACAGCTGTTAAAAAGGTCAAGGTTCTGAACAGAAATGAAATGGACTGCAAAATACATTGTGAAGCAAGGAAGGTGTGTGGCTGTGTATGTGGTTGCAGCCACTTGTTACAGGCTCACACATGCAGCCATTTGTATCCTCAGGAAGGACACAAGAAATTGCCTTTGGAAACGGGATGGGGACCCGGTGAAGGGATGGGAGACAATTTATTTTTTTCTCTATACTCTTATGTATTTTTTTTTTTTTTTGGAGACGGAGTCTCCCTTTATCCTCCAGGCTGGAGTGCAGGGGAGCAATCTCGGCTCACTGCAACCTCCACCTCCCAGGTTCAAGCGATTCTCATGCCTCAGCTCCCTGCCTGGGATTACAGGCACCTGCCATCACACCTGGCTACTTTTTGTATTTTTTAGTAGAAACGGGGTTTCTCCATGTTGTCCAGGCTGGTCTTGAACTCCTGACCTTAGGTGATCTGCCCGCCTCAGTTTCCCGAAGTGTTGGGATTACAGGCGTGAGCCATGGTGTCCGGACTCTGTGTACTCTGGATATTGGTTTTTCTTTTTCTTTTTTTTTTTTGAGACAGAGTTTCACTCTTGTTGCCCAGGCTGGAGTGCAATGGTGCCATCGCGGCTCACTGCAAGCTCTGCCTCCTGGGTTCAAGCGATTCTCCTGCCTCAAGCTCCCAAGTAGCTGGGGTTACAGGCATGCACCACCAAGCCTGGCTAATTTTTGTATTTTTAGTAGAGACAGGGTTTCTCCATGTTGGTCAGGCTGGTCTTGAACTCCCGACCTCAGGTGATCTGCCCGCCTTGGCATCCCAAAGTGCTGGGATTACAGGCGTGAGCCACCACGCCCAGCCGACATTGTTTTTTTGTTGAGACAGGATCTTGCTCTATTGCCCAAGCTGGAGTGCAGTGGTGTGATCACAACTCACTGCAGCCTTGACCTTCCTGGCTCAAGGGATCCTCTCACCTCAGCCTCCCAAGTAGCTGGGACCACAGGCACGCACCACCATGCCCAGTTAGTTTTTTAGTGTTTTTGTACAGATGGGGTCTTGCTATATTGTCCAGGCTGGTCTCCAACTACTGGGCTCAAGTGATCCTCCTGCCTCAGCCTCCCAAGATGCTTGGATTACAGGCATGAGCCACCACACCTGGCCTCATTCTTGACACTTTTGATCATGTGCTGTATCTGAAAAAAAATTTTAAGGGAAAAGTCCAAGGTAAAGGGACCACTTCCACCCTTTAAAGAACACCCCTGAACACCTAAATGGGCCTTGGAATCCCCGGATCTCAGCGTCAGCTGATGAGCAAAGCCCCTCTCCAGCCTCCCCTCCTCCCCACAGATTCCCTCTGCCTGACTCAGCTGAGGCGAGTCAGATAACCAGATGGAGGTGCAGCCAGGCTTGTCTGGAGTGACAGATGTGAGAGCAATAGAGACATGGCCCTGCCCCTAAGGCCTGAGGAAGGGTGTGACTCAGATATTGAGCAAGACAGAGGCCCTCAGTCACCAGGAGGTGAGCCCCTGTCACCACACTTGGATAACCCCGTGGGAGCTGCTGGGCGCGCACAGGACAGGTGCTCCTGAGGGATGCCCGTGCGGGGGTGGGTATGCAAATAGGAACAAGCTTTGCAGAGTGGACGGATGCTTGATATTATTATTATTATTTTAATATTATAAAATACTTTATTAAAATTCAGGAAGGGTTAGGTCAGGTGTGGCTCATGCCTGTAATCGCAGAACATTGGGAGGCTGAGTCACTTGAGGTCAGGAGTTTCAGACCAGCCTGGGCGATATGGTGAAAACCTCATCTCTACAAAAAATACAAAAATTAGCTGGGCGTGGTGGTGATGGGTGCCTGTAGTCCCTGGGGAGGCTGAGGCATGAGAATTGGTTGAAGCCAGAGGTGGAGACTGCAGTGAGCCAAGATCACGCCACTGTACTCCAGCCTGGGCAATAGAGTGAGTGAGACTCCATCTCCTCCCACCCCAAAAAAAAAGTAAAATAAAAAAGTAATAAGATTCAGGAAGGGTTAGTATTTTTAATTCAGTATATATATACATACATATATATACACATACATATATATACACATACATATATATACACATACATATATACATACATATACATATACACACACATATATACATATATACACATATATACATATATACACATATATACATATATACACACATATATATACACACACACATATATACATACACACACACACACACACACACACACACACACACACACACACACACATATATATATATATATCGGAGTTTTGCTGTTGTCCCCCAGGCTGGAGTGTAGTGGCCCGATCTCGGCTCACTGCAGTCACCGTCTCTGGGTTCAAGCAATTCTCATGCCTCAGCCTCCCCAGTGACTACAGGCATCCATCACCACCATGCCTGGCTAATTTTTGTATTTTTAGTAGAGACAGGGTTTCACCATATTGGCCAGGCTGGTCTCAAACTCCTGACCTCAGGTGATCCACCCACCTCGGCCTCCCAAAGTGCAGGGATTACAGGCGTGAGCCACTGTGCCTGGCCAGGTATAGAATTTTAAAAAAACTTACATTTTAGGTTCAGGGGTACACATGCAGCTTTGTTATATGGTAAACTCATGCCACGGGGGTTTGTTGTACAGATTATTTTGTCACCCAGGTATTAAGCCCAGTATCCAATAGTTATTTTTCCTGCTCCTCTCCCTCCTCCCACCCTCCACCCTCAAGTAGGCCCCAGTGTCTGTTGTTCCCCTCTTTGTGTCCGTGTGTTCTCATCATTTAACTCCCACTTATGAGGGACAACATGCGGTGTTTGGTTTCCTGTTCCTGCATTAGTTTGCTAAGAATAATGGCCTCCAGCTCCATCCATGTCCCACGAAGGACATGATCTCTTTCTCTCTTTTCTTTTTTTTTTTGAGATGGAGTTTCCCTTTTGTTGTCCAGGCTGGATTGCAGTGGTGCGATTTCGGCTCACCGCAACCTCCGCCTCCTGGGTTCAAGCGATTCTCCTGCCTCAGCCTCCCGAGTAGCTGGGATGACAGGTGTGAGCCACCGTGGCTGGCTAATTTTGTATTTTTAGTAGAGATGGGGTTTCTCCATGTTGGTCAGGCTGGTCTCGAACTCCGGACCTCAGGTGATCCGCCCGCCTCAGCCTCCCAAAGTGCTGGGATTACGGGCGTGAGCCACCGTGCCCGGCCTTGATCCTTGATATTATTAATACTAAAGATAATAATCAGGTTGGGTGTGGTGGCTCACACCTGTAATCCCAGCACTTTGGGAGGCTGAGGTGGGCAGATCACCTAAGGTCGGGAGTTTGAGACCAGCCTGGCCAACATGGTGAAACCCCATCTCTACTAAAAAAAATAGAAAAATTAGTCAGGCATGGCAGCGCATGCCTGTAATCCCAGCTCTGTAGGGAGCTGAGGCAGAAGAACCGCTTGAACCCAGGAGATAGAGGCTGCAGTGAGCCGAGATTGCTCCACCACACTCCAGCGTAGGTGATAGGGCGAGACTCTGTCTCAAAAATAATAATAATAATAATAATAATCACCCCAGGGACATTTAATGAAGGCTTGTGCTGGGCATCAAGGCCTGGAATTCTGGCAACAATGAGAGGATCACTCCCATTTCCAGAGGTATTTCAAAAGGGCTGAACAGCTGGCTGTGCTCCTCTGCTACCAATCCTGCATGGCTTCCTGTGGCCTGGTCAAGCCCAGCTCACCTTGACTATGGGTGCCCCTTGCTCCTTGCACTCTTGCCCCACTGCCTTCTTTTAGTTGGCTCTGCCACTTAAAAGCTGTGTGACCTTAGGCAAATTACTTAACCTCTCTGTTCCCTCCTCTATAAAATGGAGATAATCCATAGTCCTTATTTCACAGACTAGTCCAGAGCCAACACGTTAGTAAGTGTAAAGCACTTACAACCATGCCTAGCTCAAGGGAAGCCCGTGTTTGCTATGATGTCATTATTACGCCATATTTCATCAAATCTAAGATGTTGGCCAGATGTAGTGGTGCACGCCTGTAATCCCAGCACTTTGGGAGGTCAAGGCAAGCGGATTGCTTGAGATCAGGAGTTCAAGACCAGCCTGGGCAACATGGTGAAACCCCATCTTTACAAAAAATACAAAAATTAGTTGGGTGGATGGTGGATGTCTGTGGTCCCAGATACTGAGGAGGCTGAGGTGGGAGGATCCCTTGAGCCAGGGAAGTTGAGGCTACAGTGTGTTGTGATTGCATCACTGCACTCCAGCCTGGGTGACAGAGATCCTGTCTCAAAACAAAAAACAAAAAAAAACTAAGATGTCATCGATTATAAAAATGTCACTAAGAAAAGAGAATGCTGCCAGTTAACGATGTCCCAAGGTTCTTTCATCACTAGAATTTTTCTTTTGTATTTCTCGAAAGAGCTCTGTTTCACTTAAATGTAGATTCTTATCATATATAATTCTCATGCACACATAAAAAGGATAATAGAAGCAAAATAAATTGGTTACCATGTTCAGAAAACTCCTTCACATTTAGAGTCCAACTTGTTTGAATCATTTTTGGTCTGAGAGTCGTGATGTCTGTGTCTGCCTGCCACCTCCTTCTCTGAGTCCTTGAGAGTTCTACGGAGAGCAGTACTGCTCCAAACATTCCATAAAACAGCCAGGCGCTCTTAAGCCAGCTTTACAATTGTGCAGATGAAGTGGAGCCGAGTTTTCACTCTGCTCTAGGAGTGTCACTGACAGGCCGGGCGTGGTGGCTCACACCTGTAATCCCAGCACTTTCAGAGGCCGAGGTGGGTGGATTGCCTGAGGTCAGGAGTTCGAGACCAGCCTGGCCAACATGGTGAAACCCTGTCTCTACTAAAAACACAAAAAAGCATCTGGGCGTGGTGGCAGGTGCCTATAATCCCAGCTACTCAGGTGGCTGAGGCAGGAGAATTGCTTGAACCCGGGAGACGGAGGTTGCAGTGACCCGAAATTGCACCATTACACTCCAGCCTAGGCGACAGACACAGCGAGACTCCGTCTCACCAAAAAAAAAAAAAAAAAAAAAAAGGGAGTGTCACTGACAAGCCTGGTTCCCTTCCCCTGGGGTTTCCCACCATTTGAGTCCCAGGGCTAAAAAGGGTTCTGCTTGCCTCTAGGATTTCTTCCAAGCTGCTGACACTCTTCTGAAGGATTTGATGCTGGTGCTTTTCAGGTGTGGGTCCTGACAGTGATGTTGGGACGGCAGCTAGCCAGACAGCAACTGTACCATGTAAACTCACTTCAGAGGTGTAGAATGGGGGCTGCGTGAGGCAGCTCATGCCGTCATCTCAGCCCTTCAGGAGGCCAAGGCGGGAGGATCACTTGAGCCCAGGAGTTCGAGACCAGCCCGGGCAACACAGCAAGACTCTGTCTGTACAAAAAACAAGCAAAATAATTAGCCAGGTGTGGTGGCACACACCCGTAGTCCCAGTTACTCAGAAGGCTGAAGTAGGAGAATTGCTTAAGCCCAGGAGGTTGAAGTTGCAGCGAGTTGTGATCTTGCAACTGCACTCCAGACTAGGTCACAGATTCAGACTCTGTCTCTTAAAAACAAAACAAAACAAAAAGTGAAACGTGAACATTAAGCATCTTGGAATAGATAAAACATGCATAATTTCCAATCTTTTTGCTGACCATGCTTCCAGCTGCCTCAGAGCAGTTGCACATTCTGTTCCTGCTGCCTGGAATACCCTCCCTTCCTTTCCACTTTGCCCTGTTAACCCAGCCATCCCTGATCTCATGCGTACTCCAGGATGCCTTCCCTGATCATCCTGCCGAGGTCAAATCCCCTCCCCTTCATAGCACCTAGTATGGCTACAACAGTCTCGAGTGTATAGAGGATGGGGTGGGGTGAGGTCACAGGAATGATGCTCCCTTCTATCTGGGGTTCAAGGGAGGCTTCTTGGAGGAGCATCTGAACCAGGCTTCCCAGGGGATGTGGTTTGGGTAACTTTGAGAAATACTGAAGGGAAAAGAAAGAACGCTGTAGTGAGTGAAGCCTGGCATTTGGGAAGATGGGTGTGTGGGTGACCAAACTCACCACGCAAGGCCCAGAGCCCTTTTGAGGCCCTCGAAGGTCCCAGGCTGGGGTCATCCTCTCCAGTTTCAGTTTGAGAAAACAAGGCCCAGAGAGGTGAAGGGCTGTTCGGTCATTGCCCATGGAGCCAGGGGAGCTGTGGGCCTTCCGCCGCCAACCTCTGGGCTAGCCCTGCAGAGATGCTAGGAGGATGCAGGGAGGTGAGGTGGGGGCTGAGGTAGGACTCAGACTGCCCAGGCCCGCCTGCACCCGGAAGGAGGAAGCTGCACAGGGTGTCTGTGGCTGGCCCCGGGATCCCCCACTCGGGGACTTCCTCTTCCTCTCAGGGCAGGTGCAGCTGCCACAGTGAGACGGGCACCCCGACCCGGGCATGGAGGGGGGCAAGGGGCCCAGGCTCAGAGACTTCCTGAGTGGGAGTCTGGCTACCTGGGTGAGGGGGCAGGTGGCAGCGGGTTGGGGAGGGGAAGTGAGCCCCAGCCAGGGGCTGGTGTTGGCGCTGGCCGGGGGAGGGTGAGGCAGAACCAGGCCGGAGGGGAGGGCTGGGTTCAAATGTGGGGGATGGAGATATGGTGTGGGGGGCTGTGGTGAGGGAAGAGGGGACAGAGGCACTCAGAGGACGGGTGAGAAGGGGTGCTTGGGCTCACTGGGGCAGGTCGGAGGGGCTCAGGGTTCACTCTGCTGGTCGGCTGACCCCTCTGGGCTCCTCACAGGCGCTGGGACTGGCCGGGCTGGTCGGGGAGGCGGAGGACTCGGAGGGGGAAGAAGAGGAAGAGGAGGAAGAGCCGCCCCTTTGGTTGGAGAAGAGATTCCTGCGCCTCAGCGATGGGGCCCTGCTCCTCCGGGTGCTGGGCATCATGTAAGGGGCATCGGGCCGGGGCGGTGGCGGGGAAGGATCTGAGAGGAGGGGAAGCGGGTGGGCGGAGCCTGATGCTCAGTGGGCGGGGCCTGAGGGACGGTGGGCGAGGCCTGTTGACGGGAGGCGGGTCCTCGAGCCCACCTCCGGCTCATAGTGCCCCCAGCTCCCGAGGGGGACCTCGGATGCTCAGAGGCCTTGACGGACCTGCTGCCTGGCGAGTGTGGAACCTGAACCACCTGTGGGGCCGACTGAGGGACTTCTACCAGGTAAGGGGTCTCGAGGGAAAGGCGGAGACAGGAGGGGAAGAGGAGCCCCTTCGGGAAGGCGCCTCATATAGTCTGCCTCTCTGCCTCCAGGAGGAGCTGCAGCTGCTGATCCTGTCGCCACCCCCAGACCTCCAGACATTGGGATTTGACCCTCTCTCAGGTGCTCTCCCCACCCACACCCTCCTGCCTCTGCCCCCGCACTACTCTACCTTCCCCGCCCCAGTTAACCCCTTGTGGCATGTGCCTTGCAGAAGAAGCGGTGGAGCAGCTGGAAGGCGTTCTTCGGCTACTGTTGGGAGCGTCAGTACAGGTGAGCCGGCGGTGGGAAGGAAAGGTTAGGGTCGAGCTTTGGCGGTAGAGGAGGGAGATCCTGCACCAGCTCCCCTTCCTGTCTCCCCTCAGTGTGAGCACCGGGAACTCTTCATCCGCCACATCCAGGGCCTCAGTCTCGAGGTCCAGAGCGAGCTGGCCGCTGCCATCCAGGAGGTACTGAGACGGTTCGGCAGCCCAGACTGGTATGGCACCTGGGACGCCCTTGCCACACCGCGGCTTCCACTGAACTGCTCTTCCTGCGCCCCAGGTGACCCAGCCGGGGGCCGGCGTGGTGCTGGCACTGTCTGGGCCAGATCCTGGGGAGCTGGCACCTGCCGAGCTGGAGATGCTGTCCCGGAGCCTGATGGGGACACTGTCGAAGCTGGCACGGGAGCGTGACCTGGGGGCCCAGGTAGGGGCAGCAGGGGCATCGTGGACTCAGGTTGGGGAACTGGAGGACCATCAGGGAGCCGGTTGTGCAAGGGAGATGGAAGTTTGGGGCCCAGGCATGGGGTTGTGGTCTGAGGTCTTGGGCCATCAGTGATGTCACAACCAGATGGCCCAAGACCCCAGACCACAACCCCATGTCTGGTGTTGTGGTTGGGGGTCGATGTGCAGAGGCATTGGATAAGTTAGTCCTGACCCTTGACCCCTGACCTACAGCGGCTGGCTGAACTGCTGCTGGAGCGAGAACCCCTCTGCTTGAGGCCTGAGGCTCCCTCTAGGGCTCCCGCCGAGGGCCCCTCGCACCATCTGGCCCTGCAGCTGGCCAACGCCAAGGCTCAGCTGCGGCGTCTGCGGCAGGAGCTGTGAGTGTGCGCAGCCTGGGAAGGGGACTGAGTGGAGAGGGGCAGATTAAGCCTGGATGGGACCCTAGCCCTGGTGGCTACGGGAGGGGTCAGGCCTGGGAAGGGCTGGGGGTTGTGGGCCCCCAGACCCTCCCTAGACTCCCCTTCCCTCCAGGGAGGAGAAGGCCGAGCTGCTGCTAGACTCCCAGGCCGAGGTGCAGGGTTTGGAGGCCGAAATAAGAAGGCTCCGCCAGGAGGTGCGCTCACATGCTCCCCGCCACCGCGGCATTCCCTAACCTCCCCGCACCCGGTCCCATTGCCTCCCTCCCAACCCGGCTCCTTCCCGTCCCTAATCCCTCTGGCCCGCGGCTGGCTGTTCCCAGCTCCACACCGTCTGGCCCAGGCCCAGGCGCTGTCGGGACAGGCCAAGCGGGCCGAGCTGTACCGCGAGGAGGCAGAGGCGCTGCGGGAGCGGGCCGGCCGCCTGCCCCGCCTGCAGGAGGAGCTGAGGCGCTGCCGCGAGCGGCTGCAGGCGGCTGAGGCCTACAAGAGTCAGCTGGAGGTGAGGCGGAGACGGAGCCGCGGGGCGGGGCGTGCGCGAGGGGGCGGGCCAGGAGGAGGGGCGAGATTGGGTCCCGAGGGCAGAGAGGCAGGTTCTCTGGAGGGGACAGTCACAGGTGGAGAAATGGGTGAGGACAAATTCAGGGAGGTGGCGTCTGGGAAAGGGCCTCCAGAGGATGGGGCAGGTGTAGGGGAGTGGGGGGGCTGTGTAAGTGATGCAGCCTTGGAAGGAGGGCTGTTCCCGGGGGGGAGGGGCGGGGCATGGACAGAAGGGCGGGGCCTGCACAAAGGGCGGGGCCAGGGGCGAGGGAGAAAGTACCTGAAGAGATCTTGGTGGGAAGAAGATGGAAGGGAGTGGCGGGGCCTAGAGACTGATGGGGTGCAGGGTGGGGGAGGGAGGCAGGGTCTGTGACAGGCTGAGGGGAAGGAGTTTGGGACCCTCAGGCGCTGGAGTGCATGGGGGCTGCGTGGCTACCGGTTCTCCCTGCTCTCCCACCAGGAGGAGCGGGTGCTCTCGGGGGTGCTGGAGGCGTCCAAGGCGCTGCTGGAAGAGCAGCTGGAGGCTGCCCGAGAGCGCTGCGCCCGGCTGCACGAGACCCAGCGCGAGAACCTGCTGCTGCGAACCCGGCTGGGCGAGGCCCATGCGGTAAGGTAGCCAGAGTGATCCCACTTGGGTTGCCCCGTCACCCCATGACCCCATTGATTCCCTAGTGGTCCCTAGTGATTCTTGCAACCTCTGCTCTTGGTGACCTCTAGTGACCCTCCGACCTACACACTCGGCCTGGCCATGGTGTGGAGGGCTTGTCTGACCCTTCCCTCACCCCCAGGAGCTGGACTCTCTGCGGCATCAGGTGGACCAGCTGGCTGAGGAGAATGTGGAGCTGGAGCTGGAGCTTCAGCGGAGCTTGGAGCCACCTCCAGGATCCCCTGGGGAGGGTGAGGGACCCCACTGGAAGGGCTGGGGTGGGGGCTTCCTATGCTTTCCAGCAGTGTACTGGGGAGAGCCTCTGACTCCCTCCCTTCTCCCAAGCCTCTGGGGTGTGTATGTGAGGAGCCAGGCAGTAAAGGAGGGGTCCTGACCTCATCTCTCATCCTCAGCACCCCTAGCAGGAGCGGCCCCCTCGCTGCAAGATGAGGTGAGGGAGGCAGAGGCTGGGCGGCTTCGGACCCTTGAGAGGGAGAACCGGGAGCTTCGGGGGCTGCTTCAGGTGCTTCAGGGGCAGCCAGGGGGCCAGGTAAGTCCCCTCCCCCAGGGTCCTGGCCGGCCCTTCCCCTAGTCCCTCCCTGGGCCTGACTGTCCCTCTCGTATGCCCTCAGCACCCCCTGCTGGAGGCACCGAGAGAGGACCCTGTTCTTCCAGTGCTGGAGGAGGCTCCCCAGACTCCTGTGGCCTTCGACCACAGCCCTCAGGGCTTGGTTCAGAAGGCAAGGGATGGAGGCCCCCAGGCCTTGGACTTGGCTCCCCCGGCATTAGACTCAGTGCTCGAGGCATCAGCTGAGTGTCCCCAGGCACCTGATTCAGACCCACAGGAGGCAGAGAGTCCCCTTCAGGCAGCTGCCATGGACCCCCAGGCCTCAGACTGGTCCCCGCAAGAGTCAGGCTCTCCTGTGGAGACACAGGAGTCCCCGGAGAAGGCTGGCCGTAGATCCTCTCTCCAGAGCCCTGCCTCTGTGGCCCCACCTCAGGGTCCAGGGACCAAAATTCAGGCCCCGCAGTTGCTGGGAGGAGAGACAGAGGGAAGAGAGGCTCCCCAAGGCGAGTTGGTGCCTGAGGCCTGGGGGTTGAGACAGGAGGGCCCTGAGCACAAGCCAGGGCCTTCGGAGCCCAGCTCTGTGCAGCTGGAGGAGCAGGAGGGCCCAAACCAGGGCCTGGACCTGGCCACGGGACAAGCAGAGGCCAGAGAGCATGACCAGAGGCTGGAAGGGACGGTCAGGGACCCAGCCTGGCAAAAACCACAGCAGAAGTCAGAAGGGGCTCTTGAGGTCCAGGTCTGGGAAGGCCCAATCCCAGGGGAGAGCCTGGCCAGTGGTGTCGCAGAGCAGGAGGCCCTCAGGGAGGAGGTGGCACAGTTGAGGAGAAAGGCTGAGGCCCTTGGAGATGAGCTGGAAGCCCAGGCCCGCAAGCTGGAGGCCCAAAACACGGAGGCTGCCCGCCTCTCCAAGGAGCTGGCCCAAGCGCGAAGGGCAGAGGCCGAGGCCCACCGGGAGGCAGAGGCCCAGGCCTGGGAGCAAGCCCGGCTGC
Organism: Homo sapiens; assembly: GCF_000001405.40. Classification (NCBI taxonomy): domain Eukaryota; kingdom Metazoa; phylum Chordata; class Mammalia; order Primates; family Hominidae; genus Homo; species Homo sapiens. The sequence goes on from NC_000011.10 coordinate 64,344,922, forward strand.
GGGAGGCAGTGGAGGCTGCTGGCCAGGAGCTGGAGTCTGCGTCCCAGGAACGGGAGGCGCTGGTGGAGGCGCTGGCAGCAGCGGGCCGGGAGCGGAGGCAGTGGGAGCGTGAGGGGTCCAGGCTGCGGGCCCAGTCGGAGGCCGCCGAGGAACGGATGCAGGTGCTGGAGAGCGAGGGCCGCCAGCACTTGGAGGAGGCTGAGAGGGAGCGCCGGGAGAAGGAGGCCCTCCAGGCGGTAGGTCAGGTTGGGGCTCACCGCTGGGGTTGGGAAGCAGAGTTCCAGGCTGTTGGGAGTTACTGATTCCATCAGCAGCTGTTCAGTGGGTGCCCAGCACTGAGCTGGGGCTGGAGATAGAAAGGCCAAGTCCACCCCTGCCTTCCAAAGGTGTGCCTGGCCTGGGGCACAGAGCCATGTCCACTGTGTGATGGGGGCGCTGTGGGAGGGGGTGGGACTGCCTAGTACACATCTTGGCTCTCTGGCTGCAGCAGTAGACTCACCTCCACCCCAGGCATCCTTCTGTAAAACAGGGGTACTATTCCTGGCCACCTGGGGTGGTCTTAGGAGGACCTTGGGAGACAGTAGCTGTAAAGGTCTGGTTCATGCTGGCAAGGGTATGTTGTAAGTGTTCAAGCACTGGTTATTCAGAGCCAAGTGCTACGAGAGCCCATGGGAGGGTGAGCTGATGCCCAAGTGGAGGCAAGGAGGCTTTAGGAGGAGTGACCATAATGTCACTAGGTGGGGAGGACATTTTGTCCAGAGGGAATGGCATGTGCAAAGACAAAGGCATTAAAGACGCTCAGGGGCTGGGTGTGGTGGCTCACACCTGTAATCCCAGCACTTTGGGAGGCCGAGGTGGGTGGATTACTTGAGGTCAGGAGTTCTATACCAGCCTGGCCAACATGGTGAAACCCTGCCTCCATTAAAAATACAAAAATCAGCCAGGCGTGGTGGCAGGCACCTGTAATCTGTTACTTGGGAGGATGAGGCAGGAGAATTGCTTGAACCCGGAAGGCGGAGGTTGCAGTGAGCTGAGATTGTGCCACTATACTCCAGCCTGGGCGACAGAGCGAGACTGTCTCAAAACAAACAAACACCATCCAATGAAACAACAACAAAAAAAGAATGCTCAGGGCCCAGGAGGAAGGGATGATGAGGGCCAGCTTTGAATGTGTTGGTCCTCCCTCCCCAGGCAGGGAAAGCCAGGGTAGAACTGTGTGGGGCTGCGCTTGAGGAGGGTCACCTTGGTGGACAGGGGAGCTTGGGGCTATCAGGACGCAGTAGCCATGGTGTAAGTGGCAGAGGAAGCTGACTAGGGAGGCATGGGAGTGGGTGTGAGAGGAGGACTGGACACTTTTTTCTTTTTGAGACAGAGTCTCCCTCTGTTGCCCAGTCTGGAGTGCAGTGGGGTGATCTTGGTTCATTGCAACCTCCGCCTCTCAGGTTCAAGAGATTCTCCCACCTCAGCCTCCTGAGTAGCTGGGAGTACAGGCACACACCACCACGCCTGGCTACTTTTTGTATTTTTTTTTTTTTTTGAGACGGAGTCTCGCTCTTTCGCCCAGGCCAGACTGCAGTGGTGCTATCTCGGCTCACTGCAAGCTCCGCCTCCCAGGTTCACGCCATTCTCCTGCCTCAGCCTCCGGAGTAGCTGGGACTACAGGCACCCGCTCCCGCACTCGGCTAATTTTTTGTGTTTTTAGTAGAGACGGGGTTTCACCATGTTAGCCAGGATGGTCTCGATCTCCTGACCTCGTGATCCACCCGCCTTGGCCTCCCAAAGTGCTGGGATTACAAGCGTGAGCCACCGCGCCCGGCCAATTTTTGTATTTTTAGTAGAGATGGGGTTTCATCATGTTGGCCTGGCTAGTTTCTTTCTTTTCTTTTCTTTTCTTTTTTTGAGACAGAGTCTCCCTCTGTCACCAGGCTGGAGGCGTGATCTCGGCTCACTGCAACCTCCACCTCCCAGGTTCAAGCGATTTTCCTGCCTCAGCCTCTCGTGTAGCTGGGACTACAGGTGCATGCCACCATGCCCAGCTAATTTTTTGAATTTTTAGTAGAGACAGGGTTTCACCATGTTGGCCAGGATGGTCTCAATCTCTTGACCTTGTGATCTGCCCGCCTCGGCCTCCCAAAGTGCTGGGATTACAGGCGTGAGCCACCGCACCTGGCCAACACACTTTTACTTATTCATTTAAACATGTTTACAGGCATCTTCTTGGTGCCAGGCCCTGTACCAGGCTCTGGGCACACAGCAGTGACCACGAAGCTAGCAATCCAGTGTTTGGGCGTGGCTTCAGCTTCCTTCCAAGCTAAGGAAGGGGTTAGGGCTTTTGCCATGGGGGATTGGGCAGCCACTGAAGGCTCCCCAATGGGCAAAGTGAGCAAAGTGGTCAGGTCTGCGTGTGAAAAGGCGCGAGGAAGGGTGTTTGGGCCAATGGGCCCCAGTGCTAGGGGACCTGTGAGATTGCAACACAGGTAGGAACTGAGTCATCCTGCACAGGCAGTTTCCAGTCCCATTTCTGTACAGACAAGGACCCTGAAATTCAGGGAGGAAGAGTAATTTGCTCAGAGACCCATTATGAGGATGGGGGGTGGGGAGAACACTGCTGGGTAGACATGGGGTCAGGCGTTGTGCAAGACAGGCCCAGGGTAAGGGGGTTCTGGCGAATGTGAGAGGGAAGGTGAGAGACCATCTCTGGGGTCCACTCTGTGGGGTGTGGCTGAGATGCTGTCTAGCCGGGCGACCTGCCTACTTTCCAGCTGTGTGGCTTGGGGCAAGTTACTTAACCTCTCTGAGTCTCAGTTTTCTCACTTGTAAAACTGGAATAAAAATTGTACCTGCCTTGGCTGGGCACAGTGGCTCACACCTGTAATCCCAGCACTTCGGGAGGCTGAGGTGGGCGGATGACCGGAGGTCAGGAGTTCGAGACCAGCCTGGCCAACATGGCAAAACCCCAACTCTACTAAAAACACAAAATTAGTCGGGTGTGGTGGCACGCACCTGTAATCCCAGCTACTCGGGAGGCTGAGGTAGGAGAATTGCTTGAACCCAGGAGGCAGAGGTTGCAGTGAGCCAAGATCGCGCCACTGCAGTCCAGTCTGGGTGACAGAGCAAGACTCCGTCTCAAAAAAAAAAAAAAAAAAAAAAAAATTGTACCTGCCTCACAGGATCCTGTAAGATAATGAGCGTAGGGAGCTTGGGGCAATGCCTGGCACCTAGAATGGACCTGTTCCATGGGAGGGAATGGCAGCAGGTAGGCAGTGAAGGTGAGGGTAGGGCTGGCGGGCTGGAAGAGCCGGCTCCAAGGACTGAGAGGGTGGGGGAAGCTAGGGACAAAGGGGGAATTTTGTGAGATTTCCTGGTTGGAGCAGGAGAAGGTGGCTGGCCAGGGGGAGGTCAGGGAACCAGGGGGTCTCAGGTTGTCCACTGGGTGGGGAAGCCTCCCAGGCTTGGGGGAGGGGGTTCTAGGAGGGCTGTGGCCAGGGCCCGGAGGAGGGCAGGGCAGGGGCTGGGCGGGAGGTTCTATTCACCGTGCCTCCTACCCCAGTACTTGCGCTAGTGGCTGTCAGCCAGCCAGGCAGCAGTGCCTCATCGGACTTGTAGTTTTTCAGGGAGAGGTGGTGGCCAAGAGTGTCAGGAGGTGCAGTGCCCCTTGGGCAAGGCCTAGGTGCAGTTATTAAGCCAGGAAGGTAGTTTTCAGCAGCAAGGCTTGTAGGCTTGGTTTCCAAGGCAGGATTTGGCTGGCAGCTGGTCATGGGCAGCTGTCCCCGAAGCTTCATCCTGCCAGGCCCCCCATGTGGCAGAATGGTTTGGTCTCCCTCCCTCTGGGGCACACAGGCCAGAATGGGCCTCCCGTCTCCTTCCAAAGTGGTGCAGCCCAACCGCCAAAGGCCACAGGTCACCTAGCTGGCAGCATCCTGGCGCCCCCTGCCCCCCCAGCCCCCACTGTCAGCTCCTGACTTCCTGTCCCTCCAGCCCTCCGTGGCCTTTTCCCTGTAGCCAAGGTCTCTCACCCGACCCACCTCTGCTGAGCCTCTCTAGCTGTCTCGCTGTCACATGGCTGGGGTGGCAGCCCACCGGGCGCATCCACCTTTCACTGCGCACATGAAGAACCGTGGGCTCAGAGAGGTGACGGCACTTGCCCAACATGTGTCACCTACCGACTCCCAGCCCAGGGGCCTTCCTCATGCCCTGCCAGGCTTACAACACCCAGCTCTTTCATGCCCAATTTCAAGGGCCCCAGGCTTTGCTCCCATTTTATAGATGGGGAAGTAGAGCCCAAAGGCTTAATGATACGTGCCCAGGATGGCAGGTCAAGGACAGAAAGGCAGCTCTCTTGACTCTCAGGCCTCTGTCTCCGGCTGTCTCCTGCCCCCTTGCCCTGAGCCTGCTCTGCTTGCCCTCAGGAGCTGGAGAAAGCTGTGGTGCGGGGCAAGGAGTTGGGGGACCGGCTGGAGCATTTGCAGCGTGAGCTGGAGCAGGCGGCTCTCGAGCGCCAGGAATTTCTGCGAGAAAAGGAAAGCCAGCACCAGAGGTGGGGACAGGGCTGAGGGGAAGAATGAGGGAGGCAGGGGTGTGGTGGGGCGAGGGTGGGGTGGGGCTGGGTGCTAAGGATTCTCCTGGCAGGTACCAGGGCTTGGAGCAGCGGCTGGAAGCTGAGCTGCAGGCGGCGGCGACCAGCAAGGAGGAGGCGCTGATGGAGCTCAAGACCAGGGCCCTGCAGCTGGAAGAGGAGCTGTTCCAGGTGATGCCTGCCCGCCTGGGAGCTGGGGGCCATGCCACCCTGCCCTCCATCCCATGAGCAGATGCCAGGGTCATCTGTCCTCCTAGTCTTGCCTCTGGATTCTTGGCTAGCTACTTGCCTCACTCCCCATGTGGGGCCTGTTGGAGAGAGCACTGTGCTGGGAGTCAGGTGGCCGTGTTGACTTATCTGGGGTCTCATTTTCCCCATTCTGCACATGGACAGAACTTCTGCTGTGGATGACTGCTCCGCCTGTCTCACCCGAGGTCCTCCACTGCCTAGGGAGCTCAGTGTTTGGCATCAAGGAAGCCAGCGATGGTTTCTGATACCCAGGCTGTGTGCGGGCTCCACACGGAGGGTGGGGTGGTGGTGGGGCCCAATCCCAGGCTGCCATCCTCAGGGAGCTCACAGGACAGTCAGGATAGAGGCAAGAAAACAGGTGACAATAACTAGGTGCCAGGGGCTGTGAGGAGGCCATGCAGGGGCTTGGGAGGGTGGTACCCAGCAAGATACCCAGCAGGTGCATGCGAGTCTATCAGGGAAGGTTTTGTGGAGAAGGTGGGGTTGAAACAGAGGCTTAGAGAAGGCCCCACACAGCAGCTCATGCCTGTAATCCCAGCACTTTGGGAGGCCAAGGCAGGTGGATCACCTGAGGTCAGGAGTTCGAGACCAGCATGACCAATATGGTGAAACCCCATCTCTACTAAAAATACAAAAATCAGGCCGGGCGTGGTGGCTCACGCCTGTAATCCCAGCACTTTGGGAGGCCGAGGCAGATGGATCATGAGGTCAGGAGATCGAGAGCATCCTGATGAACACCGTGAAACCCCATCTCTACTAAAAATACAACAACAACAACAAAAATTAGCTGTTAGCTGGGCATGGTAGTGGGCGCCTGTAGTCCCAGCTACTCAGGAGGCCGAGGCAGGGGAATTGCTTGAACCTGGGAGGAGGAGGTTGCAGTGAGCCGAGATCACACCACTGCACTCCAGCCCGGGTGACAGAGTGTGACTCCGTCTCAAAAAAACCCAAAAAAACAAAAAAAACCCTAAAAATTAGCCAGGCGTGGTGGCCCACATCTGTAATCCCAGCTACTCGGGAGGCTAAGGCAGGAGAATTGCTTGAACCCGGGAGGCAGAGGTTGCAGTGAGCCCAGATCACACCTCTGCACTCCTGGCTGGGTGGCAGAGTGAGACTCTGTCTCAAAACAAAAACAAAAAACCAAATAGTCTTAGAGGAGTAGTGGGATGGAGAAGTGTTATGAGCAGAAGGCTCTGCCGCAGAGAGACAGAAGTTGAGAAGGGCAGGGTGGTGACGGTGGAGCTTCAGGAACCAGGAGCAGGGACTTGTGGGATCCAAGGGAAGGCATGGGATTGGGGCGGGGTGGACTAGGCTAAATGCTGCTGGCAGGGCAGGTCCATAAGCGCAGGTCCTTGAGGCATCCCCAAGGCACTGCGGCTGTCCCGCATGACCTCCCAGGGACTCTCCTTGCAGCTGCGCCAGGGCCCCGCGGGGCTGGGGCCCAAAAAGCGTGCGGAGCCTCAGCTGGTGGAGACCCAGAATGTGCGGCTTATTGAGGTGGAGCGCAGTGTGAGTGTGGGCCCACAGTGGGCCCTGGGGAGGTGCCCCGTGCAGTGTGAGTGTGGGTCCACGGTGGACCCTGGGCTGGGGGGTATCCCGTGCAGTGTGAGTGTGGACTCACAGTGGGCCCGGGGGTGGGGGTGCCCCATGCAGTGTGAGTGTGGGCCTGTGGTAGGCACTAGGGGGTGCCCCCGCCACCTGGCTATTGCTAACCCCCACTTCTGGGCAGAATGCGATGCTGGTGGCAGAGAAGGCAGCTTTGCAGGGGCAGCTGCAGCACCTGGAGGGGCAGCTGGGGAGCCTGCAGGGCCGTGCCCAGGAGCTGCTGCTGCAGAGCCAGCGGGCGCAGGAGCACAGCAGCCGCCTGCAGGTGGGTGGTGGCCCGGGTGCCCATCCCTGCCCATGTACTGCCCCCTCCTGCTCCTTTTGGATCATCCTGTGGCCTTTTTCTATCCCAGCTCCCAGCCAGCTGCCCCACCTCTTCCCCAGTCTCATTTATCCTTGTCCTCTGACCCCAGCCACCATTTTGCACCATCCTCCCTGCCACTATCTCCTCCTACCTGCCGCCAGCCCCCACATCTACACCCATGTCGCCCTGCGCTCTCACTGTCCCAGCCCTCCCCTCCACAGGGCGCCATTAGTCCCATTCTGCCCTGTGCCCCTTCCGGACAGCCTGGCCCAGCCAGCCTCTGCCGCCTCTCCCCTGCTCACCATCAGCCTCTGGCTGGGGCTTGTACTGCCTGCTGTGCCCCCAGCCCTTTGCCTCCTCCACAACTCTCTCATTGTCTTGGGCCCTACCGTCTGCCCTTAGCCCCCCGCCTCTCACTCGATTTCCAGCCAGGGGTTCCTCCCCAGCAGCCCCTGCTTCCCTCCTCCATCCTAGGCCGAGAAGTCTGTGCTGGAGATTCAGGGCCAGGAGCTGCACCGGAAGCTGGAGGTGCTGGAGGAGGAGGTGCGGGCGGCACGGCAGTCCCAGGAGGAGACCCGCGGGCAGCAGCAGGCCCTGCTTCGGGACCACAAGGCCCTGGCACAGCTGCAGCGGCGGCAGGAGGCCGAGCTAGAGGGACTGCTGGTGCGGCACCGAGACCTCAAGGCCAACATGCGGGCACTGGAGCTGGCCCACCGGGAGCTGCAGGGCCGGTGAGCATCACCAAATGCCCAGCTCCTCCCCTGGCACCCCCTATCTGCCAGAGAAGACTCCCCTCAGCAGGTCTGACTCCCCATCAGGAAGCACCTCCACCTCCGCTCTGTGATGCCCCGGCCACTGCTGTGCCCTCTGGGGTAGCTGTGCTCCCCACACTTCTGGGTTGGGCTCCCCGTGGGGCTCACCTATTGGGAGTGGTGGGCACCTGGCATGGCATTCTGCCCAATGGCTTCCTCTGGGGGACCTAGGCTTAGGAGGTGACAGACCCCCCCGCCCCGGGTCCAGATAGTCCAGCCAGCTGCTTGTGGTGGCCATAGGTTCACACAGCCCTCTTAGCCCCTTGTCCATCCCAGGCACGAGCAGCTGCAGGCCCAGCGGGCCAGCGTGGAGGCACAGGAGGTGGCCCTGCTGGCAGAGCGTGAACGCCTGATGCAAGATGGGCATCGGCAGCGGGGCCTGGAGGAGGAGCTGCGGAGGCTTCAGAGCGAGCACGACAGGTGCCGCCCCTGCCACAGCCTCTAGCAGCTCTCAGTGGCCCCATCCTGAAAGTGGGTTGGGGGTGTGGGGTCCTGTCTGGCCTCCCCTCCCCGGCATAACTTCTCTGGCCAGCACTCGGACTGGGGACCCAGGTCCCTTGGAGAGCAGCTCTCCTTGCCTCCCAAGGGCTCAGATGCTGCTGGCAGAGTTGTCTCGGGAGCGGGGTGAGCTGCAGGGTGAACGCGGGGAGCTACGGGGCCGGCTGGCGCGGCTGGAGCTGGAGCGGGCACAGCTGGAGATGCAGAGCCAGCAGCTGCGCGAGTCCAACCAGCAGCTGGACCTGAGCGCCTGCCGGCTGACCACGCAGTGTGAGGTGTGGCTGGAGGGCCGGTGGGGGTATGGGCGTGTGGTGGGGCAGAAAGCCTAGACCCAGGTGGTCCTGAGCTGGGTCCCACCCTCCGAGCCATGGTGCCCCCCTGCCAGCTATTGACACAGCTGCGAAGTGCCCAGGAAGAGGAGAACCGGCAGCTGCTGGCTGAAGTTCAGGCCCTGAGCCGGGAGAACAGGGAGCTCCTGGAGCGCAGCCTGGAGAGTCGGGACCACCTGCACCGCGAACAGCGGGAGTACCTGTGAGTGGGCCGCCTGGGAGCGGGGTGGGGCCTGCATCCCCTTTGGGCGTTCCTGGGGAGAGCCCTTAGTGAGGGCCTAGGGACAGGGTTGGAGCTGACCTTCCAGGTCAGTCCAATCTGCGGCACGGGACCAGTGCGTCCTCGCTGCAGCTTGTGCCTTGCTACTGCCTCGGCCTCCCTGGGCCTCACACCCACCTCTCCCTTCTCACTCCTGCCAGGGACCAGCTTAATGCCCTGCGCCGCGAGAAGCAGAAGCTCGTGGAGAAGATCATGGACCAATACCGCGTGCTGGAGCCTGTGCCCCTGCCCCGGACCAAGTGAGCAGCCCTGTCACCTCCCTCAGGCTGGACATCCTGCTAACCTCTGCCCCTGCCCTGGCCTCTGACCCCAGGCCCAGCTCAGGTCCAGGCCCCATGAAGGTCAACCTGGCCTTTGACATCCCCAGGACACCCTTTGCTCCCTCCCTCCTCCCTGTCCTGACCCCCTCTTGTGCCCTCTTGCCCCCAGGAAGGGCAGCTGGCTGGCAGACAAGGTGAAGAGGCTGATGCGGCCCCGGCGGGAGGGGGGCCCCCCTGGGGGGCTGCGCCTGGGGGCCGATGGGGCTGGCAGCACCGAGAGCCTGGGGGGCCCCCCGGAGACGGAGCTTCCTGAGGGCAGGGAGGCAGATGGGACAGGTGGGTCTGGGGGTCAGGTGGCCAGGATGGTCCCTGCCCCACATCCTCTGTCCCCCACCTTGGCACCTGCCTCACTGCCTGGCCTGCATGCGTGACCCCATTGGCCTTCCCTGAGGCCTGCCCCCCCTGCCCTGATGCCACCAGGGGCTCTTTTCCCTGGGTCCTACAGGGTCACCCTTGGCCCACACCTCCCTCCTGCCTGTGCTGTCCCCGACCCAGCCTGCCCCATCCGCAGCGGAGCCCAGGATCTGGGAGGTGCAGTGGACTCTAGGGAGAGGTCATTGTTCCTAGACTGCAGATGAGGAGACTGAGGCCCCGGGAGGGGAAGCTTTTGCCCAAGGTCATGCAGTGAGTTAGTATGAAGGCCAGCACAGGGCCAGTGTCCTGCTGCCCCACTCATTTGCCTGGCTTCTCCCCCACCTCTGCACCTCCCCTCCCTGGCCCTGGGCAGCTTCACCCACTGGCCCCTCTACTCCATCCAGGGCCCTGTTCCTCTGACCCCCTCCCTGCATGAGCCTCCGCCCCCCCCCTCTGACCCCTCCCCTGCATGAACCTCAGCCCCCTCTTCTGACCCCCTCCCTGCATGAGACTCAGTCCCCGTTCCCTTCCTCTGACCCCCTCCCTGCATAAGCCTCAGCCTCCCCCCCTCCTCTGACCCTCTCCCTGCATGAGCCTCAGCCTCCTCCCCTCCTCTGACCCCCTCCCTGCATGAGCCTCAGCCCCCACTTCCCTTCTCTGACCTCCTCCCTGCAGGAGCCTCAGCCCCCCCGCTCCCCTCGTCTGACCCCCTCCCTGCATGAGCCTCAGCTCCCTCTCCCCTCCTCTGGCCCTCTCCGTGCATGAGCCTCAGCCCCCACTTCCCTTCTCTGACCTCCTTCCTGCAGGAGCCTCAGCACCCCCTCCCCTTGTCTGACCCCCTCCCTGCGTGAGCCTCAGCCTCCCCCCATTCTCTGACCTCCTCCCTACAGGAGCCTCAGCTCCCGTCCCCTCCTCTCACCCCCTCCCTGCATGTACCTCTTGCAGGGTCCCCTTCCCCGGCACCCATGCGCCGGGCCCAGAGCTCCCTCTGCCTGCGGGATGAGACCTTGGCAGGCGGGCAGCGGCGGAAACTCAGCTCAAGGTTCCCGGTGGGGCGAAGCTCTGAGTCATTCAGCCCTGGGGACACCCCTAGGCAACGATTCCGACAGCGCCATCCAGGCCCCCTGGGGGCGCCCGTCTCCCACAGCAAAGGTGAGGGACAAGGGTCACTGTACCAGCCAGCCCCCCAACTCTTTGTGGACCCACCAGCTCCTTGGGGGAGGAGGCTTCCTTCTTGTCCCCTGTGTCTCCTGCAAGCTCTGTCCACTTCCGCACTGGCCCTGGGCCCAGTGGTTGCCTTGTGCCTCCCAGGACCTGGTGTGGGATGGGAGAACTCCGCTGAGACCCTGCAGGAACACGAAACAGATGCCAACCGAGAGGGTGAGTGGGGGACTGTGGAAGGAGTAGTATTCTTTGTCCTGCCTGGGGCCCCTGGCAGAACCTCATTCATCCATTCTTTCATTCGACAATGATCCTTTACCAAGTGCCAGGTGACGTGCTGGCAGGGGACACAGCAGGGAACGTTCTGGTGTGAGGAGGCAGATAGTAAACAATTTGCCTAAAAATAATTATTATCTACAACAGCCCTGTCCACTAGAAATATGGTGTGAACCACATGATAATTTTAACTTTTCCAGTAGGCTTACCAGAAAAAGTGAAAAGAGACAGGTACAATGGATTTTAATAACATTTAACTCAATATGCCTACGCTATTACCATTTCAGCATGTAGCCAGTGTAAAAATCATGAATGAGCTATTAGACGTGATGTTTTTTTTTTTTTTTTGAGATGGAATTTCACTCTTTGGCTCACTGCAACCTCCTCCTCCCAGGTTCAAACGATTCTCCTGGCTCAGCCTCCCAAGTAGCTGGGATTACAGGCATGGGCCACCACGCCAGGCTAATTTTGTATAATTATTATTATTTTTTTTAGTAGAGACGGGGTTTCACCATGTTGGTCAGGCTGGTCTCGAACTCCTGACCTCAGGTGATCCGCCCGCTTCAGCCTCCCAAAGTGCTGGGATTATAGGTGTGAGCCACCCAGCCAGACGTGATTTTTTTCATAGTAAGTCTTTGGCAGTTTCGGAGGCCAAGGCAGGCAGATCACTTGAGGCCAGAAGTTAGAGACCAGCCTAGCCAAAATGGTGAAATCCCGTCTCTACTAAAACTACAAAAATTAGCCAGGCATGGTGTCCCATGCCTGTAATCCCACCTACTCAGGGGGCTGAGGCAGGAGAATCGCTTGAACCTGGGAGGCAGAGGGTGCAGTGAGCCAAGATCACGCCATTGCACTCCAGCGTTGGTGACAGAGTGAGACTGTCTCAAAAACAAAAAACAAAAAACAAAAAAACATAGTAGGTCTTTGAAGCACGTCACAGGCCAACCCCATCTCACCTACTTAGCTCCGCCCTGGGCAGCTCAGCCCTAGACCCGGCTGGACCATCAGGAGGCGCTAATGCTCTGGGAAGAAAGGAGAGCAGGGGAGGGGTCAGGAGCTCAGGAGCTCTGGGCAGGCTGGTTGGAGTTTTAGTAACTGGGGTGCTGGGGTGGGCCTCAGAGAGGATGTGAAATTGGAGCAAAGACTTGGAGGGGAGAGTTTGTCGTGTGGACATACCTGAGAACAGCATTCTGGGCAGAGGGAACCGCTGAGGGAACAGCAGGCGTGGTGCAGCTGGAAGCGGGGGGTATTGGCAGGTCGGGGGTGGGCAGAAGGTGCTCGAGCCTGTGGGCCTCCTGGGACTCTGGGAGTCCTCCTGAGGGAAGCAGATCTCAGCTGAGCCTTTCCCTCTAGGCCCTGAGGTACAGGAACCGGAGAAACGTCCCCTCACCCCATCCCTCAGCCAGTGACACCGTGGGAACAGCAGGCTTGGGAGTGCAGCCTTCTCGGCACTGGAGTGTCAGCGGAGGCCCCAGGCAGCCCAAGAGCTCAGGGAGCCAGGGACCCCAAGGGGAGTCCTTGGACAAGGAGGCCTGGGCCCTGAGATCCTCCACGGTCAGCGCCGGGGCCCGGAGATGGAGCTGGGACGAGTGTGTGGACAGGGGGGATGGCTGGCCCCCACGAGCAGCTCCAGGCTGGAGTTCTGGTTCTTCCAGGTGGCTCCCGCTGAGGCAGCGGTCTCTGGGGGATCCCCCAGCTGAAGGAGGCTGGCAGGAGTTGGCAAGAGAACCCCCTGCCCTGTCCAGGTGGGAAGCTGAGTCCCAGTGCTGGGGGACTGTGGCCTGGGCTGATCTTGAGCCTTAACTGGACATGAGGGGCATGAGAATAAAGCTGAACTGCAGCCTCCTGAGTCTTGCTCTGTCTGTTGGCCGCACTGGGTACCTCAGGGCACCAGGACACATGCCGCCCCAGTCCTGCTGGTTGGTGGGGGTCTGTGGGCAGAGGGCCCCTGCCTGGACAGGGCAGCACAGGCCTTTCTCCAGGGTCTTGGCCAGTCCGGCCGGCCAAAGCCCGGATGTCCTGGTGAGGTGGAGAGGGGATGACATCCTGGGTAGCCAGCAGGGATTGGGGTCTAAGATCTGGGCTCAGGGGTGTGGGGCAGTGAAGCCCCTGTTGCCCCGCCCCCACCCTCTCCCAGGGCACTGTCTTCTCTCTGTTCACATCCTCCTCCTACTCATCTCCCCTCCCTCCTTGAGGTTGAGCCCCCTCCCCAGGGAGTTCTCAGCCTGGCGGGGCATCACTTAATGCCAGGGGTTGCCAGGAGAGGTGGGAGGGACGCTGGCTCTCTGACCAGGGCCTCTAGCCTGATGCCTGAGAGGCGGGGCAATTCGGCTGGGGTGCAGGATGTGAGTCAGGGTACCTGGGGCCACCCAGGGGAGGGTGGAGCTGCCCAGGGCTGAGATAAGGCAGCCTGAACTTGGGGGGTGCAGAGCTGGGAGGGACGGTCCGTCCGGCCTCCCAGGTGTGACCTGCAGCAGCTTGAGTTCCTCCTCCTCTCAGCCAGGGCTTCACAGGACAGGGGCGTGGGGTGGACACCCTGGCCTCTCCAGCTGGCAGAGGAGCTGAGAGCCCCTCCCACCGGCCTCAGGGTGTGGGGCCTCATGGCTGTCCCACTCTGCTAGGTGGCCCCATTGGTGGTCAGGAAGGGAAAGGCAGGAAGAAGACGGAGCAGGGGCTCAGGAGGACCAGTCAGCAGGGGCCCTGGGCCTCATGGGGAGAGGGGGCAGCCCCGTGTGGCACTGACATCTCTTCTTGAGGCCTGCTCAGGGCTCTAAGCTGGGTACTGCACCAGGCTAGGAGACAACAGGAGCAGAACACGTGAGGTGCGCATGGCACCTGGTGGGCTCTGCACGGTGACTGGGGGCTGAAGTGCTTCTGCAGGCACCCCCGACAGAAAGCTGGTCAGAAAACTGGCCACTCCTCTCCTTGCCATGGGGTCCCAGGCCGGGCTCCAGCCCCCTCTTGGTGATGAGGCTCCTCCTTGCAAAGGCCAGTCCTCTGGGGAGAGGGGCCCTGCTGGCCACCCCCAGGACGATGGAGTGGGGTGGGCTCCACTGCCTGAGAGTTGGGTGACTTCCAGGATCCAGACCCCCTCTCAGCCTGCCCAGCACCAGGCACCTCGTCCCCCACCTTGGGGCACAGACTCCTAATGTCCTCCAGCCACTGGCTGCAGCCGGCATTCCCGGGCAGATTCCTGGCTTGGGGACTAATGCCCCAGAGGCTCCAGGTTACCCACGGGCTCAGGGATGGCTCCCACGGGGTGTTTCCAGTTCCCGGGAGAGTCGAGTAAGGTCCCGGAGCGCACGGCCCTGAGGCCTGGCCTGGGGGCTCGGGAGACAGGGCGGCCCCAGCCGGCCGCCCACCGGCAGCCCGGCGCTGTCACGTTCCAGCCGCCTGACTCAGGCCGCGCAGGGCGGGGAGCCGGGAGGCGGTGCCGGCGCCCGCCTCGGCCCCGGAGGCGGCACCAGGAAGCGCCCGCCCCGGCCGGAGCCGCCATGTAACCGGCGCCGCCCGGAGCCCGAGCCGCGCGGGCCCCAGCGACCCGCCCGCCATGGGGGACGAGGACGACGATGAGAGCTGCGCCGTGGAGCTGCGGATCACAGAAGGTGGGTGTGGGGCCTGACTGCGGCTGCCCGGGGCAGGCCGGGACGGGTCATGGACCGGCTGGGCTCATTCGCCCCCTGTGCCCACAGCCAACCTGACCGGGCACGAGGAGAAGGTGAGCGTGGAGAACTTCGAGCTGCTCAAGGTGCTGGGCACGGGAGGTGAGGACCCCCATCCACCGGGCAGGCGTCCCAGGCGCGGTGCCCCTGACCTCCTGCCTGCTCACTCTTGGGCCTGGGCCAGGCCACTGAGCAGGCCCCCCACCCTTTCCCGGCACAGCCTGCCTTGCCTGCCCCGCCCTGCCTCGCCAGAGTTTGCATGCCCACTTCCAGGGCACTCCACATTGACATCACTCCTCCCTCCACGGTCCTGTGCGTGCATACCCCCCTGGATTTGCCAACACCCTGGGGAGGGGGACTGGCGCCCCTCTCAAGTGATTTGCATAGCTCCTCCCTTTCTTCCAATATGGGATCCCCCTCCCACATTTTGCAAATGCCCCAGCGCTGGTTTGCGCATCCCTTCCCCAGCCAGGTGCACACCTCTGCCTCCCTTCCTTGCACTGGCATCTTTTCACATCCATCTGATCTCTCGCAGGTTTGCATATGCCCCGCCCCCATGCCTCGCAGCAGGCCCCCTGGAGATGCATGCTCCCCAGCCTGGTTTGCACATCCTTTCCCTGGTTTTGCTGGGCACCCTCCCGGGGTGTGCACACCCTTTCCTTAGAAGGCTCTGCCAGCTTTTTGCACACCTGCCTGTTGCCCCAGCTCCTTCGCCTCATTTGCACACCCTCCTGGGTTGGCATCGCCCCCACCCCCCAAGCCTGCACCAATCTCCCGCTCACAGCCCACCCTCCACCCACTCGCTGCTCCCACAGCCTACGGCAAGGTGTTCCTGGTGCGGAAGGCGGGCGGGCACGACGCGGGGAAGCTGTACGCCATGAAGGTGCTGCGCAAGGCGGCGCTGGTGCAGCGCGCCAAGACGCAAGAGCACACGCGCACCGAGCGCTCGGTGCTGGAGCTGGTGCGCCAGGCGCCCTTCCTGGTCACGCTGCACTACGCTTTCCAGACGGATGCCAAGCTGCACCTCATCCTGGGTGAGCGCACACCACATCCCAACGGGGTTGGGGTGGCTGGGGGCAGGCGAGGCCACCTGACGGGGCTGCTTCCTGACTTCCACTGCACCTCCCAGACTATGTGAGCGGCGGGGAGATGTTCACCCACCTCTACCAGCGCCAGTACTTCAAGGAGGCTGAGGTGCGCGTGTATGGGGGTGAGATCGTGCTGGCCCTGGAACACCTGCACAAGGTGGGTGAAGACCTGGCCGCAGGCTGTTGCTATGGAAACTGGGTCTGTGCCTTGGAAGGAATCTGCACGCAGGGCAGCCTCAGGCTTCCCCCTGGGCTTCCTGGGGGGCCAGTGGTGAGCTGGGTGGGAATTGGAGCTGCTTCCCCTGGACCCCTTGCAGGAAGCCTCAACGTTGCCTGGTGGGGTCCCCTCCCCTGGCACCTCCTCGAAGGGGCTTTCCTCTTTCAGGGAACTCGGGGCTGCGTTCACAGAACTTCCTCAAATGGAAACCTCACGGCCTGGCTCCTAAGGCCTCCTTGAAATGGAGCTCTTCACACAGACTTTCCTCTCTCTGGGACCTTGGGGCCTGATCCACGGGGCCCTCCTTCTTTGTTTTATATCTTAAATGGCCTTTCTTATTCAGTGGCTCTGCCCTGGAGACCCCCTCTACAGGCAGATGACTTTCTCTGGGGGGTCTCCTTATCCTGAGCAGGGCCAGGAGCTGGAGGAGCTGGGGAGGGTTTCGGGGAGGAAGCCTCAGCACCCCTCTTGCTCCTACCAGCTCGGCATCATTTACCGAGACCTGAAACTGGAGAATGTGCTGCTGGACTCCGAGGGCCACATTGTCCTCACGGACTTCGGGCTGAGCAAGGAGTTCCTGACGGAGGAGGTGAGTGGAGGCCACCTCTGCCTGCAGTGCCCCATTCAATCCTTCTCCTTCCTGCCTCTTCCTGCTCTGGGCCTGCATTCTGGGGCTGCAGAAGTGAATAGCTCCAAGAAGTTTCCACAGCTCAGCTCTCCAACCTCACAAGTTGAGCGAGTCTTACTCTGGGCCTTGTGGGGCACTGGGGCACAGGAGAGGTTTCGACATCTAAGCAGGACCTCTTGCCCTCCCAGAAAGAGCGGACCTTCTCCTTCTGTGGCACCATCGAGTACATGGCCCCCGAAATCATCCGTAGCAAGACGGGGCATGGCAAGGTAGGTTGGCAGGGAAGTGGGGCTGGGGGAGGTGGAAAGGTGGGGTGTGAGGCAGGGGAGATGCAGGCCCTCACCCCGGCTCCACCCGGCAGGCTGTGGACTGGTGGAGCCTGGGCATCTTGCTCTTCGAGCTGCTGACGGGGGCCTCGCCCTTCACCCTGGAGGGCGAGAGGAACACGCAGGCTGAGGTGTCTCGGTGAGTAGGGCTGGACGTGGAGGGCGGCCAGAGGGCTGCAGGGCCTGCCTGGGCAGGGCTGTGGGTGGGGGGCTTGCTGCCCCTGACACCCCCCCAATCCTCCCAGACGGATCCTGAAGTGCTCCCCTCCCTTCCCCCCTCGGATCGGGCCCGTGGCGCAGGACCTGCTGCAGCGGCTGCTTTGTAAGGATCCTAAGAAGCGATTGGGCGCGGGGCCCCAGGGGGCACAAGAAGTCCGGAACCATCCCTTCTTCCAGGTGAGGCTGACTCAGGGCCCCATACCTCCTGGTGCATACCCAGGTGGGGCTGCTGTTCCAGGTTGAGGTTGTGCCTGGCCAGTTTCACTTTATTTGGAAATCCCCCCAGAGAAAGAAAGCAAGTGTGTGTCAGCTAGGTTTCTCTTCACATCCATCCCCACTGAAACTTGGCAGATGTGTTCCTGAAAGAAAGGATTCTAGGTTCATTGGCTGTTGGGGCTGTCAGGGATTTGAGAATGGATTGGTCGGTCCTTTCACTGGACAGACCCAGAGAAGGCAGGTGACCTGCCCCCGACGGCACAGTAAATGGTGCCGAGTTGGGAATAGACCTTGGGTCTAGATAGATCTCCTGCTGGTCCAAATCAGTACGGAAACCCACACTTATGGCTTTTAGCACCCACCCAGGCATTTTGTTCTTTGTCCCCGTCCCTGTACAGTCTGTGTGCCTGTCATTCAGATGGACGGTTGATCAGCACACATGGGTGTTTGCTCACTTGTTAGGAGCACACACATGTTAGAGTGCAGTGCAGAGTGAATCTGGCCATGCGAGAATGCACTGACTCAGGGGCTGGGCCTGGCCAGCGTCATCGCCCAGCAGGACTTTGTAACAGTCAATACCTACTGTGTGTCGGCCCTTTGCGGACATGAACTCATTTCACCCTCACAACTACCTGATTCTTATTTTTTAGACGGAGTTTCACTTTGTCTTCTGGGCTGGAGTGCAGTGGCACGATCTCGGCTCAGTGCAACCTCCACCTCAGGGGTTCAAGCGATTTTCCTGCCTCAGCCTCCCAAGTAGCTGGGATTACAGGCACAGGCCACCACGACTGGCTAATTTTTATATTTTTAGTAGAAACGGGGTTTCACCATGTTGGCCGGGCTGGTCTTGAACTCCTGACCTCAAGTGATCCACCTGCCTCATCCTCCCAAAGTGTTGGGATTACAGGTGTGAGCCACCACGCCCTGCCACAACCACCTTGATTTTTGTCCCCATCTTTACAGATGAGGAAGCTGAGGCTCCAAACAATTAAGTACTTTGTCCAGGAAGTGATGGAGCTCAGATTCAACCCAAGGCTGAGAGGCTTGAATGCCTGTGCTTAATGGTCTTCTGCTTAAGTGTAGGCATCAGATTTGCCATCCGTCTGACATCTAAACAAAAGCACCCATTTCTGGGTACTTATTGTGGGCCAGGTACTGTGTTACTCATACTTCGAGTGCCATCTCTTTGAATCTTCCAAGCCCTGGGAGGGCCTGCCTGAGATGATTTCTTACATAGGAATCTATGTCTTTGAGGTGAAGATGTCCCTTTGCACGGGGTGGGGAAAGCATCTGAGCAGTGTTGGTTTCTTTCAGTGAATTCCGTAAGCCCACCCTTCACCTATGCTGGGTGCTGCGCTGGATACTGGAGTGGGTTGACCAGTCATACAGGAGAGGCCCCAAGGTCTTCAAGGCCTGATGTGTGGAAGGGTGTTTCCCTCCTTCTGTCTTTTCTTTTTCTTTTCTTTTTTTTTGGAGACAGAGTCTTGCTCTATTTCCCAGAGTGCAGTGGCATGATCATGGCTCACTGCAACCTCTGCTTCCCTGGTTCAAGTGATTCTCCTGCCTCAGCCTCCCGAGTAGCTGGGATTACAGGTGCGCACCATCATGGCCAGCTTATTTTTGTATTTTTAGTAGAGTCAGGGATTCACCATGTTGGCCAGGCTGGTCTCAAACTCCTGGTCTCGTGATCTGCCCGCCTTAGCCTCCCAAAGTGCTGGGATTACAGACACATGAGCCACCACGCCTGGCCTCCTTCTGCTTTTTCTTGGACAGCTTCTTTGGTGAGAGCAGTGCTCAGGTCCTTGGTGGTAGAACTGGAGCCTTCCAGCTTGAGTCAGTCATCTTGGCTACATCGACAAAAAGTCCAACTCAAAATGGTGATATCTGTTGGAATCAAGTTTGGTGCTAGCCACAGAGATCAGAATGAACAGAGTGACCTAAGAGGTTTACTTATAAGTAAACCTTTTATTATACTTACTTATAAATAAGTGGCTTACTTATTTTTCTTTTCACATAAAAGAAGTCCAGATTAGCAGACCAGGGCTGCCGCAGTGTCTTCACAGTGCCACATTGTCTTCAGGAATCCAAACTCTTCCTCTTCTTTTTTTTTTTTTAATTTTTTTTTTATTCTTAGCAAGTAGCTTCTATCCCTGGGGTTGCTTCATGGTCCAACATGGTTGCTGGAGCTCTTGCCATCTAAGCTGTCTCCCAGGTAGGGAGCAGGAGGAAGGAGAAGGGGCAAAAGGAGCACATGCCACCTAGCAACCTCCCTCTTCAGGATCTGTTCCTGGAATCCTACCTAATAATTTTTTTCTGATAAGTTTTGGTCACCCCTAACTGCAAGCAAGTTTGTAAAAATATTCTTTTAATTGTGTATATTGGTTCGTGGAATAAAACTGGGGCTATGGTACTAAGGAAGACAGGGAGAATGGATATTGAGCAGGCAATCAACAGATTCTGCCGCATTAGCTTAAACATAAATGGGCATGTTTTGGCTCTCATAAGTGAAAAGGTCGAGGGAAAGTGGTCTGACTTAAGGCAAGACCACATCCAGGTGCTGAAACTATGTCCCTTGGTTCTGCTTTTTCTGCATGGGGACTTCATCTAACCCTGAGAGGGTCCCCAGCAGTTCCAGACCACATCCTCTTAGATTTAAGTCCAGCAGGAGAAAGAGATTTGTTTTTCACGCCAACTCTTTTTTTTTTTTTTTTTTTGAGATGGGGTTTTCGCTCTTGTCGCCCAGGCTGGAGTGCAGTGGCGCTATCTTGGTTCACTGCAACCTCTGCTTCCTGGGTTCAACTGATTCTCCTGCCTCAGCCTTCTGAGTAGCTGGGATTACAGGTGTGCACCACCACGCCCAGCTAATTTTTTTTTTTTTTTTTTGTATTTTTAGTAGAGATGGGGTTTCACCATGTTAACCAGGCTGGTCTTGAACTCCTGACCTCAGGTGATCCAGCTGCCTTGGCCTCCCAAAATCCTGGGATCACAGGCATGAGCCACCACGCCCGACCTTTTCACACCAATTCTATTAAAAGTTCCAGAACTGACTAAGTGTGGTGTCATGGTGGTTCTCTAAGGGGAATAGGGATTGTGTTACCAGAGGGAGAGAGAAGCCAGGGAGGCAGGAGGAACAGCTGCCCACCCCAAATGCCAGATGGGCCCTTGCCTCATGGAGGAACTGCCCAGTGAGGGTGGGCTGAGTGGAGGGAGTTTCTCGTTCCTGGCCTTTGACACCTGACCTCTGATTCCCTTCCCTCAGGGCCTCGATTGGGTGGCTCTGGCTGCCAGGAAGATTCCAGCCCCATTCCGGCCCCAAATCCGCTCAGAGCTGGATGTGGGCAACTTTGCGGAGGAATTCACTCGGCTGGAGCCTGTCTACTCACCCCCTGGCAGCCCCCCACCTGGGGACCCCCGAATCTTTCAGGTGAGGGGAAACTCATGGAACCCAGATGCAGGAGAGATGAGATGTTGCTGTCTGCCTCAGCCCTGGCTGGCCCGAGGACACTGCCTAGGCCTTGTGTCCTGATTGGGACTCAGCGTCTCCCCTAGACGTCGCCACTTCAGTGGGACCTAGGGTTGTCAGTCACAGAGACCACCCAGGCAGGATGTGTGTTTGATAGTTCATGGTTTATCTTTAAACCTTCTGTTAATTTCCCTTCTATTCCATCATCTCTTTATTGTTATGTAAAAATATTGTTTGAAATTATTCACTTGCGGCTGGGTGTGGTGGCTCACACCTGTAATCCCAGCACTTTGGGAGGCTGAGGCAGGTGGATCACTTGAGGTCAGGAGTTCGAGACCAGCCTGGCCAACATGGGGAAACCCCGTCTCTACTAAAAATACAAAAATTAGCTGGATGTGGTGGTATGCGCCTGTAATCCCAGCTACTCGGGAGGCTGAGGTGAGAGAATCCCTTGAACCTGGGAGGCGGAGGTTGCGGTGAGCAGAGATCACACCATTGCATTCCAGGTTGGGCGACTGAGTGAAACTCCGTCTCAAAAAAAAAAAAAAAGAGATCTTCACTTTCTCACGTGGACACCTAGGAGGAGATGCATGTTGATATTGTGGCTTTGCATGCCCTTGGCATAGCATGGTACACTCCTGGAGGGTCAGGTCCCCTCCACCGAATTTTTTTTTTTTTTTTTTTTGAGACGGAGTCTCACTCTGTCTCCAGGCTGGAGTGCAGTGGCTAGATCTTGGCTCACTGAAATCTCTGCCTCACGGGTTCAAGCAATTCTCCTGCCTTAGCCTCCTGAGTAGTTGGGACTACAGGCGTGCGCCACCACACCCAGCTAATTTTTGTATTTTCAGTAGAGATGGGGTTTCACCATGTTGGCCTGGATGGTCTCAATCTCTTGACCTTGTGGTCCGCCCACCTCGGCCTCCCAAAGTGCTGGGATTAGAGGCATGAGCCACCATGCCAAGCCCCCTCTACTGAATTTTAGAAGCTTACACCTTTTGGACAAGTCCAAACTCCCTTTGCTTGGGCATTGAGGCCCTTCATGATGTGGTCCTTGCTTAGAACCTTAGCCTCAGTTCTCATCATTTTCCTACTTGATGCTCTGGAGGGCATGATCGAACTGCTCAGAGGTTCCAGAATATACCTCTGTGCCTTTGCACTTGCTGCTCCTGCTACCTGGAGTACATTCTCTACAGCAGTCTACATGGCAAGCTTCTACCCCTCTTTTAGGCCTCCTTGTCTGCTCACCTGGCCCAGGGGGTCACCCTTTCTTTGTGCTGCAGTCCTCTGTGGACAGCATCTCCTTCTGTGCAGTTTATCATGTTGCCATAATGATATTATATCATTATCACTAAATAAACCAGTATGGTTTGTTTAATAGACAGACCAAGTATGGCTGGATAAGTCCCTTCTCTGAAGCTCTTAGAATTGACAACTCTGTGCTTGAATGTCCACATTCCATTCCATTGTCTCACAGCCCTCATGATAAAGTTCTTTCTCTTGAATTGGTAGGTACTTTCATTCATTCATTTAATGATTCAAAAATGTGTAGTGAGTGCCTAAAATATTCCAGGTACGGATCTGGGTACTACATTTTTAGGAGAAGATGACACATAGTTTATTTTTAAAATTATTTTTTAAAATTAATTAATTAATGTTTTAGAGACAGGATCTTGTTCTGTGGCCCAGGCTGGAGTGCAGTTGGGCAACCATGGCTCACTGCAATCTTGAACTCCTGGGCTTGAGTGATCCTCCCACCTCAGCCTGCCCAATAGCTAGGACTACAGGCAAGTGCCACCACTCCCAGATAATTAATTTTTTTTTTTGAGACGCAGTTTCGCTCTTGTTGCCCAGGCTAGAGTGCAATGGCATGATATCGGCTCACCGCAACCTCTGCCTCCCGGGTTCAAGCGATTCTCGTGCCTCAGCCTCCCGAGTAGCTGGGATTACAGGCATGTGCCACCACGCCTGGCTAATTTTTGTATTATTAGTAGAGATGGGGTTTCTCCATGTTGGTCAGGCTGGTCTCAAACTCCTGACCTCAGGTGATCTACCTGCCTCAGCCTCCCAAAGTACTGGGATTACAGGCGCAAGCCACCGTGCCTGGCCACAACACGCAATTAAAATGACCCTTAAAAGCTCCTCAAATTGCCAGGACATGGATCTTTAGGAAAAGCAAAGAATTAACTCTGCCTTCTTTTTGCATTTCTTCAGTAGCTCCCCTTGCAGAAGAAGCCAAAGTCCGGCTTGAAAGGGAGGAATAAGTTTTTTTTCCTCAGCGGATAGAGTTGGATTCTCATAAGCTAAGCGTGAACTCAGGCCACACTTTCAATATATTCATTGGTCCTTTCAGTGCCTTCAGCCCTTGGCACCTGGGGAGGAATAAGTGGTCACTCTGATGAGAAAGTTGGGGTCACAGGCTGGTGGGGACAGACATGGCCCCAAGTGATTATAAAACCAGGTGGAATAAAAAGTGTCCACACATCCTGTGTGTACCAGAATGCAACTGGAACACCCCCCACTGCCCCCTTGTCCAGGGTCTTGCCTTTGCCTGGTTCCCCACCAGAGTCTCCTCACCCGCACCCCCAACCCCCATGCCCATGCCCATTCCCCGGACTCCCGCCCTGCAGGGATACTCCTTTGTGGCACCCTCCATTCTCTTTGACCACAACAACGCGGTGATGACCGATGGGCTGGAAGCGCCTGGTGCTGGAGACCGGCCAGGTCGGGCAGCGGTGGCCAGGAGCGCTATGATGCAGGTGGGCTGGGCTGGGCTGGGTTGGGGGGAAATTGGTTTTAGGAGAGGCCTAGGCCCGGGGACTCTAGGCCTAGATCCAACTGGCGCCCGCAGCGTGAGCTCAGCAAGGTCCTAAGCCTCTCCGACATGGGGCGTGGCGGGGCCGCGGGGCTACCAGGTGGGACCTCTGACGCGCCGCCTTCGCCTTCGCCTTCGCCTTCGCCTCCAGGACTCGCCCTTCTTCCAGCAGTACGAGCTGGACCTGCGGGAGCCTGCGCTGGGCCAGGGCAGCTTTTCTGTGTGTCGCCGCTGCCGCCAGCGCCAGAGCGGCCAGGAGTTCGCAGTCAAGATCCTCAGTCGCAGGTGGGAGGGCCCAGGCGCGGGCAGGGGTGGGGGTGGCAGAGCGCTGTCCCGGGGGCGGGGCCGAAGCGCGGCGACCGTAACTCCTTCTGCTCCGTCCCCCAGGCTGGAGGCGAACACGCAGCGCGAAGTGGCTGCCCTGCGCCTGTGCCAGTCACACCCCAACGTGGTGAATCTGCACGAGGTGCATCACGACCAGGTGATGGCTTCCGGCCAGGGGAGGGCGGAGAGAAAAGGGGCAGGCGGCGGGGCTTGGGGGCACTATGGGCGGGATCTAGGGGTGAATTGGGCGGGGCCTAGCGTTTGATTCGGGGCCCAAAGGGACCAGGGAGGCGCAGGGAGTGGAATTTGAGGGGAGTAGGGCCTGAGGACGGGAAGGCGGAGCTGAGGATGGACAAGAAAAGGGACTTTGGCCGGGCGCGATGGCTCACGCCTGTGATCCCAGCACTTTGGGAGGTCGAGGTGGGCGGATCACTTGAAGTCGGGAGTTCGAGACCAGCCTGGGAACATGGCGAAACCCCGTCTCTACGAAAAATACAAAAATTAGCCGGACGCGGTGGCGTGCGCCTGTAATCCCAGCTACTTGGGAGGCTGAGGCACGAGAATCGCTTGAACCCGGAAGGCAGAGGTTGCAGTGAGCCGAGGTGGTGCCACTGCATTCCAGCCTGGGCGACAAAGCGAGACTGTCTCCAAAAAAGTAACAAAGAAAGAAAGAAAGAAAAAGGACTTTGAGGAGGGGGTTCTCGAACATTGGCAGGGCCCGAAGGCCGGGGGCGGGGCCTGGGTGGTGGGAGGGGGCTTGCCGCCGTGGGTGGGTGTTGACCTTGGCCCGCCACGCCGCCCGCAGCTGCACACGTACCTGGTCCTGGAGCTGCTGCGGGGCGGGGAGCTGCTGGAGCACATCCGCAAGAAGCGGCACTTCAGCGAGTCGGAAGCAAGCCAGATCCTGCGCAGCCTCGTGTCGGCCGTGAGCTTCATGCACGAGGAGGCGGGCGTGGTGCACCGCGACCTCAAGCCGGAGGTGGGCGAGCTGCCTCGGCGGCGGGGCGGAGCGGTGGCGCCGGGGGCTGCCTCTGACCACTACCCCGCCGCCCTCGCAGAACATCCTGTACGCCGACGACACGCCCGGGGCCCCGGTGAAAATCATCGACTTCGGGTTCGCGCGGTTGCGGCCGCAGAGTCCCGGGGTGCCCATGCAGACGCCCTGCTTCACGCTGCAGTACGCTGCCCCCGAGCTGCTGGCGCAGCAGGGCTACGACGAGTCCTGCGACCTCTGGAGCCTGGGCGTCATTCTGGTATGGGACGCGGTCCTTGAGGCGGGGTCAGGGTCGCTCGGACCTGGCGTCTTCCTGATGTGCAGCAGCACGAGGGAGGGGACAGGGGTCATCTTGGTGGGGGCGGCTGGGTTTCGTCCGAAGCTGGGATCGGGGTGGTTCAAATACAGAGGTGGGGTCGCTCTGGTGCTAGAGTCGGAGCATCCGGGTATTGGGGGTTAGAAGTCAGGGTTCACCACGCGTGGGTCTCAGGAGTGCCCCTAGTGGGGAGGGTGAGTGGTTCTGTGGGAGCGGAGGGGTCAGCCTCGGCACCCCAGCCTGGGCCGGCCTCACCTTCCCCTCACCCTCCTAGTACATGATGCTGTCGGGGCAGGTCCCCTTCCAGGGGGCCTCTGGCCAGGGCGGGCAGAGCCAGGCGGCCGAGATCATGTGCAAAATCCGCGAGGGGCGCTTCTCCCTTGACGGGGAGGCCTGGCAGGGTGTATCCGAGGAAGCCAAGGAGCTGGTCCGAGGTGCGGAGCTGGAGGTCATAGACCATGGTTGGGGAGGGGGACGCTGGGACAGGGATGGTCACTGGGCCAGGTGTCCTGGTTGGGGATGGGTAGGGGAGGAGAGTGGGGCTGTTACGATCTCTTTGGGGCTCAGCCTTTACGCCAGGCTCCTCCCCACACTTCCTTGCCCCGCCTCCAGGGCTCCTGACCGTGGACCCCGCCAAGCGGCTGAAGCTCGAGGGACTGCGGGGCAGCTCGTGGCTGCAGGACGGCAGCGCGCGCTCCTCGCCCCCGCTCCGGACGCCCGACGTGCTCGAGTCCTCTGGGCCCGCAGTGCGCTCGGGTCTCAACGCCACCTTCATGGTAAGGGGCAGGGTCTGTTGAAGGGAAGGGGTGGGCGAAGCCTCGAGAGGTGGGGTCTGGGGAGGCCCGGCCATCGGAGCACAGAAAGGCGAGGTGAGGCCGGGCGCGGTGGCTCACGCCTGTAATCCCAGCGCTTTGGGAGGCCGAGGCGGGCGGATCACGAGGTCAGGGGTTCGAGACCAGCCTGAACAACATGGTGAAACCCCGTCTCTTCTAAAAAGAGAAAAATTAGCCGGGTGTGGTGGCGCGCGCCTGTAATCCCAGCTACTCAGGAGGCTGAGGCAGGAGAATCTCTTGAACCCAGGAGGCGGAGGTTGCAGTGAGCTGAGATTGCACCACTGCACTCCAGCCTGGGCGACAGAGGGAGACTCCGTCAAAAAAAAAAAAAAAAAAAAAAAAAGGGAGGTGAACCGAATCCGGTGGTCGGTCTGGAGGCCAAGGCCCTGTCGGCCTTGACCTAGGCGGCTGGAGGCAAGGTCTGGGAATGGAGGTCAAACTAGATCTGGAAGCCGGGGTCAGGCGGGGGTGGGGGCACTCACCCTTTCCTTTCTGCCAGGCATTCAACCGGGGCAAGCGGGAGGGCTTCTTCCTGAAGAGCGTGGAGAATGCACCCCTGGCCAAGCGGCGGAAGCAGAAGCTGCGGAGCGCCACCGCCTCCCGCCGGGGCTCCCCTGCACCAGCCAACCCGGGCCGAGCCCCCGTCGCCTCCAAAGGGGCCCCCCGCCGAGCCAACGGCCCCCTGCCCCCCTCCTAATCCCCACCACTGTGACCCCCTTCCCTCATAGGGGCTGTGACCTGGGAGCCCGGCTCACTCCCGGAGGCCTCTGCCTGCGGCTGACCTGATCCCCAAGGGACTGTCCTTTCCTCTCCTACCCCACCCCACTCCCAGACAGAGCAGAAGTATTTTTATAAGCAGAGAATTTTTTATGTCTTACCAGATAGAGTTGCAGGGAAGGGGGGGCCTGCTGGGGAGTGGGGTTTGGGGGGCCCTCTCCCAGGACACTGCCTCTTCTGGGCAGAAGGCCCCTCCAGGGGGACTGCTCCAACAGGAAAGAGCCCCTCCCCCACTTCTAAGCACTGAGTTAGGAGTGCTAACTCCTAAACTGGGACCCCCTACCCTGTTCTCCCCTGAGGCCCCGTTCCTGGGAGGGGCACCCCTCAACTGTCACTTTATGGACTGTCTGTGCAATTACGTCCACCAAAGACCCGTGTTGGGGGTACTGAAGGAGAGGCCCTGGGGGACCCTCTGAAGCATTTCTGCCTCACTTTATGTCATCTGCTTCTCCCCTGTTGGGGCTAAGGAAGGAGATAGGTGGCTCCTAAAAGAGGAGGCCATCTTCTCACCCACCCCTTCCTCTTTGGCACAGCTACTCCTGGCTGGGGGTGGGGCCTTGGGGGTCTGGGCTGGGCATCCATGGTCACTGCCTCAGCCCAGCCAGGCTGTGCCTTTGACTTTAAAATAAAAGTCCACCCAGTGCTGTGTGTGGCATCTGCGTGTCCTCGTTCGTGTTGTGGGTGTCTAGAGCAGAGATTCTGGGCAGACAGGCTGCTAGCCCGTGGAGTTTGGAACCTCAGTGGGGAGGGACAGGCAGACTCTTCTGGGCAAGAAGATATTCTTTGTTCCTTGACTTTTGCTATGAGCAGGAGGGCGCAACTCTCATCCTGGGTGTATATCCGGACAGCTCTGCTGGGTATCATTTAGGATATTCTTGGTTGTAAATACAGCTGCTGCTTGACTTAGGGTGGACCTACATCCCGATAAACCCAACCTGAATAGAAAATGCTGAAAGCCGAAAATACATTTAATGTCTGCAACACAGCAGACGGTGCCTGACTTAGGATTGTTTGATTTACCGGCTTTCAGCTTTACCATGGTGCCAAAGCGATAGGCTTTCAGTAGAAAACATAAATAAATGGTAAGGAGCTTCCTGACTTACGATGGGATTACCCATCGTAGGTCGGAAAATTCGTGTCAAGCATAAGTCAGTCGGGGACTGTCTGTAAGAGAAAACCCAACCCAAACTTGCTTAAGCAAAACACAGGGTTTTGGGGGGCTCTTGGAACTATGCAGCTTCTCGATAGCTTCAGGCAAGACCTAATCCAGACTGAAGCACATGATCAGGACTCAGCTGCCGAGTCTGCCGAGTCTGCCGAGCTTTTTATTGTTTTCTTGGCGGTGGTCCAGTCTGGAGGACTCTCCTTATGGACCCAAGACGGGTGCCAGGCGCTCCAGGGACTCCAGATGGAAATATGGAGATGGAAATGGTTTCACGGTTCCCAAGGGAAGTCCTGAGATGTGCTCTGACTGGAGCCACTGAGGTCATGTGCCCACACTGAACCAATCACTGTGGCCAGGGAGGCAGTGTGCTGATTGGCTTAGGTCTGGACCATGGCCTCCCCTCTGGAGGCTCATTGGGTGGAGAGTAGGGGAGGGGTGGGCCCTTGACGGAGGTTACTTGAACCCGGCTGGGTGGTCAGTGAAGGTGGGAGTGAGTGGATCAGCCCCATTCATTAGGGCCCTCACTGGGATCAGAGCTTGGTTCCCCTCAGGGAGTGTCTGAGACTCCTCCCTGTGTGATCCCTGCGGGGTGTGTGTGTGTGTGGCCATAGGGCGGTTGTGGCCTGAGCACTTTTGCCAGCACCGCAGGTAGGTTCTTTTGTCCACACATGGGGATGTCCTGACAGCTCCCGCCCCAGGGTCTGCCTGAACCCCACCCTGGGCCGCCTCCCCATCGTTTCTCTCCCTGTGGCTACCCTGTGAGACCATCTCATGTGGACCTTCCCCTCCTGTCCCCGGGAGGCCTGGGGATCTGGGCTGGGACCCAGAGGTGCCCAGGTGAGGCGAATCAGGCAGTCCTTGTGGGCAGGTGGGGCTCCGGGGGAGTGGAAAGGGTATGCGGGCGCCAGCTGTGTCCCATCCTGGTGGTCTGAAAGAACAGGAAGGGGCCCAGGACAAGGGGCCCTCAGGAGAAGGGAAGAAATTCTGAGGCTCTAATTCTGACTCCTGTGTTACCAGCTGTGTGACTTTAGCAAGTCACCTAACAGCCCCAACCTCCCCTATTTGTCGAAAAGAGGAACTAGAGAATTAACAGATTTAAGAGTATGGTCACTCAGTCACCAGGAATTTATTGAGATTTACTGACCTTTTCCAATGTGTAGGGACCCTCCTGAGCACTCTAGGCGGGAATCTCATTGAAGGAGATGAAAGGGTCCCATTTCATCAGATACTCACAAGCACTGAGTATTACCATTTCAAAACCTTTTCTAATTGAGTGGATGCAAAATAGTCTCTCATCTTCAATTTCTTCACCTCTCATTCCATGTAACTCACAGCCACCCTATGAAAGAGGTATCCTTAGCCTCATTTCTTCCTATTAATTAATTAATTTAACTTTTATTTTAAAAAGAGATTTTTTTTTTTTTGAGACGGAGTCTGGCTCTGTTGTCCAAGGCTGGAGTGCAGGGGTGCGATCTCAGCTCACTGCAACCTCTGCCTCCTGGGTTCCAGTGATTCTCCTGCCTCAGCCTCCCGAGTAGCTGGGATTACAGGCGCCTGCCACCACACCCGGCTAATTTTGTATTTTTAGTAGAGAAGAGGTTTCACCATGTTGGGCAGGCTGGTCTCGAACTCCTGACCTCAGGTGATCCGCCCGCCTCGGCCTCCCAAAGTGCTGGGATTACAGGTGTGAGCCGCTGCACCTGGCCTAATTTAGCTTTTAGAGATGGGGTCTTGCTCTGTTGCCCAGGCTGGAGTGCAGTGGTGCCATCGTAGCTCACTGCAGCCTCAAACTCTTGGGCTCAAGCGATCCTTCTGCTTCAGCCTCCGGAGTACTTAGCCTCATTTCAGGGGTGAAGAAACGGTTCAGAGGATGCAGTAACCCAGAGAAGGGAGGATGCTGGGTGGAAAGAGCAGGGACTTAGAGGAATGAGCCAGCCTTGGTTTGAATCCTGCCTCTTCTCTGTGTGGTCAAGGAGCCTGCGGGTGGGAGATAGATGTGATTGAGCTGCAGGCTGGCCAGGGTGTAAAGCGGCAGAGTGGAAGGGGACACGGTGGGCACAGGCAGGGAAGTAGGGAGGCCAGAGGCCAATGCTCAAGGTCTTAGGTCTGGCCCCCTGCTTCTATACCTTGACTTTGGCTGCTGACTAGCCTTACCTAACATGGAGGCTGGCTCTTCCAGGGGAGCCAGGAGAGGTCACCCTCCTACACTGGGCTTCTGTTTCCACTCTTCAAATGTCCTCAGTGAACAGGCTTGGGCTTCCTGCTCTGATAAAATGTTGGCGCCCCAAGAGGGTCCGACAGCCCTGTAAACCTCTGGCTCCCTCCAAGTCGCTGTTAACTTTTTTTTTTTTTTTTTGGAGACGGAGTTTTGCTCTGGTTGCCCAGGCTGGAGTGTAGTGGTGTGATCTTAGCTCACCGCAACCTCTGCCTCCTGGGTTGAATCAATTCTCCTGCCTCAGCCTCTCGAGTAGCTGGGATTACAGGCATGCGTCTCCATGCCCGGCTAATTTTGTATTTTTAGTAGAGACGGGGTTTCTCCATGTTGGTCAGGCTGGTCTCGAACTCCTGACCTCAGGTCATCCTCCGGCCTTGGCTTCCCAAAGTGGTGGGATTACAGGCGTGAGACACCGCTCCTGGCCTGCTGTTAACTATTAATAACTACTGTTAGAACTAAAGTTCTGGCCGGGCACAGCAGCTCGCGCCTGTAATCCCAGCACTTTAGGAAACCGAGGTGGGCGGATCATCTGAGGTCAGGAGTTCGAGACCAGCCTGGCCAACATGGTGAAACCCTGTCTCTACTAAAAATACAAAAAATAGCCAGGCATTTTGTAATCCCATGCATGTAATCCCAGCTCCTAGGGAGGCTGAGGCAAGAGAATCGCTTGAACCCGGCAGGCGGAGGTTGTGGTGAGCTGAGATGGTGCCACTGCACTCCAGCCTGGGCGACAGGGCGAGACTCCATCTCAAAGTTCTAGAGTCACTGTTTGACTCTAAGCAAGTTACTTCTCCCTAAGGTACTTTGGGAGTGTAAACAAAAATATTCCATATGAACGTAGAGATTGCAAACTGGCCTGTGCCTGGCCTATAGAAACTCATTTTTGGGGCCAGCACTTTTTTTTTTTTTTTTTGAGACAGTGTTTTATTCTGTCGCCTACCCTTGAGTGTAGTGGTGCAATCTCGGCTCACTACAGCCTCAACCTTCTGGGCCCAAGTGATCCTCCCACCTCAGCCACCCAAGTAGCTGGGATTACAGGCATGCGCCACCATGCCTGGCTAATTTTTGTATTTTTGTAGAGATGGGGTTTCGCCAAGTTGCCCAGGCAGGTCTTGAACTCCTGAGCTCAAGTGATCTGCTTCCCAAAGTGTTGGGACTGCACGCATTAGCCACCGCACCTGGCCTAAGCACACGCTGTAAAATGAGGAAAAGCATATGGAATCCTAGATGTGAGGCTTTTGCTGATGAGCTGGAAGGGCTGGCCCTGGGGCAGTCTTCCTGCATGGTCTAATCAGCTGGAGCAGAATCACGCTGCCGCCACAGACAGGGCCTCTGCTTTCCAGGTTGCCGCAGTCCCCACCACTCCCTGTGGTTACACCAGCTCTGTCCTGCATTCATCCCTCTGGCCCTCTAGGCATTTGAGTTTGTGACTCTGATATAAACAGTCTCCTTCCACGGTCACTGCTGCACAAAAATGGGCTTTGTGAAATGTCAAAGATACCCCTTAAATCTTTTATTTTTGGCCAGGTGCGGTGGCTCATCCCTGTAATTCCATCACTTGGGGAGGCCGAGGCGGGTAGATCACTTGAGGTCAGGAGTTCGAGACCAACCCAGCCATGGCAAAACCCCGTCTCTACTAAAAATATAAAAATTAGCCGGGTGTGGTGGCGCAGGCCTGTAATCCCAGCTACCTGGGAGGCTGAGGGAGGGGAGTCGCTTGAACCCGGGAGGTGGAGGTTGCAGTGAGCTGAGATGGCGCCACTGCACTCCAGCCTGGGCGACAGAGCGAGATTCCATCTCAAAAAAAAAAAAATCTTTTATTTTGTTTTAAAACTTAAATTTAGTTTCTATTTGTATTTGTGAAAGACGATAAATTTGGCCGAGTGGGGTGGCTCTCTCCTATAATCCCAGCACTGTGGGAGGCCAAGGAGGGAGAATCCCTTGAGCTCAGGAGTTCCAGACTAACCTGGACACCATAGTGAGATGAGAGCTTGTCTCAAAAAAAAAAAATATATATATATATAATTCATATGATTCAAAATTCAAAGGATCCATAAAAGTACATAGTGAAAAATGTTCTTCCACATGCTGACCCTCTGCCACGTACCTTCTGTTGTTGCCAGAGGAAGCTAATGTGTTCTTGTGTAGTTTTCCAGGAATATTTATGTGTAGTCGAACAACTATATAATAATATGCATGTATAAGTAAAAATTCATATTAATTAAATGTTAATTTTAGAAAAAATCAGTAAGAGGCTGGGCACGATGGCTCACGCCTGTAATCCCAGCACTTTGGGAGGCCGAGGTGGGCGGATCAAGAGGTCAGGAGATCGAGATCATCCTGGCAAACACGGTGAAACCCTGTCTCTACTAAAAATACAAAAAATTAGCTGGGTGTGGTGGCGGGCTCCTGTAGTCCCAGCTACTCAGGAGGTTGAGGCAGGAGAATGGCGTGAACCTGGGAGGCGGAGCTTGCAGTGAGCAGAGATTGCGCCACTGCACTCTAACCTGGGCAACAGAGCGAGACTCCGTCTCAAAAAAAAAAAAAAAGAAAAAATCAGTAAATGCAAAGGAGATTTCAAAAAATCACTCGTGGCATTACTCTCCATAGATAAACTGTGTTAGTTAATATTTTGATGCATTCAATTCTTTTTTTTTTTTTTTTTTTTTGAGACAGATTCTTGCTGTGACACCCAGGCTGGAGTACAGTGGCGGTATCTCAGCTCACTGCAACCTCCCACTCCTAAGTTCGAGTGATTCTCCTGTCTCAGCCTCCCAGGTAGCTGGGATTACAGGTGCGCAACATCCCACCAGGCTAATTTTTGTATTATTAGTAGAGACGGGGTTTTACCACGTTGGCCAGGCTGGTCTCGAACTCCTGACCTCAGGTGATCCACCCGTGTTGGCCTCCCAAAGTGCCACTTACAGGCATGAGCCACTTCGCCTGGTCTGATGCATTCACTTCTAAGTTTTTCTTTGTTTTTTTTCTTTTTGAGGCAGGGTCTCACTCTGTCACCCAGGCGGGAGTGCAGTGACATGATCATAGTTCATTGCAGCTTCAACCTCCTGGGCTGAAGCAATTCTCACACCTCATTTTTTGATTTTGTTGTTGTTTTTTGTAGAGATGGAGTCTCACTATGTTGTCCAGGCTGGTCTCGAACTCCTGGGCTCAAGCAAGCCTCCCACCTCGGACTCCCAAAGTTTTGGGATTACAGGTGTGAGCCACCATGCCCGGCCTAGAATTTTCTTTATTGATACAGATTTTTAGTTAAAATGGCATCAAAATGTAAATAGGTTATTATAGCCTGTCTAAAGTCAAAAATAGATTGTGAATATCTTTCTATGTCAATGACTATATTTTACAATTATTCTTTGTAGCTGTAGGGTGCTTCATTATATGGGTATGCAATGATTTATTTAGATTGTTTCTATTTTTGGCTACAGCTCCTTGCTATTTTAAACAGTGCTGCAGTGAACATCCTTGTACCTACGTCTTTGCTCACCTGTCCAAATATTTCCTTAGGATACGTTTCCTAGAAGTGAAGTTAATAGGCTAAAGGATGTGCCGCTGCATGCACGTTTTAAAGGTCTTTGATATATGTGATCACACTGCCCTTCAGAAAGATCCTATCATTTTATATGACTTGCAGCAGCACGAGCAAGATCCAGGAAGCACTGTCTCCTTTAAAATGAAATAGCAGGCCTCGCCAGCGGAGTGTGTCCTTGCCCTCATTTTTCTTGGCGGAGCTCCTGGAGGCTGATGCAGGAGCGGAGGCTCTCCCTTTCCTGCCCTGCAGTCGCCCGCTGGGCCCGTGATGGTGGTGGAGGGTGTTGTGGACCATGAGTAGGGGACGAGGGACAGAAGTGGTGGATCTGACCTTTGTCTCTGCGGGAATGGGCTGGGGACACAGTCTGCATGGGGGAGGGAGAGAGTGATTCCAGGGATGTGCTGAAGGGTCCCCAGGGAGTGGGCATGCTTGAGGGCAGGAGAGCTGGGCGTCGGGGAAGCTTTGCAGAACCATGAACTGAGCCGCCGAGTGGCTTCATACCAGGGCTCTTCTCCCAGCTGTGCAGTCGTGACCAAAACCACTTGGGCTTGAGTCTCCGTGGCCTCTAGAGTGAAGTGCGGATGGAACAACAGCCACTGGAATTGCCGACGGGTGCACGGCCAAACGCTTGGCAAAGTGCGTGGCGCGCTGGGATTCCCCCACAAAAGGCAGTTTACCAAAAAATTATTAAGAGAACCCAGGAAAATTGAGGCCAGTTCAGGCTTGCTCAGGAAGGGACCCATGTCCAGGAAAGAGAGAGCGATGCTCTTCCCTCGCTCCCGGTCCCCCTTCCCTGGGCCACCGGCCTTTCCCTTCCGGCATCAGCCAGAGCCAAGTGTTCTGAACACTACCCCCGCCCCCACGAAAAGTGAGGACCAGATGGCGCCCCACCCTCTGAATACCTCTCAGCACGGAGTGTGAATCGCCACCGACCTGGCGTGTGTCAGTAGCTGCCTGGGAGCGGCCAGGATGGGCGTGGGAGCACACTCTTGTGTATGTGAATGTGTGCGTATGTGAGTAAATAAGTGTGTCAGTGTGAGATTGTGTGTGAGCACCTGTGTGTCTATGTGAGCGTGTGAAGACGTGTGAGTGAATATGAGGATGCTAGGGAGCATGTGAGTGCGAACTCATGAGTGCACGAGTGTGTGGGTGTATGGGAGTGTGTATGTGAGCACGTGAGTGTGAGAATGTGGATGAGTGTGGGTGTGTGTAAGCACAAGTGTGTGGGTGTGTATGCAGGTGTGTGCTGTGAGGATTGTGTTTGCATGTGTAAGTGTGAATGTGTATGAATGTATGTGAACAAAGCCTGTGTGTTTTGTGTGATTTGAGTGTATGTGTGAACATGTGTGACAGTGTGGACATATAAGTGTGAGTGTGAACAAAGCCTGAGTATGTTGTGATTGTAAGCATGTGACAGTGTGTGTGCATGAGTGTGTGAATGTGTGTAAGAATGTGTCAGTGTGTGTCAGTGTATGTATGTGTGTAAATGTGTCAATGTGTTGAGTGTATGTATGTGTGTTAGTGTGTGTCAGTGTGGCTGTGTCAGTTTGAGTGTGAGTGCACATGTGTGAGCATGTGTGTGGGTGTGAGCGTGTGTGTGTGGGTGTGTGTGTGAGCATGTCAACGCGTGGGTGTGAGCGTGTGAGTGTGGGTGTGAGCGTGTGGACGTGTGTGGGTGTGAACGCGTGTGAGTGTGTGGGTTTGAACGTGTGTGTGGGTGTGAGCGTGTGAACGTGTGCGGGTGTGAGCGTGTGTGTGTATGTGGGTGTGAGTGTGTGAGCGTGAGTGTGAGAGTGTGTGTGAGTGTGTCGCTCTCTGAGGGAAGCACACAGCGCCGTGGTAGAAGCTCTGAAGTAAACACTTCGTTCTTCAGTTGATTCCCCTCCACGGGGACCCTGTTGCCTACTGGGACTGTATTGTAGCCGGGGGATGCGGGATTCAGACCCGGCCAGGAAGGCCTGACTCTCCGCACTGGGTGGGGCCGGCCTGGAGGCTGCAGAGGGGAGCCGCGGGCAGGCACGGGGCGGCCGCTGGCCGTGAAGTGATGTGCTGGTTGACGCTGTGGGCATGTAGGGGCTGTCAGGGGAGCGGTGACAGAACCAGGGCCAGGCGGGAACTGGAATCTCCAGGGATCTTGCTTTGCCTGTGAGTGGGGAAAGAAGGGCTGTGGGGAGAAGCACCGCAGGACTAGGCTGGGGGGACTGGAGCCCGGAGGTAACCCTGAGGCTGGCTTGTGACTTCATCTCCAGGGCAGACGCAGCCTGGGATGTGTGTGGGGAGTCCCTGGCCTGCTTGGAAAGGGAAGCCCTTCCTCCCCAAAGCTGAGCCTTCCCAGAAGGGGTGCTCCGGCTCTGCTGTGGGGAAGACTCTGCCCTCCGCAGCTGCCCTCAGATGTCACTGGGGGAGGGTATCCCTAATAACTGTTGTGTAAAGTGTAAGAAGCTCAGGGCACTGACTCAGGTGTGCAAGAAAAATCACTTTTTTTTTTTTTTTTGAGATGGAGTCTTACTCTGTTGCCTAGGCTGGAGTGCAGTGGCACAATCTCAGCTCACTGTAACCTCCGCCTCCTGGGTTCAAGTGATCCTCCTGCCTCAGCCTCTCAAGTAGCTGGAATTACAAGTGTGCACCACCACACCCAGCTAATTTTTGTATTTTTAGTAGAGACGAGCTTTCACTATGTTGGCCAGGCTGGTCTCAAACTCCTGACCTCAAGTGATCTGCCCGCTTCGGCCTCCCAAAGTGCTGGGATTGCAGGTGTAAGCCACCGCCTCCCACCACTTGTTTTTAACCACTCAGCAGTGTTTCTGACATCAAGACCTTGGCTGAACTGGCAGAGAAAAAGTAGCTTCCAATTTTCCTGGTGAACTTCCTACCCTGCTCAGGGTCCTGTCACAGCGGCAGAGACCTCTGAGGGACCAGAGCAGCAAGTAGGGGCCAGGAGGGCCCCCATCATGGGTGCACACAGGAACTTCTGACACGTCCACACTCCAGTCCTTAAAGCCCACAAGATCCTTCCATGGCGCGCTCAGGGCAGGAGACCCTGGGTGAGCCACTAGTGGGCCCCCTTTTGAGAGGCCCCAGCACGGTTCCTCCCTGGGGCCTAGGCTTTCTCTTGGCAGGCTGCTGTGAGTAGAGGCAGGAATCTCTGCTCTCAGGATGCCCAAGGCTGGCTCTCCTTTTTTCTCCAAGACAAAGGATTTTGGAGGACAAAAGTTAAGAAGACCCATCGGTGTTTTTTGTTTGTTTGTTTAGTTTTTTTGTTTTTTTTTTTTGTTTGTTTTTTACTGTGTCTCACTCTGTTGCCAGGCTGGAGTGCAGTGGCATGATCTCGGCTTACTGTGACCTCTGCCTCCCGGGTTCAAGCGATTCCCCTGCCTCAGCCTCCCGAATAGCTGGGACTACAGGTGCACACCACCATGTCGGGCTAACTTTTTGTATTTTAGTAGAGACGAGGTTTCACCATGTTGGCCAGGATGGTCTCTATCTCCTGACCTCGTGATCCGCTCGCCTCGGTCTCCCAAAGTGCTGGGATGACAGGCATGAGCCACCGTGCCCGGCACCCACAGGTGTTTTTACCTAACACCTGCCTCGCCTAAGGCAAGTACTGCCTGTTTGAATGGGCCGTGGTTTAAGGAAAAGGGGGAAATAGAGAAAAAAGAAAAAAAAAAACAGATGAAGAGCTCAAAGAACGATCAGGCATGTACGCATGCATGAACATTATTAATGTGGGAGTGGTTGTAGATTCCTCCCCATTCATCCTGCTTCCTTCTCCAGAGATAAGGATTTTTACTGGAGAGGGGACTGGTCTTTGTCTCAGGGCAGAGAGGCGTGGTAGGTCCCTCCTGCTGCAGCCCAGTGGGGCAAAGGGAACCAGGGGCTCTTGGACCCAGGCTCTAGGGACTTGGCCCGAGGCTCCCAGGCTTACCCTGGGAGCATTACCATCCCAGGGAGATGGGGGTGAAGGAGAGTGTGGGGATATTCTGGAAGTGATGTACATCACTGCTGACCGTGTCATTGGCCAGACTTGTCACCTACCCTCCTCACCTCCCTCCCCCGATGCAGAGGAGGTGGAGAAAGGGATGGATGTTGGCAGACCGTCCCTTCTTCTCCTTCCCGTGATCATCACATCAAATCACCATCATGTCTTCTCTGGACACCACGATTCCCTACGAACGATGTCCCAGCATCTCCCACCCCTCCTCCATACGGTCCTCCATATAGAAGCCAGGGGAGTTAAAACAATGAGAGCAACACATATCTAATCTTTCAACTTCTGTAGGATAAAGCCCACGCCTCTTTCCATGACTCATGCAGCCTGGCCCCTGTTACCTTTCCAGTCCCCTTTCTCACCATCTCCTGCCATGGGCTCTGCTCTGGCCAAATCAAACCTCTTCCAGGTCCTCAAATGCATTGTGCTCATCCTTTGCACTTGCTGTTCCCTCTGTGGGGCACGCTTTCCCCTTCTCTTGGCCAGGCTGATGCCATGTCATCCGTCAATGCTCGGATGGCTTTATTTCTCAGAGCAGCCCCTCCTGACCCCTCCACTAGCCTACAAGCCCCGACTCTTTGTGCCGTCAGTAGGCAGCAGTTCCCACCGAAGCAGCCGTCCCTGTGTGTTGCTGTCATTGTCTTTTCTTTTTTTGGAGACAAGGTCTCGCTCTGACGCCCAGGCGGGAGTGCAGTGGCATGATCTCAGCTCATGGCAACCTCCGCCTCCCAGGTTCAAGCGATTCTTCTGCCTCAGTCTCCCAGGTAGCTGGGACTACAGGTGTCCACCACCACGCCCAGCTAATTTTTGTGTTTTTAGTAGAGATGGGGTTTCACCATGTTGGCCAGGCTGGTCTCGAACTCCTAACCTCAGGTGATCCACCCACCTCGGGCTCCCAAAGTGCTGGGATTACAGGCATAAGCTACCACACCTGGCCTGTTGTCATTGTTTAATTATCAGTCTCTCTGCCTGGGATATGAGCATGGCGGGGAGGGACGAGACTGTCCTCATCATTCACCATTGTATCCTTGGTGCCACATCATCCCTGGCACATAGTAGGTACTCTGGCGATGTTTGTTGAGTGAACAAGTGAATATACTTGTAGATTCAGCCATTCCCTAGCAACCCCAGTTAAGCCCCCTGCCTGGGGTCAACCCAGACCATCACTGCTCTCCTCTCCCCATCTAGGTGCTCAGGGTGGGCTGGCCAGGTGTGCAGGGCCCCTTTCTCAGGCTGCCCTGCACATCCCGTGTTTCTCTGGATGCTGCATGTGTCACAACAGCTCTGCCACCTGCAGGCTGTGTGGCCTTGGGCAAGGCACACTCCCTCTCTGAGCCATGGCTTCTTTATTGACTCTTAGATTCAGTTCTGCAGAACCCTGGTGCTCTGAGGAGGTCTCCATGAGCAGGGTAAGGGGAGGCTGGATGGCTGGATAGTCCCTCCGCTTCAACCAGAGTGGCTTTGCTTTGATGTGTTTCTTATGCTGGGGTCAAATATAAGATTCTGTTTGGAAAGGGCTCTGCTGAAAATAGTAGTGACTATATCTCTAAGCTAGAAGATGAAGCGGGTCTCAAAGCTTAGCTTCAGGAGTTTCCCTGAAGGAGTGTGAAACCCATCTCCATCAATTCCTAGCTAAGTGACCTTGGGCAAATTACCGACCCTCTCTGTGCCTTAGTAACCTTATCCACGAAATGAGGCAATAATGTTGGCCGCCTCGTGGCATTGCAAAGATAAGGTCAAGTAATGCATGCCAAGCACTTGGAACACCTCCTAGGCAGAGGGCAGGAGGGCCCCTGGGATGAGTGAGGCATGGAGGTTGTTGCCATTCAAGCCAGGCCGACTCAGGCTGGCTCCCACAGGACGGCGCGTAGGTGCAGGTGTGAAGTGGTCTTTCAGCACATTTTCATGGAAAGAAGCCTTTCCTTTCAGATTCCTGAAAACCTCAGAGCTAAGGACTTTTCAGCGGGAAAGTCAGGGAGGGCAGTTTCCATAAGTGCACCTCACACTGATGCTGGCGTCTGACAGCTTCCCCCATAACACTGGACCGAAGGTGGGCGGGGCGCGGGCCAGCTCTGTGGGTTTGCTCTGGGCGGTTTGAAGACAGCAGTCACCAGGCCAGGGCCTCTGTGACCCCTCCCTCCTGCCTGCTCCCTGCGGTGCCCCCACTCTTTCTGATTCTCCCTGGGGCCTGGGAGACAGTGGGACACCCTGGGATGCCTGAAACTGCAGGTTGAGAGGCAGCCAGGGAGTGGGGTCCTCTGGGAGGAGCCTCAGGCAGGTTTCTGGGCCCCCTGTAACCGGCTGAATCAGAATTTCAGGGAGTGCAGTCTGGGAATCTGCTTTTTAAAAAGCTTCCCAGGGTCATGTGCAGTGACTCATTCCTGTAATCCCAGTACTTTGGGAGGCTGAGGCAGGAGGATTGCTTGAGGCCAGGAGTTCAAAGTTACAGTGCACTATGATTGTACCACTGCACTTCAGCCTGGGTGGCAGAGCAAGACTCTGTCTCAAAAACAACCAAAAAGCAACCTTCCATGGTGTATATTCAAGCTATGGAGCCACAGATCTCATCTCATGAACCTCCTGAACTTTCCTAATGGGGAGACCGAGGCACAGAGGGGAAGGGACTTAGCCAGAGCCACAGGGCTGCCGACTGGCAAAACCAATTCCCGTGATGCCCAGCTGAGGCTTTCTCCCTCCCTGGGCCACACTTGCTGTAATGTGGAATTTTCCATAGGGACACAGATCCAATTTTATACTAGGAGCTCTCAGAAACCAGTATTCTCTGCCAGAATTCCCTGCCATCACCCACTTTAGTGGAAAGCTGGTATTCTACAGAGTAAGGGGTGTCTGCTATGTCCCCCACTCCCACCACACCATTCACAGGTCCTCAGAGCCTCTCTGTGTTATTTTTCCTGCCCAGCGGGGGTCAACAGGTATCTGGCAGGGCCTGCTCACCAACAGATGTCCCTGTAGACCTGTCATAAGGCAGGCTGCCGGGAGCACACTGGACACAGAGGGGAGGTGGGGAGAAGCTGCCTGGGAGCCAGTGAGACCAGGCAGGCACTGACTGCTTAGCGGGGGCAGGCGTTTCTCCACCGAGAGAGTTGCAGATGCCAAACAGACTCTGCAGCTCCGAGCTCTCCAATCTGCCTCAGCGGGGTCTTCCGTGCCCTGCATCTCCCCTGGCTGGGGCTTGGAAGCTCAGCCCGGAAGGTTCTTCTTGCCTGAGTGAGTCAAGTCCAGAGAAAGTGTCCGTGGTTGCCTGTGGAAAGAGGAAGCACTTTCTGGCTATTTCCTTTAATAACAACAAGAGTAGCGATGACGTTGAGCCCATTTATTGAGCCTCATGATGTGCCAGGCCCTGTGCCACACAGGTAGAAGGTCACACATAGGATCCCTGCTGCTGCTGTTGTTAATAGTCATGGCCAATGTTATTACTGAATCCTTCTCTGTACCAGGAGCCAGGCACCGGGCCCAGCACTGTCTATAATTTCCTTTCATGAACAGGTTCTACATTATCATCATCTGCAATTGTTTCCATGTTGTGGATGAAGAAAATGAGGCTTGGAGAGAGAAAGTAAATTGTCCAAGGTCACACAAAGGCATCCACAGGCATTGGCCCTAGAGCCTGGGCCTCCCTACTTGAGAACTAAGCCCTTAACCACAGTGGTTGAGCGGTTATGCTGCCTCTCAAGGTTATCTCCTGCCTAAGAGATATTTCTTTCTAGCAGATGTGTGGTGGTTCGCTTTCCTCTGCAATCCGTTTTAGCTCTCTTTGCCCCAAGGATCTGGTTCTCGCTCCGACTCTGCAGAGCCTAGAGCTCCATAGACGCCAGCCCCGGGCTCTCTTTGCTGGAGGTGGCATGGCAGCTCCATTTGCTGTCTTTGTGAAATAAATCATGTCAGTCATGTGACAGCGCACTGTCCCTCATCATAGCCTAGCTTTCCATTCTGATCCACAACTTGGTACCTCAATGTGAAGACTGTGGTCTGGAATGACAAGATTCCAGAATACAGCCATGAGTCACTTAGCCATGGGGACACGTTCTGAGAAATGCATTGTTAGGTGATTTCATCACTGTGTGAACATCAGAGTGCACTTACACAAACCTGGATGGGTAGCCCGCAACACAGCTAGGCTAGATGGTACAGCTGATTGCTCCCACACCACAAGCCTGTATGGCAGGAAGTGCTGAGTAGCAGAGGCAATTGGAATAGAATGGTATTTGCGTATCTAAATGTATCTAATCATAGAAAAGGTGGCACATTGCACTATGATGATATGATGGCTATGAATGACATCACTAGATGAGAAAAATTTTTCAGCTCCCTTATAATCTTTTATTTTTGTTATTTTTCTTTTCTTTCTTTCTTTCTTTCTTTCCCTCCCTCCCTCCCTCCCTCCCTCCCTCCCTCCCTCCCTCCCTTCCTTCCTTCCTTCCTTCCTTCCTTCCTTTCTTTCAAAAAATAAAAGCATACAGACAACCTCTTGCTATGTTGCCCAGGCTGTAGTCAAACTCCTCGCTTCAAGCAATCCTCCTGCTTTGGCCTCCCAAGTCCCAACCATGTTAGCCAGGCTGGTATCGAACTCCTGGCCTGAAGTGATCTGGCCACCTCAGCTTCCCAAAGTGCCAGGACTATAGGTGTGAGCCACCACACCCAGCCTCCATTATAATCCTATAGGACCACCATGGAATATATGGTCCCACACTGTCCAAAACATCATCATGCAGCCCATGAAATTAAACTGTTTCAAGGAGAAAAGCAAAGAACACAAATGAAAGATGGGTGAGGAGGAATCAATTGTGTGAACACTCAAGAGATGAAGACGCTGAGGTCCCAGTAGACCACCGGCTGTCAGCAGCGGAATATGATAGCAGATTTGTTAAGGTAAGCACCACAAAACAGTGCTGCATCCCAGGTGTAGAATGGGCTGAGAACATCTGACACTTTGCCTCCTCTTTTTTGATGTCATAATCACTGTTGTATTATTCTCCACAAGCATCCAGGAGGGAGATTAGTTTGGGCCCCTATCCTCTTAGTTTTATTAGCTCTGTAGAAAGTATGGCTGGCCAGGTGCAGTGGCTTATGCCTGTAATCCTGGCATTTTGGGAGGCCAAGGTGGGCGGATCGCTTGAGGCCAGGTGTTCCATACCAGCCTGGTTAACATGTGTAATCCTGTCTCTACCAAAAATACAAAAATTAGCCAGGCATAGTGGTGCATGCCTGTAATCCCAGCTACTCTGGAGGCTGAGGCAGGAGAATCACTTGAACTTGGGAGGTGGAGGTTGCAATGAGCCGAGATCGTGCCACTGCACTCCAGCCTGGGCGGAAGAGCGAGACTCTGTCTCAAAAAAAAAAAAAAAAAAAAAAAAAGTATGGCCAAGGCTGGTATTTTCTATACTCCTGTCTTCCTTAGCTTCCTTAGCAACACAAAAGCTATAGTGTTGGGTGTCAATGGGCTTTTTATAATATCACATTTCCTAGCCTTTCAGAAATAGGCCTATAAGATGTAAGCAAAGGTTATTGAGTATGGTTTCTGGGAAAGCTCTCCAAAGGAGGCTAAGCTGAGAGGCATGTCCTTTTGCCTTGCCCC
Organism: Homo sapiens; assembly: GCF_000001405.40. NCBI lineage: Eukaryota > Metazoa > Chordata > Mammalia > Primates > Hominidae > Homo > Homo sapiens. The sequence continues at coordinate 64,388,072 of NC_000011.10, forward strand.
TTCCTACTCTCTGCTGCCTGAAATGTGGATGTGATGTCTGGAGCTGCAGTAGCCATTTTGGGATCATGAGGTAGCCCCAAGGATGGGAGCCTCATGTTAATGATGGCAGAGAGCAAGATAGAATGAGCCTGGGTCACTGATGGCTGTGGACCTGCTGTATCAACCCTGGGCTGGCTAACTCTAGACTTCTTTTCACATGAGAGCAAAATTTAACCTCTCCCTTATTATAGCCACTGTTATTTTGATTCTCTGTAGCTTGTAGCCAGGTGCAATTCTTAACCGATAGCAAAGCTTTTGAGCACACCTGATGCCTCACTTCCCATCTCTATTCATGAATAAAGGGAAGTTTGACATGGATATAGCAGGGTGTCCCTGAGGCATCTGTACTGGGAACAGAGCCTGCTTTTTGTGGGCCTGGGGGCCTTGTGTTGGCTTGGTCCTGTTTGCAGGAACGGGCATGCCCGCTGGTTTTATCTCTCAGAACTGGAGGAGGAGAATGAAGTCGTTTGGTGCAGAGGTGCCCTGGGAGGGGAAGGGGCAGCAAGAATGGTGGAGGTGGATGCTGCGAAGTGACGGCTGGGCTGGGGCCTGGGGATCTGTTTCTGGGAGTGGTAGCAAACTTCTGGGCTCAGGCAGTGTCCCTTCTGGCCTGGGTGACAAAGAACAGTGCAGCTATGGGACAGCACAAAGTCGTGTGTTTCTGCCCCAACCCTAGCCTAACCTTGACTCTCTAGGACTGGCAGCCTGGGAACACTGGAGGCCAGCAGAAGCAGGGGATGCAGAGAGGATGGGGCCAGGTGGAAGCCAGGTGTGGGCTTGGACCTGAGCATGTGGGAGACACTCAACATGCCCTGGAATCCCCAGGGGTGGCAGGTGCTGAGGTGGGCTGTGCTCTGTGGGTGTGCAGCCGGGCACTAAGAATCTTGGTAATTTAGCTGGAGAGCTTGTTTGTGCCCCGGGTAGCCGAGCTGGACATGCAGGTTGCAGAGGGAGTTGGAAGCTGATGGACTTAATGAACATCGTAAATCCCACGGCACTCCCGCATCGTGCCTCCCTGTTGCCTGGTGGAGACTTACCTCTTCAGAAAGCTGGTTTCAGCAATCGCTCCATAAACATCCTTGAAGTTCATGGCCCTCTTTGCTGTCTCGGAGCTCACGCTGCACTTTCTCAGTCTGTTCCATGTTTGCTGATTGAATCAGCAATTCAGCCATTTGGATTAAAAGGCATACACAATTTTTTTTTTTTGAAAGCAAAAACATCTTCTGTTGAAGCAGCTCTGCCTGACCTACCATTTGCCAAAGGAGATGTTCTCAGAAACGTGTTGTTGCCAATGCTCAGAATAAAGATCTGAAAGCCTGTAGCAAGGATCAGAAGCCTCATGGCCAACATCTCTGCATTTATAAAGCATGATTTCTCCTGTGAGTTTGGTGAGGAGATATTTTAACCCTCATTTTGCAGATGGAGAAGGTACGGGGAGGTCTTGCATGTGATGATGAGGCCAGTCATTGGTGGAGACTCCAGGTGTCTTTTTATGTCATCTCACCATCCCTTAGACTGTTAGCTTCAAGGGAAGATGGGCTCATTATTAGCCCAAATATTGACTTACATAGAATAAAAGTGGTAGCTGATATTTGAGCATGGACTCTGAGCCTGGCCCAGGACCAAGTGGCTTTGATCTGTGATTTTGTGTAGTGTGTGTAGCTTACCCAGCTCCTGTTCCTCCCACTTGTGCTTTCTGGTCCCTCCAAGCTTGCTCTAGGTCAGTTGCTGGAATGCACGGGATGCTGGGATAGATGCTCACCCATTTCTGCTGGTCACAGATGAGGAAGCACCTAGCCCTAATGGCAGCTGGCAGCCAGCCTGTCACCCCAAGGACACCATACCTCAGGGTCCAGCTGAGGCTATGGATGACAGAGGAGAGAGGGAAGAGGTCAAGTCCTGAGGACACAGCTGAGCTGCTGGATCGAACCAACCCTGAAGTCCACCCTACTGCTGAACTGTCCTTTAGCCAGGCTGCATCTCCATTTATCATTTTATTTCTTGGCACCTTCCAGAGCCAAGAGAGAGAATCTTCATGTCCAAGGGTCAGCATGCAGCTCATAGAGGGGCCGGAAATCACAGCTGTGTCTGTGCTACTTCTTCCCATCTTCAGGTGCCATGAGTGAATCAGGAAAAGATATTGGTACTGTATTAGTCTGTTCTCATACTGTTAATAAAGACATACCTGAGACTCTGTAATTTACAAAGGAAAAAGGTTTAATTGACTCACAGTTCCCAGAGCTGGGGAGGCCTCAGGAAACTTACAATAATGAGAGAAGGGAAAGCAAACACGTCCTTCTTCACAGGGCAGCAGGAGAGAGAAGAATGAGCAAAGATGGAAAGCCCCTTATAGAACCATCAAATCTCATGAGAACTCACTCACTATTATGAGAATAGCATGGGGGTAACCACCACCATGATTCAATTACCTCCCACCAGGTCCCTCCCACTACATGTGGGGATTATGGAAACTACAATTCAAGATGAGATTTGGGTGGGGACACAGCCAAAACATATCAGGGACTAAGGATACCAAGTCACGGGAGTCATCAGCTCAGTTCAATGGTGTGTCAATTAACAAAGTGTTCTGCAGTAAGAAATCACCCCATCTGGGTGATATGTGTAACTGGCAGAGGAAGTTGGCTCAGTGATGGGGAGCTTCTAAAGAAGCCTGGCCTGGCTGTGGTGTGGGATGTGGACACTGGCCCAACAGAGGGGCCTGTGGCTCCAGCAGAGGGGACATGCAGGTAGCCGATGGCCCAGAGCAGGGCTGTACTCCTTCCACCACACACCACCATTCTTCAGGTGCGGTGACAAGGCAGGGGAAGCTGCTGGGATCTCTTGGGACTTCCAAGGGGCTGAGGTTGTTCATTTACCAGACTTCAGTGGTTACTACAGAGGGCTGTCCTGTGGCCCACAGGGGGCAGGGCAAGAATGAGAGTGGACTTGGGGCCGGGTGTGGTGGCTCACACCTGTAATCCCAACATTTAGGGAGGCCGAGGCAGGTGGATGAATTGAGGTCAGGAGTTCGAGAGCAGCCTGGCCAACATGGTGAAACCCCATCTCTACTAAAAAAATACAAAGATTTAGTGGTGGCCCGCGCCTGTAGTCCCAGCTACTTGGGAGGCTGAGGCAGGAAAACCACATGAGCCCAGTGGGTGGAGGTTGCGGTGAGCTGCGATTGCACCACTGCACTCCAGCCTGGGGGGCAGAGCAAGACTCTGTCTCAAAAAAAAAAAAAAAAAAAAAAAAAAAGAAAAGAAAAGAAAACAAAAAGAGAGTGGACTTGGCCCAGAGGTGGGTGACGGTCAGTAGCCACCTGTGGAGCCTGGGGCTCTGTGCCACGGTGGCCTCTCTGGAGATAAGGTGGCGGGTGCCAAAGGGAGGGACCCTCAGGGAGGAGGCAGTGACTTGGCCAGTTCACACTCCAAGTCTGTATTTTGGCTCAGCTGGCCCAGAAGTTCCTTGGCACCCCTTTCCCCAGAGGGAGACGTGTGCAATGTGTGCAGAGCCCCGCAAGGGGAGGACAGGTTGGCTCCCCACTGCCCCCAGCAGAGGGTGGGAGTGAGACTTAAGAGATGGGACCTCAGTTTCTCAGTGGCAGGTAGTGGGGTGCTGCCCACAGCAGCATTTGCAAGCTATGTTCCTTGGAGCTCAAGGAGGTTGGAAGTTTATGATAGATGCTCAGCAAAAATGTTGTCATCAGCCGTGTACTGTGCTGCCTCTTGGAAAGTCATCAAGGGCCTCAGCGCATTAAATGCTCTGAGGAGTCCTGCATTGTTATATGTGTTTAATTCAAGGCTCCCCATGGCACACCCAGCAATGCCTGTGGAGCACTGGGGTTCCCTGGAATGTAGTTTGGAAACTGTTCTGGATCTGGCTTGCTCTGAGCCTGGACATTGTCTTGGGAACAGGCCAGGCTTGTCATGGCAGGTGGTTTATGAACAGAAAGCTGCCTCATTAATTTGCAGGGAGGTCATCTTCCCTTGCACCCATCATCCCAGATCACTCAGCTCTGGGCAGGCCCCTTGCTCTCTCCCCACAAGCCAGGGAGCTCAGCCTGTTTTTTTTTTTTTTTTCCTTGAGACGGAGTCTCGTTCTATTGCCCAGGCTCTGGAGAGTGCAGTGCTGTGATCTCCCCTCACTGCAACCTCCGCCTCCCAGGTTCAAGCGATTCTCCTGCCTCAGCCTCCCAAATAGCTGGGATTACAGGCACCTGCTACCACGCCCAGCTAATTTTTGTATTTTTAGTAGAGACGGGGTTTCTCCATGTTGGTCAGGCTGGTCTTGAACTCCCGACCTCAGGTGATCTGCCTGCCTCGGCCTCCCAAAGTGCTGGGATTACAGGCATGAGCCACCGCGCCCGGCCACTCAGCCTGTCCTTCTAAGGCAGTTGCTACAGCTTTGTCTTTTAGGGTTTTTTTCTAGGAGGGAGAATGGTCCCAGGACTCCCTCCTGTGTGACTCTTGCAGGTCACTGCATGCTGGGAAGGGGAGGAGGGTCCTGATCTCAGGTAGATCTAGGACATTCCATTCCCGGGCTGGTTCCTGATTTCCCTTCTGGGGTTGTTCCCCAGGCCTCTGTAGCGGGGGGCCCTGTTGGGGCTGGGGGAGCTCAATCTCTGCAGCGGACTTTGGGTCAATCCTTTCCTGGTTCTGTTTCTGTTTCCAAAGAGCCATGCATTCACTCACAACGAGAACTTTCTCTACATGTAAGGCTGGAGCTGGGCCCAGGGATAGAGAAGTGGACAAGATGAAGCTTTGTCCCTGCCCTCAGTGGGTGCTCATGTGGTGTGGGGACAAAGACCTTAGCTGATGAGGCCGCGAGGGAGGTGGTTCCAGGGAGCACATGAGAGGGAGGCACTTAACTTTATCCATGGGGGCTGGAAGGGATTCAGGAGGTACCAGGAAGGCTGGAGAACCACAGAAACAGGGTGCAGCTCCCAGAACCCGAGGCAAAGTCAGGCCACGGGAGCGATCGGCCGCTGCCACCATTGAACACTGGGTGCCACGCCTGGCCCCACTGCAGCCTCTGGCTCTGTGCCCCAAAAGCCACCTACTGTCCCTGAAGTTGGACACTGTGGCCAGAATGGACGGACTTGACACTGTCCCTAATTCTTTTTTTTTTTTTTTTTTTTGAGACAGAGTCTCTCTCTGCCGCCCAGGCTGGAGCGCAGTGGCCTGATCTCGGCTCACTGCAACCTCCACCTCCTGGGTTCAAGTCATTCTCCTGCCTCAGCCTCCCCAGTAGTTGGGATTACAGGCATGCGCCATCACGCCTGGCTAATTTTTATATTTTTAGTAGAGATGGGGTTTCACCGTGTTGGTCAGGCTGTTCTCGAACTCCTGACCTCAGGTGATCCACCTGCCTTGGCCTCCCAAAGTGCTGGGATTACAGGCATGAGCCACCGCGTCTGGCCTCTCTCTTTTTTTTAGAGACAGGGTCTTGCTCTGTTGCCCAGGCTGGAGTGCAGTGACACAGTCTTGGCTCACTGCAACCTCTGCCTCCAGGGTTCAAGTGATTCTTTTGCTTCGGCCTTCTGAGTAGTTGTGCCTGGCTGTGCCCAGCCAGGATAAATTTTTATTTAAGTCCTTTGCACACTTTCTTTCTTTTTTTTTTTTTTTTTATGGAGCTTCGCTCTTTAGCCCAGGCTGGAGTGAAGTGGCATGATCTCGGCTCATGGCAACCTCCCCCCACTGGGTTCAGGAGATTCTCCTGCCTCAGCCTCCCAAGTAATTGGGATTACAGGCGCCTGCCACCACACACAGCTAATTTTTTTGTATTTTTAGTAGAGACAGGGTTTTGTCATGTTGGCCAGGCTTGTCTCAAACTGCTGACCTCAGGTGATCCTCTCGCTTCAGCCTCCCAAAGTGCTAGGATTACAGGTGTGAGCTACCACGCCTAGCTCCCTTTGCACACTTTCTAACTGGATTTTTGTGTTGTCGTTGAGTTGCAGGAGTTATTTCTATATTCTGGATATTAATCTCTTATAAGATACATGATTTGCAAATATTTCTTCCAATTCTGTAGGTTGCCTTGGGCTGTACTTTTAAATTGTTGAATTCTTTGTAATTTTTTGTTGTTGTTTTTTAAAGAGACTAGGTCTCGCTGTGTCACCTAGGAGGGAGTGCTGTGAAGCAATCAGCTCACTGCAGCCTTGAACTCCAGGCTCAGGAGTTCCTCAGCCTCAGCCGCCTAAGTAGCTAGGACTACAGGTGCATGACACTATGCTCGGCTATTTTTTTTATTAAAATTTTTATTTTTATTTTTTGTAGAGATGGGGGTCTCGCTATGTTGCCCAAGCTAGTCTCAAAGTCCTGGCCTCAAGTGATCCTCTTGCCTCAGCCTCCAGGATGTTGGGATTACAGGTGTGTGCCACCGCACCTGGCCCTCGTCAGTTTTTGGAAGATGACAGCACAACATGTCAATAACCATAGTGGCCGGCGATCTTGTATCTTTCTTGCTAACAGAAGTCTGGTTTCGTGTGGGGAGGCAGCATGCTCAGCCTGGGTCCTGACAATAGGATTTCCATCTGATACTCCACCTTCCCAGTCTCTGTTGCAACTGGGGGTGGCCGTGTGATGCGGTTCTAGCCAAAGAGATGTGAAGAAATGTGAGGAGGAGGGGGTGCTTCTGGGAAACACTTTACTTCTTGATGAGAGGAACACTCCTTTCTTCCCAATAAAAGGCCAATAAAAGTGGACTTGGCTCCCGGATAACATCTCTGAACTATTTCCCCAAACCCAGAATAGCCCATACCCACGCTGCTGCCTCTTATTGCTTCAGCCTCTGATATGTAGATTTTCTATTCATTGCATCCAGAGACATTCCTAACGGCTACAGCTGTGTGACACCTAGGAAGAAAATTCATTTCTTATTCCATTTCCTATCTTAAATTAGGTCAAACGACACTGTGTAATATAACTCCCAGTGGGGTTTGAACATTGAGAACCACATCAAAACCTGCAACATAAGACAGCTGCAAGGTAAACAGGAGCCCCCATGATTGAAGTCCAAAAATGCAATACCTTTCTCCCTCTAAGGCAAAGCCCAGATGAATTCAAGTCAAGACCCCTTCCTCTGCAGTGTCTTACCATGCTCGGCCTTAGGTGGAGGGCCCCACTTGGCTGAAGTGTGGCTTCCCTTGGTGGCAGTTGCAGTCCAGATGGCTCTTCTCCACTTTTGGAGTGAACTTGATACAGTCCTGGAGTGCAGTGGCGTGATCTTGGCTCACTGCAACCTCTGTCTCCAGGGTTCAAGCAATTCCCGTGCCTCAGCCTCCCGGATAGCTGGAACTACAGGCATGCACCACCATGCCTGGCTAATTTTTGTATTTTTAGTAGAGATGGGGTTTCACAATGTTGGCCAGGCCGGTCTCGAACTCCTGACCTCAAGTCAAGAGATCTGCCCACCTTGGCTTCCCAAAGTGCTGGGATTATAGGCGTGAGCCACTATGCCCGGCCACAGTCTATGTTTCTAACCTGGACTGACTTTTCCAAAGAGCCAGTTCCTGGCACATATGAGATGTTCCTAGCACACTCCACACCCACAAAGTATAAACATCAGACAGACAAAAGCAGCACCTCCATCATCACAGCAGCAAACCCAGCAACGCATGGTCCAGAGTCCAGTCCAGAGCCCACTGCGGTGGGCAGCCAGAGGCCTAGAGGAGCTGGCTTAGCTGGAGCAAAGATGCAGGCACAACGCACCGGCGACAAGAGGAATGATGTTGCACTTCACCAGGAGACGAGAGTCCACGACCCAGGAATTGAAACTCCACTGGTGGAAATTGCCCAATGAGAGGCAAACTGTGTCCCCTGCCGTCCGTATCCACCCAGGCTCACAGCTTCCTCTGAGAGCAGCGGGGGGACAGTTGTCTTCTTGGGTCACTTAACATTTGCAGTGAAGTCATTCCTGGAGCCCTTACCTAGGGCTCCCCGCCCCTCCCCCACCTTGTGCTCATCCTGCTTATTCAAAGGCTCTTAATTTTGATGAGTTTCCCACTCCTCCGGCAGGCCCTTCTCAGAGCTGCATGCTTGATTCTCTGCAGTTCCGGTGGTGTCCTGCTTTGCCCTCTAAGCTTCTCCTTCCTCAGCGAGATCTGCAGGAGGCTTACAGCTCTGGGCCGTGAAGTCTCAGCAGCTGCTCAGGAATTCCCGGGGCCCTCCAAGGGGCCTCAGACCCGAGGTGTCTCCGCTGCAGAGTCACCGTGGAATATTCCTGATCCAAAGCAGCTGCCAATGCCTCAGACGCCTGTGCCCCCAGAGGGCCAGGGGCAGCTGTGTGTCTTTTCCCAGGGGCTTTTGAATTTCCTAGGACTTATTTTTAGAGCTGCAACAGAAGCCCTCCTTTCTGCCACTCCGTCTCTGCAGCAGTGGGTCAGGCTTCCGGTGTTTATTTCCATCCATGATTCCTCCCCAACTGAGGTTCCCAACCGCAGCAGCTCATTGGAATCGCGAGTCTACCGATGCTCAGACCCCACTCCAGGGATCCTGATGAATTGATCTGGGGTGAGAGCAGGGGAGGGGCCTGCATCAGCATCTTAAAATTCCTCAGTGGTTGTAGCAGCCAGATGGAAAACCGAGGCTTTTCCAGGGGTGCAGCTAGGTTGTTTTTCTTTTTCTTTTTCTTGGAGTCAGGGTCTTACTCTGTTGCCCAGGATGGAGTTCAGTGATGCAGTCTCCGCCTTACTGCAACGTGGACCTCCCTGGGCTCAGGTGATCCTCCCACCTCAGCCTCCCAAGTAGCTGAGACCACAAGCGTGCACCACCATGCCTGCCTAATGTTTGTATTTTTTGTAGAGGAGGGGTTTCACCATGTTGCCCAGCCTGGTCTTGAACTGTGATTCTCCTCCCTTGGCCTCCCAAAATGCTGGGATTACAGATATGAGCCACCATGCCCAGCCCCAGCTAAGTTTTTTAAACATAAAAACCCATATAAGGCCAGGCGCGGTGGCTCACGCCTGTAATCCCAGCACTTCAGGAGGCCGAGGTGGGCAGATCACGAGGTCACGAGTTCGAGAACAGCTTGGCCAACATGGTGAAACCCTGTCTCTACTAAAAATACAAAAATTAGCCGGGCGTGGTGGCGGGCACCTGTAATCTCAGCTACTTGGGAGGCTGAGGCAAGAGAATCACTTGAACCCAGAAGGCGGAGGTTACAGTGAGCCGAGATCACACCACTGCACTCCAGCCTGGGTGGAAGAGCGAAACTCCGTTTCAAAAACAAACAAACAAACAAACAAACAAACAAACAAACCAAACAACCAACCCACCCCGTATTGGTCCTTTCCTTTCCTTCGATACATAGTCTTACACTGTCTGCTGTATTGTGGAGTCTTTCTCTCTCCTTTTTCTCCCTTTTTTTTTTTTTTGAGACGGAGTCTCACTCTGTGGCTGACGCTGGAGTGCAGTGGTGCGATCTTGGCTCACTGCAACCTCCACCTCCTGGGTTCAAGTGATTCTCCTGACTCAGCCTCCCAAGCAGCTGGGACGACAGGCGCCCGCCACCACGCCTGGCAAATTTTTGTATTTTTAGTAGAGACAGTGTTTCACCATGTTGGCCAGGCTGGTCTCAAACTCCTGACCTCAAGTGATTTGCCTGTTTTGACCTCCCAAAGTGCTGGGATTACAGGTGTGAGCCACCGTGCCCGGCCCTTTTTCTCTTTTATTTACTGTAGACCACAGTTAAAGTAGCAACTCATGGTGGTCCAGTGATATATGGAGTTTTTGGCCCAAATTTGAATCACTGTGGACCCATCAGGTCCGTGAACTTACCCCATGCTAATATATTTCCCCAGTTCCTGAATGTACAGTTGGAGTAGGCGTTCCTGGCAACAGGCAGAATCTCCACTTGGGCTCTCTGACCTGCAAAGAAAGATCCATGAAGATAAGAAGGGCCATGTGGGAGACCCTGGAGCTTCCCCTCCCTCTGAGCTAGGAAGTCAGAGCAATGCGAATTCCTGGGCAGCTGCTCTGAGATTACACAGCCATGAAAGACGTGAGGGTGGCAGGGGAGGTGATTCCTAGCACAGCCCCATTCACATGTCTGTTTGATCTGTGCAGAAGGTGGAAGGGTCCTGGGTCCTGGAGGACTGTGCGTTGCTGTAAACGTAGCCAGGTGGTGACTCCACCTGCAGCTGCGGCTCTAGGTGCAGTATCTTCCCTGGAGCAAAACAGCATACCCCTGGCACCTGCTATGCAGCTTTTGACCCATCCAAGTATTTTTTCTGTATAGCAGTTTTCAAGGACCACCAAAAGCAGTTTGCTTTTATCTGTCACCTTCACAGTCTTGCCTCAGGGCCACGTCAACCCTTCTACTTTCTGCCACAGTATAGTTGGCAGAGATCTTATTCTCTGCATTCCACAGGACATGATACTGGTCTACTACCTGGGAAACATTATGTTGATTGGGCCTGCTATGATCTCAATGTCTATCCCCTCCAAAACTCATGTCGAAATTTAATTGCCACTGGGATGGTATTGGGAGGTGAGACCTTTAAGAGGTGTTTAGGTCATGAGGGCCCCACCCTCATGAATGGGCTAATGCTATTATTGGCAGAGTGGGTTTGTTATTGAGGGAGTGAGTTCGCCCTTTCTTGCCCTCTCTCGCTCTCTCTTTGATCTTCCACCATGTTATGACACAGCAAGAAGGCCCTTGCCAGATGCTGGTCCCTCGATCTCAGGCTTTCCAGCCTCCAGAATCATAAGTCAATACACTTCTGATCATTATGAATTATCCAGTCTGTGGTATTCTGTTTTAACAGCACAAAATGGACCAAGACAGGGCCTGAGGAGCAAGAAGCAGCAGATACTTTCATGTACATTAGTAAGACAAATGAAAATGAGATGGGGGAGATGAACCCCATAATAATTCAGGGGTCTGTCACCTCAGGGAGGTTGATGGGGCACCAATAGTCTGAAGCATGTCAAGATATCCCCTCCAAAGTGAAGGATATGTTGCTGCATCTGGACCACCTACCACAAAAATAATGGAGGTTTGCATACATCACATTTGAGAGTTTTACTCCAACCCATTTGATCAGAAATGTATTGGCTTATGGTTCTGGAGGATGGAAAGTACAAGATCAAGGGACCAGCATCTGGCAAGGGCCTTCTTGCTGCATCATAACATGGAATAAGGGCAAAGAGTGAGTGAGAAAGGGCAAGAGGGGGCAAACTCACTCCCTCAATAACAAGCCCACTCCCTCAATAATAATAATGCAATAGGTGCCAGTTTTGAGTGGGGACCAAATCAAGAGAAGACTCTGCAGCCAGTCCAGCCTGCACAGCAAGTGCTCTTCCTTTGGGCCTTGTGACTCCACAGACTGATGATGCTCAGAATGTGCTTGTGAACAGGGATGCTGCTGTCAAGCATGGGCTGCAGGCAAGTGTCAGGAAGAGGATCACTGTGCAGGCCTCCAGGGTTCTCGTGCAAGTCCATGCCCTCTTCTGCAACAGAGTATTCTCCTTTACAGAAACAATTCCTGGGTTGGGCATGGTGGCTCATGCCTATAATCCCAGCACTTTGGGAGGCCAAGGTGGGCAGATCACTTGAGGTCGGGAGTTTGAGACCAGTCTGATCACCATAGAGAAACCCCGTCTCTACTAAAAATACAGAAAAAATTTATCCGGGCGTGGTGACGCATGCCTGTAATCCCAGCTACTCGGGAGGCTGAGGTAGGAGAATCGCTTGAACCCGGGAGGCGGAGGTTGCGGTGGGTCAAGATTGTGCCATTGCACCCCAGCCTGGGCAATAAGAACAAAACTCCATCTCAAAAACAAACAAACAAACAAAAAAACAAGAAACAGTTTCTGGCTTATAGCTGTGCCCTGGTAGGGACTGAACACTGGACATCAAGTGACCATGTGGCCTGAGCATCTGTTTCAGAAGGTTGGGTTCCCACGAAACATACCGGGAGGTGAAGATTTGTGGGCAAGGGGTTTATTGGGAAGTACTCTTGGAAATAACACCCATAAGGGAGTGAAGGAGATGGGATTGTGAAGAGGGAAATGTTGAACTATGACAAAGTTGCAACAGAGGGCTAGCTAATTCCCCGGGGAACTCTGGAACTGGGTTAGCTCTTCAGCCATATCCCAGATTCAGGCAAGAGAGTTAAGCCATTGCACCCCTACATCGACTAGCCATTGGAAGCAGGCTTCCTCCAGGGTGGGGTCACATCCGTGGGTGAGGCAACTCCCTGCTGCTGAGGGCCAGGGCCAGAGGGTGACTCAGCTGTGAACCGTCTTGGCAGCTGGGGAACGAGGGCCCCAGTCCTGGAGGTGGGATCTCCCTGAACACCTCAGTATCCAAGGTGTCCAGTGGAAAGTGGGTGTTATCAGACCCACCAAGCCCTGAGGTCAGCCGGTGAGGCTGAATCTATCCTCAAGTGGGAATGTGCAGAGGCACAGGTAAGTTGCAGGAGCAGGTGGCTCAGACTCCTTTGACACCGCTGATCCCCACCTATGGCCTTAGGGATGTGTGATTGAGAACACTTGTTGGGTTTAGTTTATAGGTGATTTTGCATAATATCCTGGCATTGACTGGAAGTGGGTGCCTGCCATGTGACAGCCTCATTCAGGGGGTGCTCTGAAGGATATTGAAAGACATAGTCAAGCAGAACTCTAGGGGTCCCACTTTGGACTGACAGAGGATCTGGATCTACAGTCATTCATGGGCAATTGCTAATGGTTTAGCTCAGAAGTTGGCAAACCACAGCCCACAGGTCAAGTCTGGCCACCCTCTGATTTTGTAAATAAAAGGTGTTTTTGGCACTCAGCCACGCCCATGTGTTTGCTTTTTGTGCTGCTTTCATGCGACAACAGCAGAGTTGCATAGTTGCAACGGAGAACAAATGGTCCACAGAGCCTAAAACATTTATAAATTTGATAGAAAAAGTTTGCTAACCCCTGGCTTAGCTGAATGGTCAGGGATTTGGGAAAAACAGAATTGGAAGATGGTGACATGCAGTGTGGGTAGGAAATACGTGGAGCGCTGAGAATGGGCACAGAATGCAAAGATGTTTGTTTCCAATGCGGATGCCCCGCAGAGGGCACCCCCGGCAGAGGAGCTCTTCAGAGCCAGGTGGACACAATGATGAGAGCGTGAGGGAGAATTTCTCTGTGGATGTCAGTTATCCTCTTTCCCCAGCCAGCCCAGTGCTTGCCCATTGTGTCCATGTTCAACGTGGCCATGGTGGCAGAGATGGAGGTTATGCAGGGGTTCAGCGGCGAATGTGTACTTCTCGGCACCAGGGCTTCTGGATAACGCTACTGCTGAGTGCCCGGCCTGCCAAGAGCAGAGACTGACACTGAGCCCCTGATACGGTGCATCCAGTGCACCAGGCAGCCTGCTAGCAGGTTGATTACTTGAACCCTTTCTATTATGGAGGGGATGGAGATTTGTTTTCACTGGAAAAGACTCATACTCTGGAGATGTGTTTGCCATCCCTGCTCGTAATGCTTCTGCCAGCATCATCATCTGTGGACTTTGTGAGTCTTATTCACCATCATGGTACAACATTGCTTCTGATCAAGGAATCCATTTCATGACAAAAGAAATGTGACAATAGCTTTATGGTCATGAGGTTCTCCGGTCCTACCAAATACTCCATCACCCAGAAGCAGCTGGCCTCATGGAATGGTGGAATAGCTCAGGGAAGACTTATTCAGTAAGTCATCATCAGCTGGGAGACGACACCCCGACAGGAGGGAGTTCTGTCTTACATGAGACAGATATGCTTTGAATCAGTGACCAATTTATGTTGTTGTTGCTTCTCCATGGCCAGAAAACATGGTCCAGGAATCAAGGGATGGAATGAGAGTGGCTTCTCTCATTAAAACTAATATCCCATTCATAGATTTTATTTTCTCCCGTGTCAGCAACTTTGAACCCCACTGGTTTGAAAATCTTAGTTCCCAAGGAGAGAATGCTTCCCCCAGGGGACACCATTGTTTTATTGAATCAAAAGTTGAGATGAGTTGGGCGCGGTGGGTCACACCTGTACTCCCAGCACTTTGGGAGGCTGAGGTGGGCGGATCACCTGAGGTCAGGAGTTCGAGACCAGCCTGACCACCATGGAGAAACCCCGTCTCTACTAAAAACACAAAATTAGCCAGGTGTGGTGGCGCATGCCTGTAATCTCAGCTACTCGGGAGGCTGAGGCAGGAGAATCGCTTGAACCCAGGAGGCAGTTGTTGCAGTGAGCCGAGATTGTGCCATTGCACTCCAGCCTGGGCAACAAGAGCGAAACTCCGTCTCAAAAAAAAAAACAAAACCAAACAACAAAAAAAAACAAGTTGAGATGGGGTTCTCAGCCACTGGATCAACAGGCAAAAGACAGGGTTACTGTACTGACTGGGATTACTGGCCCCAATACCAAGGGGAAAGGGGGTTCCTGCTGTGTGAGGCATATTTCCTCCCCTCCTCTTCCTCATTTTATTTTATCATTACATCATGTGATTATATTATTTTATGTAAGCTTTACAAATTTTAACTTTTTGATTTAGTCTTTAGGTAGCAGAATTTTCAGATGGGATGGTGACTGACTCAGGAATAACTAACGCGTCCTGAAGACGGATGGTGTGTTTATCTCCCAGGATGAACCCAGTGACTGCTGGGACTTCGCATCTTCTCATTTTGGGGAGACGGTGCGTTATGGATTGAATTGTGTCTCCCCAAAATTCATATGCCGAAGCCCTAATTCTTAATGAAGACATTTGAAGATAGTGTCTTTAGGGAGGTGATCAAGATTAAATGAGGTCATAAGGTGAGCCTGAATCCTATAGGACTGGTGTCCTTATAAGAAAAAGAAGAGACTCAGATCTCCCCCCAACCTCACTCTCCTTGTGCACACAGAGGAAAGGCCACGTGAGGACACAGTGAGAAGGCGGCTGTTTATGAGCCAGGAAGAGGCTTCCTCCCACCAAAAATCAACCTGATAGTAGTACCTTGATCTTGGGCTTCTGGCCTACAGAACTCTGAGAAAATAAATTTCTGTTGTTTAAGCCACCCGGGCTGTGGCATTTTGTTATGGCAGCCTGAGCAGACTAACACAGAGTGAGAATGTCTTTCTTTGTATGAAGGATAGTTTCATCTTGTTATGTAGAGACACAGAGTTATTTTTGTTGTTGTACAGAACTCCAAAAATATATGCAGAGGGGTGTTCACGAATGCAGAGTAGCCAAAGGGGTAGACTTTGCCAGTTATCAAGTTACTGTCTTCCAGCTTCCAGCCCAGCCTTCTATACGCTCTGTGTTGTGATGATGGAGTTGGAATTCTGCAAACCATGTTTCTGCTTTGTCTGCTGTTTCCCTGCTGGGCTCTGACAATAGGGGATGTTAGAAAGAGCAACTTTGGCCGGCCATGGTGGCTCACGCCTGTAATCCTAGCACTTTAGGATACCAAGGTGGGCAAATCACCTGAGGTCAGGAGTTTGAGACCAGGCTGGTCAACATGGTGAAACCCCATCTCTACTAAAAATACAAAAATTAGCCGGGCATAGTGGCGCATGCCTGCAATCCCAGCTACTCGGGAGGCTGAGGCAGGAGAATCGCTTGAACCCGGGAGGTGGAGATTGTGGTGAGCCGAGATTGTGCCATTGCAGTCCAGCCTGAGCAACAAGAGCGAAACTCTGTCTCAAAAAAAAAGAAAGAAGAAAGAAAGAAAGAAAGAAAGAAAGAAAGAAAGAAAGAAAAAAGAAAGAAAGAAAAGAAAGAAAGAAAAGAAAGAAAGAAAGAGCAGCTTTGAGGCTAGAACAAGACGAAGGTTCTTGCTCCTTTCGGTCTGCTTCCTGTGGGCATCACCCTCACACAGCTTCTTCACTGTGGCAGCGGCAGTTCCTTCCTGCAGTAGCTGCTGGATCCAGTTTGCAGTTTTTCCAGCAGGCACACCAGCCCCTTCAAACCCCTCTGGAGACATCACAGCACCTGCTGACCCTGTCTGCTCCTTAGAGGTCTGCATTCTAGCCTTCCATGTTTTCATAATTCCAGTCCCTTCTTCATTCCTCCAGCCCTGGGGGTGTGTGTTGCTTCCTGGAAGGTTCTCCCCTTAGAGTTCTCTTTTTTGCATTTTTAGTTTTTCAATGCCTAGTTAATAATTTTTTATATTAAATTTCCTCTGTTAACACAACACATGGTTTCTGTCTCCTGATGGGACCATGACTGATATAGACCTGGATCATTGCAGATTCTGCCTTGTGGATTCCCCATAATGAGAGAGATAAAATAATTAGAGTCTGATTTTGCCGAAAGTACCTGTTGTTCCAAAAAGCCCTCCCCATCCTCAGCCCAACACCTTCTCCCTGCCCAACATCTAAGCCAGTCGTGACTGCACCCAGAGTGCTGCTTGGCTCTGAACCCCCAGCTCCTAGGATGGACCAGGCACATCGCCTCAGGGCTCAGACCACTCCTGCTTCCCCACCTAACATCACAGGGTCACCGTGAAATTCAGGGTCCAGCCTGTTCTGTGATTATCTTTCTGGACTCTTCTCACAACTGCCAAGTTTTCTGTAACCACTCCTGGGGTCTCCAGCTCCTTAAAGGAGGCCCCCCCACAATGAGAGCTTCAGGAGGAGGGAGGCTTTTGAGGAGCACCTGTCCTGGAATCTCCCGGGTGGGCCATTCCAGCTGACTCTGGAGGTGTTCTAGTTACCCCTGTTAGATTTCTCATCTCCAAGTCACCTCCCCAATCCAGTGACAATAAAAGAAGGCTTCCTTCTCCTAGTTCCTTCTGCCAGGGCACTTAGGAGGGTGGGATGGCAAAATTTCCCTTGCCCCCATTCCTACCTGCCTCCCCTGACCTCTAAGGGCCCAACTCTTCTCCTAAGGCAATTCCCCTCTTCCTCCAGTTCAGCCAGGATGACTTCCTTAATTTTTCAGTCACTTTCTTCTTCTTCTTTTTTTTTTTTTCTTTTTGAGACAAAGTCTCACTCTGTCGCCCAGGCTGGAGTGCAGTGGCGTGATCTGGGCTCACTGCAACCTCCACCTCCTGGGTTCAAGTGACTCTCGTGCCTCAGCCTCCCGAGTAGCTGGGATTACAGGCGCCTGCCACCACGCCCAGCTAATTTTTGTATTTTTAGTAGAGACAGGGTTTCACCATGTTGGCCAGGCTGGTATCAAACTCCTGACCTCAGGTGATCCTCCCACCTCAGCCTCCCAAAGTGCTGGGATTACAGGTGTGAGCCACCGCGCCGGGCCATTTTTCAGTCACTTTTTCCCAGCTCCTGTTCTGGCTGTAACATTTGTTTTTGAGCCAATTCCATTTCTGCTTGAGTCTGTATGCACAGCTAGTAGCTGGTGACAGCGTCCTGCAGGAATGCATTCACATCTCCTTCTTAGCTTTCGGGTTTACAATAATTACACTAATTTGCCTTTCAGAGACAAAAGAAGATAGCGGTTAAGAGGCAGAGTCCAGAGCCGGACTGCCTAGGTTAAAACTGTGGCCCCTTCCACCAACTAGCTGTGGGACCTTGGGCACATTATTTATTTATTTACTTTTTTTTTGAGACAGGGTTTTGCTCTGTCGCCCAGGCTAGAGTGCAGCAGCATCATCATAGCTCACTGCAGCCTTGACCTCCTGGGCTCAAGTGATTCTCCCACCTCAGCTTCCCAAGTAGCTGGAAATATAGGGGCACACCACCACGGTCAGCTAATTTTTTTTTTTGTAGACTCCCACTGCGGTCAGCTAATTTTTTTTTTTTTTTTTTTTTTTTTGTAGACAAGGAGTCTCAGCATGTTGCCCAGGCTGATCTTGAACTCCTAGGTTCAAGTGACCCTCCTGCCTTGGCCTCCCATAGTGCTGGGATTACAGGTGTGAGCCACCACACCTGGCCTGGGCACATTATTTAAGGTCTTCATGTCTCAGTCTCCTCATCGCAAAATGCATATAATAGATTACCCTATCTCAGAGGCAGGGTGTGAGGATTTGATGGGCTAACCCACAGAACGCTGAGAAATGTCCCCGTCACAAAGCAAGCACCCACTGAGTATTCACTGTGATCATTATTCTTGACTTCACCCCAAGAAGAAGACTCATTCCCCGGAAGGGAGTTGAATCAAATACACATTTAGCTTTTGCAGATTGTATTAAATGTAGCTGGTGGAAAAAGGAGAAAGAATCATTTACATATTGCTGAGCTCCTGTTGGAGGCAGGTCCCTCAATGGGCCTCCTGGAGTGGGCAGGAGAGGCCCCTCTGGGATGCAGCTCCCTAGCATGACCCCAGGGCCAGCGTGTCACAGCTGACTGCCAGTGGAGGATTTGCAGACCACGTTTTCCACATAGTGCAGCCTCAGTGCGAGCCAGCTGCAGCCCTGGAGGGAAGCCCAGCTGTGCCGGACTTCCTGAGAGATGAGGACTCCAAAATAGCATCTTCCAGAGGGATTTTTCGAGGGTCACTGATTCCACGTGATTTTTGCCTCCTGCTTTGGAATCTAACTCTGTGTAATGCCATGTATACAGCAGGGGCCCTGTGGAGTAAGGGGTTAACTCAACAGGCCTGGGCTGCCCAAACCCTGCACATTCCAAAGAGAGGACTGGCCCTTGCCTGGCCCCTGGGAGATAAGCTCTGCGCCCTTGGAATATCCTGCCTAACAGGAGTGTTTTTTTCACCTGGGGCCTTGGGCCACCTGAGACAGTTTATGCCAGCAATGTGATTTATGGCGAATGCCTGTTTTTTTTCGCCTGGGGCCCTGGGCCAGGCTGTATCAGTCTGCCTTAAGCTAGGGCTGGAGATGAAATAGTTAAGGTCAGTCACGTGGGTGCCACATGCCTCTATGACTGACCCCTAATAAGACTTGGGACATTAGGGCTTGGCTGAGCATCTCTGGTTGCAATATTTCGTATGTGTTGTCACACCTCTATGGACTGAATCTCTGTGTCCCCCTAAAATTCTTTTTTTTTTTTTTGAGATGGAGTTTTGCTCTTGTTGCCCAGGCTGGAGTGCAATGGTGCGATCTCAGCTCACCACAACCTCCATCTCTTGGGTTCAAGCGTTTCTCCTGCCTCAGCTTCCCGAGTAGCTGGGATTAACAGGCATGCGCCACCACACCTGGCTAATTTTGTATTTTTAGTAGAGACAGGGTTTCTCCATGTTGGCCATGCTGGTCCCGAACTCCCGACCTCAGGTGATCTGGCTGCCTCGGCCTCCCAAAGTGTTGGGATTACAGGCGTGGGCCACTGCATCTGGCCTGGCATCCTTTTTCTAAAGAGCTCCCCACCTCCATTCTATTAGGCTCAGGGGTCACAAAACCTAGCTCCACCCGGAATTCCTGGCCTCTGGAAGGGCCGGCTCAGGAGAAGGGCCCATGGGCTTCAGGGTAAATCCCGTCCCTGCCAAAGGTCAGAGTTGAACCCTTGGGGCTTTTGCAATTTAAACTCCAGGTTTGCTAAGCTGACTTAGAAATTGAGTGAGGAGGGAAAGCAAATTAATGAGCAAAATTCCGCAGTGGACTCCCAGGGCCTCGCGCCCCACAAAAGACCCACGCACCGAGCTTGGACTGGGTCTCAGCTCAGGGGCCTTCTGCGCTTGTGGAGTGTGAGCTCCTGGACAAGCCTTGACTCATCCTAAGATGAAACCCTTCCCCTGTGTGTGTCTGTGTGTGTGAGTCTATGTGTGGGAGTGTGTGTGTCTGTGTGTGTCTGTCTCTGTGTGTGTGTGAATGTGTGTGTCTCTGTGTCTGTGTGTGTGTGTCTGTGTTCATGTCTGTGTGTGTCTGTGTATATGTCTGTGTGTGTCTGTGTATATGTCTGTGTGTCTGTGTATGTGTGTGTGTGTCTGTGTCTATGTGTGTATGGGTGTGCCTGTGTGCCTGCGTATGTCTGTGTTTCTGTGTGTCTCTGTGTGTGTGTGTGTGTATGTCTGTGTGTGTTTTCCTAAATTCTTTGTTTTTCTGTCACTCCATCTGCTGTGGCACACCCTTCAATATCAGCTGGAATTGCGATAAAAGCCAGTCGCATCCTGCACAGGCTCAAGACCTGTAGGTGGCCAGAAACACTGATCCTTCCTCATAGTCCTCAGAGCCCCAAAAGCCAGTCCTTCCAAGGTTTGTTTTTGTTTTTTGAGATAGGATCTCGTTCAACAGAACAGCCCAGGCTGGAGTGCAGTGGTGGCAAGATCACGGCTCACTGCTGCCTCAACCTCCCAGCCTCAAGTGAGCCTCCCTCCTCAGCCTCCAAATAGCTAGGTGCACACCACCACACCAGGCTAATTTAAAAATTTTTTTGTAGAGTTAGGGTCTTGCCATGTTGCCCAGGCTGGTCTCGAACTCCTGGGCTGAAGTGATTCTCCCACCATGGCCTCCCAAAGTGTTGGGATTACAGGTGTGAGCCACCTCGCCTGGCCCCGATCTCTCCATATAAGGACACTCACCCCATCATGAGGGCTCTTCCAAGAGCTCCTAAAGGGCGTCTTGGTCATTGAATGAGAGTTACAGATAAAGATTCTTTGCTCGGCCAAACTTTAGTCAGGCTTCTGAATCTTCTGCTAGGCCCATCTGTGCACTTCCTTGTAAAATGCAGTTCTAGGCCAGGCGCGGTGGCTCACGCCTGTAATCCCAGCACTCTAAGAGGCTGAGGTGGGCGGATCACTTGAGGTCAGAAGTTCGAGACCAGCTTGCAACATGGTGAAACCCTGTCTCCACCAAAAAAATACAAAAGTTGGCTGGGCGTGGTGGTGCATGCCTGTAATCCCAGCTACTTGGGAGGCTGAGGCAGGAGAATCACTTGAACCCGGGAGATGGAGGTTGCAGTGAGCTGAGATCATGCCCCTGCACTTCAGCCTGGGCCACAGAGTGAGATTCCGTCTCAAAAAAAAAAAAAAAAAAATCCAGTTTTAGCGAAAGAACCCTGGCCTGTGTCAGCAAGAATCCTGTTAGGTCGGGTTAAGCAGAATCTCCCCTACCCCTTGGTAATTTTCCATCCACTGACCCCCACACTCCTTGGCCATAAATTCCTACTTGCCTGTGCTATATTCAGAGTGGAGCCTAATCTCTCTCCCCTACCGCAAGATCTTATTGTGGGGGTCCCTGTATCAATCTCCACGGTCCTGGATAAAGTTGGCTCGGCCATGCTTTACCAATGTCATGGAATAATTGTTTCTTTAACATTCACCAAGGCCTTCTTGGTCATTGCACCGACAGCTGGAGATCCGAGGTGTTGATCACTCAGCATCGCCTCCTCCACGGTCACCTGAGAACAGATTCCAGGACCCAGGGGAGGGTTGCGGCTAATGAGCAGAAGCTCGATGTCAGACTTCTGGATCATCGGACCCAGGGTCTCTGCCGGCCACTCTGAATTAAGCGCTCCTGTTCACAGGCAGATGGTGCAGACCGTGCCCCTGGGGCTCAGGCAGGTCCAGAGAGAGGAGAGAGCAGAGAGCAGGCCCCGGCCTTTTCTTGTAGTACTCTTGCCCCTCCGCCCCTCCGTCCCCCCGCCCCCACCACCTCCGGGTGCAGTCGGACTCCCGAGCTTCGCGCTTCGCATCGGATAAATCACTGCACCTCTTGGGAGCTCAGGGAATGAGGGCCTGCGCAGCCGGGCCAAGGGCACCAGGACTTTGTGAGTGGGGAAGGGAGTGGGAATCCTTTCAACTATGGCTGAGGCATTTGCGGGAAACAGTTCATTCCCCAATCCCCCTCGCTATCCCCCACAACTACTGAGCTTCCTCTCCCTCCTCCCGGCACCCCCTCTCCCCTCCCCGCCTCCTTCTCTCTCTGGTTCCTTTGCACACACCAGTCTTCTGCCTACAGGCCCTTCCTCTCCATCCTGGCCTACGAGACTCCTGCGCACCCCTCAAGAATCTGCTCTGTCCGGCTCCGGGAAGTCTTGCCACACTTTCCAGTGGCTTAGGGGGCCCCTCCCTGTTCATCCCCCTCCCGCCTGTTCTTCCCCCTCCCTCTTCTTCCCCCTCCCTCCTGTCTCTGGCTCATTTCATGTAGTTCCCATTTGATTTCTTCTTGCACACCCTTTTCAGTTTATGTTCTCTTGCTGTATTTTATGAATGCTCATTAAGCCACCTTAAATCCCATCTGGAATGACTTGGGAGGGGGCCAATGCTGCTGCCCTGTGACTCTTGAGAGTTTGATATAAGACGACCACAGCCGCCAGCTGCAGCCCACGTCCTGGGACTGGAAGATCTCATGATTAGCTCTCCTGGCTCTGCACCAGCTGCCTAAGAAACGTGAGCCTTCTCAAGCTGCCGCCATGAAATATCTGTCCATAAAGATGACTTTTATGGGGAGCCGTGCTGTGGTTCTGAAACGAGATTGACACCTTAGCTTGGTTCATGCATATAGCACTCCTGGGAATTATGTGGAAGAAAGGTCTGGCCATGGGGCCGGGGTCGGGGGAGGCAGGCGAGGTGGAGGTGCCCAGGGTGTGAAAACTGAGGAAGTGATGACTCTCAGGCTGTGCCAGAGCTGGGTGGACACTGCCTGGCCCCACGTGATGTCCCCCAGTGTGTCCCCTCCCTGCCTCCTGCTGTCTCATCCCAGATGAAGGCTCTCACTTCCACGCCAGGCTCTGCCTATCTCAGGATGAGACTGTCAACTCCGTCCACAGGAGATGCCACACGTGTTGTAAACAGATGTGACTGGCATAGAATATTCCCCAAGTCTGAGTTGTGTGGTTTTGAGTGACACATGTCCTGAATGGGACACTCCTATCCAATCCAGATCCTTCCATGCAGCCTCGCCTCCATGCCAGCAGATCTGCTGAGTTGTCTTTGCATTCTTGGTTTCCTATCTCCTGGATAGGATGGATGCCTGTCTGACACATGCATGTGTACACACACGCACACATGCACACCCACCTCTGCAAAGCAAATACAAATACATGGGCTTAGGTGAATTGGAATCCATTCATTTGTCAGATATTTCTTAGGCATGTTCTCTATGCTGGGCACTGTCCCACACAATGAGGACATAGCAAGGAACAAAAAAGGGAAAAGTCCCACCCTCATGGAGCTTATATTTTGGGGTAGGAGTCAGTCCATAGATACAAGCCTAAGGAATAAAATATGCCATATGCTAGGCAAGACTACATCAAGGAAGGGGTGGGAGTGTTGGGATGGAGCTGAAACTTCAGGAAGGACCAGCCAAGGAGGCCTAAAGGCATGAGGAAGTGAGCAGTAAGCCCACAGATGTCAGGACAGGAGATCCAACAAAGAGCTGGGGGTAGCAGGTATGTGGGGGCAGCAGGAGGCCAGTGGGTGGCCAGAGAGAGAGAGAGAACCCAGGATCACAGTGGGGACAAGGTGGGGGAACACAGTGGCCTGGTGGGTTGTAGGAAGGACTTTGGCTTTGACCACGATGCGATGCTGCTTGGGGAGGTTTAAAGCAGGGGCAGGGCGGGAGATGGGACCTGACTTTCGATTTAACAGGATCCCCCTGGCTGCCTCGAGGAACGCAGGCCTCTGAGGGTCGGAACTGGACTGGGAGGCTGGTCAGCAGGCTCCTGCTGTCCTCTGTTGGGAGGTGACAGTGGCTAAGACTGGCATGGAGGCAGCGAGGTGGTGGTAAGTGACAAATTGTGTGTGTGTGTGTGTGTGTGTCTTTTTTTTTTAATTTTTAAATTTTTATTTATTTATTTTTGAGACGGAGTCTTGCTCTGTCACCCAGGCTGGAGTGCAAGATCTCGGCTCACTGCAACCTTCGCCTCCCGAGTTCAAGCAGTTCTCTTGCCTCAGGCTCCCAAGTATCTGGGATTATAGGCGCTTGCCACCATGCTCTGCTAATTTTTGTATTTTTAGTAGAGACAGGGTTTCACCACCTTGGCCAGGCTGGTCTCCAACTCCTGACCTCAGGTGATCCGCCCGCCTCAGCCTCCTAAAATGTTGGGATTACAGGTGTGAGCCACCGCACCCAACCTAGATTCTGGGTATATTTGTATATATTTTGAGTGCAAAGCTGATGGGATTGACTGACAGGTGGGATGTATGGGAGTGGGAGAGAAGCCAAGGAAGAGCCAAGGCTGATTAGTTGGTTTATTTATTCGGGTAAAATTCACATAATGTTAATTTAACCATTTTAGAGTGTATTCAGAGGTATTTAGTACCTTCACAGTGTTGTTCCATCATCGCCTCTGTCTCATCCCCAAACATTTCCATCAGCCTGAAAGGAAAACTTTGTATGCATTAAACAGTCACTCCTTCTTCCCCCTCCCGGAGCCCCTGACAAGCATGAATCTGCTTTCTGTCTCTATGGATTTACCTATTCTGGTAAATCACTTAGCATAATGTCTTCAAATTTCAGCTATGTGGTAGCATGTGTCAATTTCCTTCCTTTTTAAGGCTGAATAATATTCCACTGTATGGCTAGACCACATTTGTTTAGTCATTCATCTATCCATGGAGATGGGTGTTGTTTCCATGTTTTAGCTACTGTGAATAGTGCTGCTGTGAACATTCATGTACAAGTTTCTCTTTGAACACCTGTTTTTTTCCCTTTTATTTACTTATTTATTTATTTTGAGACAGGGTCTCTTTCTGTTGCACAGGCTGGGGTGCAGTAGCATGATCTCAGCTCACTGCAGCCTCCACCTCCCGACCCAAGTGATTCTTTTTTTTTTTTTTTTTTGAGTTTCGCTCCTGTTGCCCAGGCTGGAGTGCAATGGCACGATCTTGGCTCATCACAACCTCCGCCTCCCAGGTTCAAGCGATTCTTCTGCTTCAGCCTCCCGAGTAGCTGGGATTACAGGCATGTGCCACCACTCCCGGCTAATTTTGTATTTTTAGTAGAGACGGGGGTTTCTCTAGGTTGGTCAGGCTGGTCTTGAACTCCTGACCTCAGGTGACCGGCCACTTCAGCCTCCCAAAGTGCTGGGATTACAGGCGTGAGCCATCGAGCCCAGCCCCCAGGTGATTCTTTTACCTCAGCCTCTTGAGAGCTGAAACCATGGACATGTGCCAACACACCTGGCTAGTTTTTTAATTTTTTGTACAGACAGAGTTTTGCCATGTTGCCCAGGCTGGTCTCGAACCCCTAGGCTCAAGTGATTGCCCTACCTCAGCCTCCCAAAGTGCTGGGGTTACAGGCTTGAGCCACTGTGCCTGGCCTGAACACCTGTTTTCAATTCTTTGGGGTATGTATACACAGGAGTAAAACTGTAGGATGGTATAGTAATTCCATGCTTAACTTTGCGAGGAACGGCCAAGCTGTTCTCCACAGCAGCAGTACCATTTGACATTCCCATCAGCAAGGTACAAGGGTTCCTCTTTTTCCATATCCCCGCCAACACTTGCTATTGTCTGTGTGTGTTTTTTTAAATTATAGCCATCCTGGAGGGTGGGCGGTGGTATCTCATTGCAGGTTAGATTTGCAGTCCCTAATGACTAATGATGGTGAGCATCTTTTCATGTGCTTCTTGGCCATTTGTGGAGCCAAGGGGCTTAACCTGAGCAACCAGAGGAAGGATGGAGCTGCAAAGAAGCAAGATGGGGAACGTGGAGGGAGAGGAGGTCGGTTTGACAGGCTGAGTTTGATGTCCCCAAATGGAGAGGTCCAACTGTTGGAGGCCTGTGAACCAGAGCGACTCCATGTTGAATAGGAGCTGTGTAAAATGAGGCTGAAACCTCCTGAGCTGCATTCCCAGACAGTTAAGGCACTCTAAGTCACAGGATGAGATAGGGGTCAGCACAAGATACAGGTCCTGAAGACCTTGCTGATAAAACAGGTTGCACTAAAGAAGCTGGCTAAAACCCACCAAAACCAAGATGACCACAACAGTGACCTCTGGTTGTCCTCACTGCTCCAATCCTATCAGCGCCACGACAGTTTACAGATGCCATGGCAATGTCAGGAAGTTACCCTATATGGTCTAAAAAGGGGAGGCATGAATAATCCATCCCTTGTTTAGTAGATCATCAAGAAATAACCATAAAAATAGGCAACCAGCAGCCCTTGGGGCTGCTCTGTCTATAGAGTAGCCATTATTTTATTCCACGACATTTTTTTTTTTTTTTGAGACGGAGTCTCGCTGTGTCGCCCAGGCTGGAGTGCAGTGGCGTGATCTTGGCTCACTGCAACATCCACCTCCCAGGTTTAAGTGATTCTCCTGCCTCAGCCCCCCAAGTAGCTGGGATTACAGGTGCCCGCCACCATACCTGGCTAATTTTTCTTTTTTTTCTTGTTTTTTTGAGACGGAGTCTCACTCTGTTGGCCAAGCTGGAGTGCAGTGGCGCGATCTCGGTTCATGGCAACTTCCACCTCCCAGGTTCAAGCGATTCTCCTGCCTCAGCGTCCCGAGTAGCTGGGACTACAGGTGCATGCCACCATGCCCAGCTAATTTTTTGTATTTTTAGTAGAAACGGATTTCAACATGTTGGCCAGGCTGGTTTCACACTCCTGACCTCAGGTGAACTGCCCGCCTCGGTCTCCCAAAGTGCTGGGATTACAGGCATGAGCCACTGCCCCCGACCTAATTTTTGTATTTTTAGTAGAGATGGGGTTTCACCATGTTGGCCAGGCTGGTCTCGAACCCCTGACCTCAGGTGATCCACCCACCTCGGCCTCCCAAAGTGCTGGGATTACAGGCGTGAACCACTGCGCCTGGCCAATTTTTTGTATTTTTAGTAGAGACGGGGTTTCACCATGTTGGCCAGGCTGGTCTTGAACTCCTGACGTCGTGATTCGCCTGCCTCGGCCTCCCAGAGTGCTGGGATGACAGGCGTGAGCCACCACGCCTGGCCTATTCCTCTACTTTCTTAATAAACTTGCTTTCACTTTACGGACTCACCCTGAATTCTTTCTTGCATGAGATCCAAGAACCCTCTCTTGGGGTTTGCATCAGGACCCCCTTCCTGTAACACAACTGTAGTTGGCTGTGACTCAGGGGGTTCGGGGGAGGCCTGGGCTAGAGGTATGAACTTGGATGTGATCCACGAGGTGCAAGCGTGAGTCGGGCACACCCACAGTACAGGCCGGCCCATGAGGAGGAAGATGGGGCAAGAGTGGGGAGAAGACCAGGTGCACGAGGCCCCTGGAGGCCCTGGAGGGAGTGTTTCAAAGAAGGGAGGGTGAGCACCTGGGTCCTATGCTCTGGTGATTGAGTACCACAGAGCTGACAGCTGACTTGGCAGAGCAAGGTGACCTTGACAAGGGCAGTTTGGGCTGCAAGCCTGCCTTGAGTGGGCTTTGCGAGAGGACAGGAAGTGTGTGAGTGGAAAGGGGAGAGACTGCTCTTCAGAGGCTTCGGGGCCTTTGCTGTCAAGGGAAGGAGGGAAATAAGATGGCATTTGAAAAAGGAGTGAGATGAAGAGAGTTTAAGATGTAAGCAGGGAGGACGCAGAGCTGACGGGATGCCTGACCGATGCCCTGGAGCCTGGGGGAGGGGCAGATGTGCTGTGGGGGTGGAGGAAGTTCTTAGCTTAAAAGGATGCACCAGCTCTGAGGGGAGTGGGGGAGGAAGATAGGGGTCTGAGGAGAGGGGAGGAGGTGGGAGGGGAGCGTGGGCCCAGGGGTGCAGCATGCTTGCCGGGAAGCGTTACAGTGGCCCATTTGAAGTTAGCTCAGGAATCGAGATGTTGAAAAGACAGCTGTGTCTTACGCACACATAATCTGCAGGGCACAGCTATGTAACCGTAAGGACAATTGTTTACATTTGTAAACGGAACCCTTTAACGCCGTGGAAAAGCCACTGTGCGCCTAATTCATTCTAGAAGGCCTGTGTGCTACATCTGCCTAACTCAGGGTTTCTAACCTGGGCTCCCCGAGGGCCTCAGGCATATTTTCAACACCTTCAATTCCCTTACAAGAATAGTTTTGGGAGTTTCATGTCACTGATAACTTAAATGCTTGATGCTGGTCCACCCGGATGACTACATATGAGTGCACATTGCCCCGTGGGTTCGTGATCACACGTGTCAGTGCACACTGCCATGTGGGTTGGTGGTCAGAGGTGTGAGTGCACACTGCCATGTGGGTTCATGGTCACAGTTGTGAGTGCACACTGCCATGTGGTTTCATGATCACAGGTGTGAGT
The DNA here is from genome assembly GCF_000001405.40 of Homo sapiens. Classification (NCBI taxonomy): domain Eukaryota; kingdom Metazoa; phylum Chordata; class Mammalia; order Primates; family Hominidae; genus Homo; species Homo sapiens. The sequence goes on from NC_000011.10 coordinate 64,416,084, forward strand.
GCACACTGCCATGTGGTTTCATGATCACAGGTGTGAGTGCACACTGCCATGTGGGTTTGTGGTCACACAGGTGTGAGTGCACACTGCCATGTGGGTTTGTGGTCACACAGGTGTGAGTGCACACTGCCATGAGGGTTCGTGGCCACAGGTGTGAGTGCACACTGCCATGTGGGTTTGTGGCCACAGGTGTGAGTGCACACTGCCATGTGGGTTCATGATCACAGGTGTGAGTGCACACTGCCATGTGGGTTCCTGGTCACACATGTGTGAGTGCACACTGCCACGTGGGTTCGTGGTCACAGGTGTTTGTGTTTGTCTCAGCAGAACAGAGGCAGGCTACCACGGACAGATGCATTCTGGCCATGGTTCCAATGGAGAACCCCGGTGGAACAACCCACCAAACCCACTGTGCCACTGCTGAGTAATGGGGGACTTAGTTTCAGCAAAATGACATCATCACTTATGTTAATTTAGTGCTGTTTGAATTTTACTGGTCGTTTGTTTTGTGTTTAATTTGTATTGGCTTACAGTTCTGTAAGAACAACAATCATAGCTTTTGTGTTTATCTGTGTTTAAGTAAATTATAAAGAATGAGGCTGGGCGCGGTGGCTCACGCCTATAATCCCAGCACTTTGGGAGGCCAAGGTGGGTGGATCACTTAAGGCCAGGAGTTCTAGACCAGCCTGGCCAACATGGTGAAACCCTATCTCTACTAAAAATACAAAAAAATTAGCTGGGCATGGTAGTGCACATCCGTAATCCTAGCTACTCGGGAGGCCGAGGTAGGATGATTGCTTGAACCCGGGAGGTGGAGATTGCAGTGAGTGCCACTGCACTCCAGCCTGCGTGACAGAGCAAGACTCCATCTCACAAAAAGAAAAAAAAAGAATGATTTACTCAACAATTGGTTCTGAGAAATTGGATATCTACATGCAAAATAATGAAGTTGAACCCTTACCTTATACCATAGACAAAAATTAACTTAAAATGGACCAAAGACCTAAACATAGAGCTAAAACTATAAAACTCTTAGAAGAAAACATAGGGGAAAAGCTGCATGACATTGGATTTTGCAATGACGTCTTGGTTTTGATACCAAAAGCACAGGCAACAAAAGAAAAAAAATAGATAAATGGAACTTTGTTAATATTAAATATTTTGTGCATCAACAGACACTTTTTTTTTTTTGAGACAGGGTCCTGCTCTGTTACCCAGGCTGGAGTGCAGTGGTGTGATCTTGGCTCACTGCAACCTCCAGCTCCCAGGTTAAAGTGATTCTCTTGCCTCAGCCTCCTGAGTAGCACCACCACACCCGAGTAACTTTTGTATTTTTAGTAGAGACGGGATTTTGCCATGTTGGCCAGGCTGGTCTTGAACTCCTGACCTCAGGTGATCCACCCGCCTCAGCCTCCCAAAGTGCTAGGATTACAGGTGTGAGCCAATGCGCCCAGCCTGATAGGGAGTTAATATCCAAAATGTATAAGGAACTCCTACAACTCAACAATGAAAAACAAATGAATTAAAGAATGGGCAAAGGACTTGAATAGACATTTCTCCAAAGAAAAACATGAAAGCACATGAAAAGATGCCCAGCATCGCTAATCATTAGGACACAAATGAAAACCACAGCCAGATACCACTTCACACCCAGTCAGATGCCTATAATAAAAAAAAAAAACAGCACATGTTGGCGTGGATGTGGAGACTTTGGTAACTGTGTGCCCTTCAGGGGAAAGTGTAAAATGATGAATTTGCTTTGGAAAATGGTATAGTGGTTCCTCAAATAATTAAACATAGAACTACCATATAATCCAGTAATTCCATTTCTGAGTATATACCTAAAACAATGGAAAGCAAGACGTTGAAGAGATTTGTACACCCATGTTCCTAGCAGCATTCTTCACAATAGGCAAGAGGTGGAAACAGTGCAGTTGTCCATTGACAGATGTATTAGTCAGTTTTCATGCTGCTGATAAACACATGCCTTAGATTGGTTAACTTTTTTTTTTTTTTTTTTTTTTTTTGAGATGGAATTTTGCTCTTGTTGCCCAGGCTGGAGTACAACAGCTCAATCTCGGCTCACTGCAACCTCTGCCTCCCGGGTTCAAGCAATTCTCCTGCCTCAGCCTCCTGAGTAGCTGGGATTACAGGTGCCCGCCACCACGCCCAGCTAATTAAGACTGGTTAACTTATAAAGGAAAGAAGTTTAATTGACTCACAGTTCCACATGGCTGGGGAGGCCTCACAATCATGGTGGAAGGCAAGGAGGAGCAAAGTCATGTCTTATGTGGCGGCAAGGAAGAGAGAGAAATGAGAACAAAGCAAAAGGGGTTTCCCCTTATAAAACCATCAGATCTCATGAGACTTATTCAATACCACGAGAACAGCACAGAGGAAACCGCCCCCATGATTCAACTATTTCCTCACTGAGTCCCTCCCGCAAGTGGGAATTATGGGAGCTACAATTCACGATGAGATTTGGGTGGGGACACAGCCAAACCATATCAACAGATGAATGGCTAAGCAAAATGTGGCCTATCCATACAGTGGAATATTGCTCTGCCTTAAAAAGGAAGGAAATTCTGACACATGCTACGCGTGGATAGACATTCAGGATCTCGTGCTAAGTGCAACGAGCCAGTTATGAAAGGACAGATACTGTAGGATTCCACTTATAGGAGGCACCTGGAGTGAGATGCATAGAGTCAGAGAGTGGAATGGTGGGTGCCAGGGGCTGGGGGAGGGGCAAATGGGGGGTTAGTGTGGAGTTCTGGTTGGGAAGATGAAAAAGTTCTGGAGCTGAATGGTGGGGATGGTCACACAACAATGCACTTAATGTCACTGGACTGTATACTTAAGAATGGCTAAAATGATAAATTTTACGATATACATATTTCACCACAATAAAAGTTAAAAAGAATAATTTAGATAAACCCTGGGAAGGTGTTCATCAAGGTTTCCAAAATGCCAGGTGGTCCTGGTCTTAGTCAGGTGTCTGGATGGAGAATGCTGGTGCCCCAACTCCTCCTCCTGTCTGTGCCCACACGCAGTGCTGGGCCGGACACTTGTCTGTCCTGAGGGGAATGTGCAGCCTCTGGGCCTCCCTGGAGAGAACAGGTGAAGGAATGCCTGGGGCTCTCTCTGTGCCCTCCTCGGGAGGAAACGGGACCCAGGCGATCTTGGACAGAAGCAGGGTCCCGAGCAGGGGATCACTAGCTGCTTCCGTCCGTCTCTCTTCGGCCCTCCTGTCTGCCAGCTGCACCTCTGCTCTCTTCCAAGGGGCAGCCCCCACCAGGGGCAGTTGTCCAGCTCTTGTGCCTGGGCCGGCACTGGCAAGTTCATTTCCATGGGCATAAGCAGTCTCCATTCTGGCTTGGCAGCAATAAACCTGGCACTGGATGTTGTCCTGGTCCATACATATGTGCCAATCGGTCCAGACTCCTAGAGCTCAACAAATGGTCCTGTGAGAGCCTGGCGCTGTGTGAGCCCGGGAAGGCAGTGCAGTGCAGTGGCCAGGTCATGTCACCCAGGCTAGGGCTTGGCCTTCTGGGGAGCACAGCGAGGGATGGCCTGCCCTAAGGAAGGCCCTCTCTGAGGTGGGGATGGTTTTCCAGGGTTCCCTGGGCTCCCAGGTGCTCCCTCCTCCCCTGTACCCCACTCTTCCATACCCCGGGGCTCATCCCTTCTCCACTTGGGTCCTTGTTCCACTGAAAATCTCCCCCTACCCTCCCATCTCATGGTTTTCTTCCTCCCCGCTGGCTCTGCCTTCCCTTCAACCAGCACCAATGCCAAAATCAGCACCAGGAGCTGCCATTCATATCGTCTCTACCATATGCCCATTTGAATCCTTATTGACAAGCTTGTGACCTTTGTCAAATTAGTGACCTATCTGAGCCTCAGTTTCCTTTCCTGTAAAATGGGCACATTAATACCTATTTTACAGATGGTTGTGAGATGGGTCGTGCCTGACACCATTTGGCGCTCAGCCAACTCTTGTTTGTTTCGTCGATTCTGCTGGGTTGCCTGGCATTTTGATTTATCTTTAATTCATACCTTTGAATCTGCTGTAAACTTGGCAGCCACATCACCAAGCTCGTTAGATTGCAGGTTGGGAAGCCTAATTAGGTTCTAAGGAGGTTAGAAATCTGTCCTCAGGGACAAGTTCTCAAGCTTTAGAATGTGGACTCATGACGTCATTTTGGTCCCTGGAGGCATTCTTCTCTAGCTGTATGTGGGAAGCTCTGTGTTCCAGGCTGTGAGGCTGCCAGGCAACAAAGTTTCCCAAGTCTCAAGGAGCCATGTTGTGAGTGTTTGACAGCCAGGTCTTGGAAAGGAAGGCCAACATGCCCTGGGCTGATCAGACTCCATCATGTTGACTCCTGGGAGGCACATTTTTGAGAAACAATTAGGAACCAGGAAGCATTCTGAGGAGGAAAGCCAGGATAAAGAAGACTCAGATAAAAAAGTCATCCCACCAGGTCTGGATGCAGTGTGACTGTATCAGTCAGCTTTTGCTGGGTTATGCCAAGTAACAAACAGGTACCAAACTCAGTGGCTTATAATAATTATAATAAAAAGGGTTGTTCTTATTAATGTTGCACATTGCCTGCAGTAGGTGTGAGCCTGTTCTATGTTTTTTTCATTCTAGGATTCAGGCTGAAAGATCAGCTATGAAACTGCTGGTTTTGAGGCACAGGAAAAAGAGTGATGGCAGAACTGAGAAATGACTTTAAAGCCTCTGCTCAGAAGTGGCTTATATCCCTCTGTTCACATTTTATTGGCCACAGAGAATCACATGATCAAATATGTCTTCAGACTTGATGGGCTTAGGGAGATACCATGCTCCCACAGGGAGGGGTGGTAACTATTTGGCCAGCACAGAGTAGATACCAACAGTTATTAAACTGTTTGTTGAATGAATGAATAGATGAATTCTCTGATCCTGGAAGGATTTAAATAAAGAATGGATGACCATTTGTATTACCTATCTATTGCTGCATAACAAATTATTAAAAAACAGTCTGGGTGTGGTGGCTCTCACCTGTAATCCCAGCACTTTGGGAGACTGAGGTGGGAGGATGGCTTGAGCTCAGGAGTTTGAGATGAGCCTGGGCAATGGAGCAAGACCTCATCTCTATTAAAAAAGTTTATTAAAAAACTTAGTGGCTTAAAGCAACAATAAACATTTATTATCTCACATAGTGTCTGTGGGGCAGTAATTCTGGAATGGTTTACTTAGCAGGATGGCTCAGATTTGAGGTTTCTCATGAGATTGTAGCCAAGTTATTGATCAGAGCTGCAGCCATTTATAGGCTCCACTGCCAAAAGGCTCTGATTCCAGGATGAGTCACTGACATAGACGGGGAATTGGGACTGGCTGTTAGCAGGAGGCCTCACTTCCTCACCATGTGGCTTATCCACAGGGCTGCTTGAGTGTCCTCACAATATGGTGGCTGAATTCCTCCAGAGCAAGTAATCCTGGAAAGAACAAGACAGAAGCCACAATGTCTTTAAAGCTTCAGAAGGCACACACTATCATTTCTACAATATCCTACTGGCTACACAGGTCTTCCCTATTCGATGTGGGAAGGGACTAAATAAAGGTGTAAATAGCAGGAGGGGATATCATATGGGGCCATGTAGGAGGCAGTCTATCATAGCTCACCCTCTGGCCCCCAATAAATTATATCCTTTCCACATGTAAATACTCTTACCTCCTCCCACAGCCTCCAAAATTCTCATCTTATTAAAGCTCAAAGTCCAGAATCTCATCATCTAAATCAGGTTCAGATGAGGCTTCTAGGGTAAGGCTCCTCAAGTACAGCTCTTGAGAATAGTTTTGCTTGATCTGAAGACATGTGAACTAAAGAGGCAGTTATCTGTATCTCTGTATCTCTGTACCCTGCAACATACAACAGTGTGAGAAGCATAAGATAACCATTATAGACATTCCCAATTCGAGAAGAGAGGCACATAGAGCTGTTTGTGGTGGTGTGTGCCTGTAGACCCAGCTACTCGAGAGGCAGAGGCAGGAGGACCACTTAAGTCCAGGAGTTCAAGGCCAGCCTGGGCAACATAGTGAGGCCCTGTTTAGAAAAAAAATAAAAGGAGGCACACAGGAGTCACTAGCACATAGCAATTCTTAAATCTAGCAGACCACACATTGGAAGTTACTACACTAGGACTTCAGGGCTGGAAATAATTCTCCTTGGCTCTTGGCTCTGCCCTAGGGACTGTTGGCTTTGTCTGGGGGCTGAGTCACCTTTTCTTTTTCATGAAAGGTGGCTTATCTTAGCAGATGATTGGTTTTCTTAGCTTTCTTCTTACCTATAGAAAAGAAGTCCAAAGTCTTCTTTTTATTTTGTATTGTGTCTGTTTCTTTCAGTCCAAACTAGCAGTGCTTCTGCCAATACAATTCTTGTAAAGCCCTTTTGGGTCCCCTATGAATCTTTTTGAGGTTTGCTCTATTTAACAAGTCTCTTTGAGATAAGCCTGTCTCTACCTTGGCATTCTGCTGACACTGCTGAGGAATATCTTTAAACTTCTTAGGAACCTTATTATGAATGATTCTCTGAAGCACCCTTTACATTTTCTGAAGATATAATACAAGAGCTTATAATCACTCCTCTAGCTTCATCATTAGACTATGTTTTCCTGATATTGTCCTGGATTTGATCTTTTCCCAGAAACTATTTCTTAAATTTAGCATTGTTTGCCATCTGTAGAAAATGGGAATTTTCAGAACCAGAAAGTCCTGGCACCTTCATGTTGAACAGTTCTTCCTTTAGCTTATTTCTCTCCTATCTCATTTTACTAAAACAGGCAAGAAGAAGTGAAGTGGCACTTCCAATACTCTGCCTGGAAATCTCCCTAACAAGATCACCTAGCCCATTAAGTACATTTTCTACTTTCCACATTACTACAGATAACAGTGCTGCTAAACTTTCAGACACTATAACAATAATTTTCTCTCCTCCAGTTTCCAATAATACTTTCTCCATTTTCCTTGAAGTCTTCATCTGCAACACCCTCTAAGGCCACTTGGCTTCAATTAACAGTTGAAGTTCCTGGCCGAGCGCAGTGATTCACGCTTGTAATCCCAGCACATTTGGAGGCCGAGGCAGGAGGATCACCTGAGCCCAGGAGTTTGAGACCAGCTTGGGCAACATAGTGAGACCTCAACTCCCCAAATTAAAAAATGAGGCAGAAGGGTTGCTTGAACCTGGAAGGTCAAGGCTGCAATGAGCCGTGATCATGCCACTGCACTCCTCTCTGGGTGACAGGAGTGGAAACCTTGTTTCAAAGAAACAAACAACAAGAAACAGGTGAAGTTCTGGCTAGATACCAGAATTGCTTGACTCTTTTGTGCACGGATTTCTCCCCCTTCCTCAAGCCCATTTCCTACTTAGGGCATTGGAGTGTTCTTTTCTTTTTGTCTGTAATATCTTCCAGATATCTTCATGGCTTACTGCTCTCCTTAATTCAGGTACCACTTAAATGTCACCTCTTCAGAGAAGCCATCTGTGACAATCTAATATAGGGTCCCAGGCTGGGCGCCGTGGCCCATGCCTGTAATCCAACACTTTGGGAGTCCGAGGCGGGCAGATTGCCTGAGCTCAGGAGTTGGAGACCACCTTGGGCAACATGGTGAAACCCCATCTCTACTAAAATACAAACAATTAGCCGGGTGTGGTGGCGCATGCCTATAATCCCAGCTACTCGGGAGGCTGAGGCAGGAGAATCACTTGCGCCCGGGAGGCGGAGGTTGCAGTGAGCCGAGATTGTGCCATTGCACTCCAGCCTGGGCGACAGAGCGAGACTCTGTCTCAAAAAAAAAAAAAAAGGGTCCCCATTCTCTATACACTGACTCTGCTTTATTTTTCTTCATAGTACTTTTCACCACCTGACATCATGTTATATATCTATTTGTTTACTATCTCTCACTACATTAGAATTCAAGCTCACATGGGCAGAGGTCCTGTCTGTTTTATTCGTAGCTGCAGTCCTAATGCCTGGAAGAATTCCTAGCATGTCACAGTTGTCCAATAAATGTTTGTTGAATGAAGGCATTAAGCAGCCTCTGCAGAGGCACCCAGCATAGGTAGACGAGGCTCACGCTGGGATTCAGAGGGGATTCTCCAAAGGCATCCAAGGAAGAAGTTTTTGGAAATAACAGGCAACAGGATACACACAGGTTCAGGAGCAGGATATCGATGGCAGGTCTCGGAGTCAAAACAGGATCTGCCCTGCCACGTCTGGCCTTTTGTTTTCCCTGAAGAGGTGAAACCTTGAGCAGGTTAGGAGATCTGAGCCTTTTTCCTGAGGTAGCTGATAAGCGGGTATTTCCTTTTTCTTTCTTTTTGAGATGAAGTTTTCACTCTTGTTGCCCAGGCTGGAGTGCAATGGTGCGATCTCGGCTCACTGCAACTTCTACCTCCCGGGTTCATGCGATTCTCCTGCCTAAGCCTCCCGAGTAGCTGGGATTACAGGCATGAGCCACCAAGCCTGGCTAATTTTGTATTTTTAGTAGAGACAGGGTTTCTCCATGTTGGTCAGGCTGGTCTCGAACTCCCGACCTCAGGTGATCCACCCACCTCGGCCTCCCAAAGTGCTGGGATTGCAGGCGTGAGCCACCCGCCCAGCGTTCCTTTTTCAAAATAGTACACTGGTGCCCACTTGGCCTGTGATTCAGCCTAAGCAGGATTTGTGGACACAGGGAGCTTTCGGAGGCAGGGGTTGGTCAGAGATTAGGGATGGAGTCCATGCACAAACGTCTTCAGTCCCATGGAACTGGGTATGTGGGTTAGGGCCACAGAATATGGCAAAGACAGTTTTGTTTGTTTCTTTGTTTGTTTTTTGAGACAGAGTCTTGCTCTGTCGCCCAGGCTGGAGTGGTGCGATCTCGGCTCACTGCAACCTCCGCCTCCTGGGTTCAAGCAATTCTCCTGCCTCAGCCTCCCGGGTAGCTGGGACTACAGGTGTGTGCCACCATGCCTGGCTAATTTTTTGTATTTTTAGTAGAGACAGGGTTTCACTATGTTGGCCAGGCTGGTCTCAAACTCCTGACCTCATGATCCGCCCACCTCGGCCTCCCAAAGTGCTGGGATTACAGGCGTGAGCCACTGCGCCCGGCCAAAGACAGGTTTTATATGGAAAGATGGAAGTGGGAAATTGAGGTGGCGGAAGTTTCAAGAGTATGTGTAGAGAAGGGTCCATGAAGGAGGTGAGGGCAGATCCCCCTCAGCAGACAGACCTGGTTAGACTCAGCTCTGCAAAACATGAGCTGAGCTGCTGAGAGGCTACTTCAGCCTTTATTTATTCCACTCAGTGTGAATATTCATGCATCTCACTGTGAAAATACTAATATGTTTGATCGCAGCGTAGTGCCCCAGGCCCACTGGGGGCTGTTATATAATGCACAGTGTGTATGCATCACATTCTCTTTCTAAAATGTGAAGAAATCAGATTTCTGAAACACATCTGGCCCCAGGGCTTTTTGAGAAAGTCAGTGGATCTATAAAAACACTAACCCCAGGGGTGCTACAGAATTACACTAGAAAATATGTATCTGGTGCCAAGCACAGGCTTCGCACACAGTAGGTGCTCAATAATTGCAACCTGTTACTGTCTATTCACACCTTGATTTCTAGGAGATATACATGTATGGAAATGTATAAGTTTTGTACTTCTTTTGCTAAATTTATTCTGAAATTTTAAATTCTTTTTGATACTATTGTAAATGAAGTTTCTTTTTAAATTTCTTTTTTTTTTTTTTTTTTTTTGAGTCTGACTCTGTCACCCAGGCTGGAGTGCAATGGTGTGATGTCAGCTCACTGCAACCTCCACCTCCCGGGTTTAACCAATTCTCCTGTCTTAGCCTCCTGAGTAGCTGGGACTACAGGCGCCCGCAACCACATCCAGCTAATTTTTTTTTTTTTTTTGTATTTTAGTAGAGGTGGGGTTTCACCATGTTGCCCAGGCTGGTCTTGAACTCCTGAGCTCAGGCAATCCACCTGCTTAGGCCTTCAAAAGCGTTAGGATTACAGGCATGAGCCACCATGCCTGGCCTTTAAATTTCATTTTGTAATGTCCACTGCAAGTATATAGAAATACAATTGGCTTATATACATATTTTTTATTTTTAGAAATGGGGGTCTCACTATGTTGTTACCCAGGCTGATCTGGAACTCCTGGCCTCAAGCAATCCTGCCTCAGCCTCCCTCAGCTGGGATTACAGACGCGGCCCACTGTGCCTGGCTTGGTTCTTATATATTGATCATGTATCCTGCAACTGTGCTGAACTTGTTTATTAATTCTAGTAACGTTTTTTAGTGGATTCCTTTTTTTTTTTGAGACAGATTTTCACTCTTTCACCTAGGCTGGAGTGAAATGGTGTGATCTTGGCTCACTGCAACCTCAGCCCCCAGGTTCAAGTGATTCTCCTGCCTCAGCCTCCCGAGTAGCTGGGATTATAGATGCCTGCCACCATGCCTGGCTAATTTATATATTTTCAGTAGAGACACATTTCACCATGTTGGCCAGCCTGGTCTCGAACTCCTGACTTCAGGTGATCCACCCGCCTTGGCTTCTCAAAGTGCTGGGATTACAAGGGTGAGCCACCGCACCCGGCCTAATGGATTTCTTAGTCTTAAATATACAAGATCATGTCATCTGCAAATAGAGATAGTTTTATTTCTTTTTTTCTGTATATATATGCCTTTTATTTCATTTTTTCTCAAACCACTATACCACCAAGGATTTTAATTTCATTTTCTTGTCTAATTGCCCTGGTTAGAACTCCAGTACAACACTGAATTGGAGTGGTCGAGGCAGGCATTCTTGCCTTGTTCCTGATCTTAGGGAGAAAGCTTTCCGTCTTTCACCATTAAATGTTAGCTTAGCAACATGGCGAAACCTCATCCCTACAAAAAATGCAAAAGATAAGCTGGCATGGTGGTGCTCATCTGCAGTCCCAGCTACTCGGGAGGCTGAGATGGGAGAATAACCTGAGTGTGGCAGGTGGAGGCTGCAGTGAGCTGTGGTCACGTCACTGCACTCCAGCCTGGGTGACAGAGTGAGACCCTGTCTCGAAAAAACAAAAACAAGCTGGGTGCGGTGGCTCATGCCTGTAATCCTAGCACTTTGGGAGGCCGAGGCGGGCGGATCACCTGAGGTCAGGAGTTCGAGACCAGCCTGACCAACACGGAGAAACCCCGTCTCTACTAAAAATACAAAATTAGCCAGGTGTGGTGGCACATGCCTGTAATCCCAGCTACTTGGGAGGCTGAGGCAGGAGAATCGCTTGACCCTGGGAGGCGGAGGTTGCGGTGAGCCAAGATCATGCCATTGCACTCCAGCCTGGGCAACAAGAGCAAAACTCCGTCTCAAAAACAAAACAAAAAAAACCCAAAGTGATGTTAGCTGTGGATTTTTCATAGATCTCCTTTATTAGGTTGAAGAAACTCCCTTTTATTTTTAGTTTGTTCAATGCCTTTTTCATGAAGGGGTGGTAATTTGGTCAATGAGTTTTTCTGTGTCTATTGAGATGATCGTGGGTTTTTGTCCTTTATTTTACTGAAAGGGTGACTTGCATTAATTAATGTTCAGATGTTAAAACAACCTTTCATCACGTGGTCATGATGTATAATCCTTTTTATATGTTTCTTTCTTTCTTTTTTTTTTTAGACAGGGTCTTGCTCTGTTGCCCAGGCTGGAGTGCCTTGGCATGATCACAGCTCACTGCAACCTCGACCTACTGGCTCAAGCAATTCTCACACCTCAGCCTCCCAAGTAGCTGGGGCTACAGGCGTGCGCCACAATGCCTGGTTAATTTTTTAATTTTTTTGTAGAGACAGGGTCTCACTATATTACCCAGGCTGGTCTTGAACTCCTGGGTTCAAGAGATTCTCCTGCCTCAGCCTCCCAAAGTGCTGGAATTACAGGCATGAGCCACCACACCTGGCCCTTTCTATCTGTTGCTGGATTTGTTTTGCTAGTATTTTGTGGAGAATTTTCACATCTGTATTTACAAGAAATATCGGTCTGTAGTTCTCATTTCTTATGATGTTTTTGTCTAGTTTTGGTATCAGGGTAATACTGGCCTCAGACTGAGTTGGTAAGTGTTCTTTCTTCTTTTACGTTTTGGCAGAGTTTGTGAAGAGTTGGTAGTAATTCTTTAAATGTTTGGTGGAATTCACCAACGCAGCCTTCTTGGCCTGGGCTTTCCTTTGTGGATAGTTTTCTTATTATCAATCCAATCTTTTTACCTGTCATAAATGTATTCAGGTTTTCTGTTTCTTCTAGAGTCAGTTCCTATAGTTTGTGTCTTTCTAGGACAGGGGTGTCCAATCTTTTGGCTTTCCTGATCCACACAGGAAGAAGAAGAATCGTCTTGGGGCACACATAAAACACACTAACATTGACGATAGCTAATGAGCTAAAAAAAAATGGCAAAGAAATCTCATAATGTTTTAAGAAAGCTTACAAATTTGTGTTGGGCCGCAGATTGGACAAGCTTGTTCTAGGATTTGTTCATTTCACCTAAGTTACTAATTTGCCGGTGTACCATTTATATTTATTTGAAAGAGCTCCTTACACTCTAGCTGCTGATGGCTCCTCCTTGAATCTCTCTTCCTTTTGATTTTCATGATGTGCTTTCTTAATAGTCTTGTGACTTTGGCCTCATTAGAATGGGGACGATGAGAGGGCTCCCCCGTTGAGTGCTCGTCAGGGTCAGATGAGCGGTGCCTGGGACGTGTGGAATGTGGCGCCTGGCTCTGGGGAAGCATTAAGCGCCTGCTCGCTCTCGTCCTCACCCTCCCGGCTGCCTCCAGCTCTGGCTACTCACCCTCGGCCTCAGCAGCCATTCTTCAGGCCAGTGACTTTCAGCTGGGGATGATTTTACCTCCCTGGGGACTTCTGGCCATGTTTGGAGACATCTTTGGTGTCACCACCAAGGGCATGCGATTGACTACCAGCAGGAAGAGCCCCAGACACTGCTAAACACCCCGCAATGCACACAGCATCCCCCCACAGCAAAGATTTATCTGGCGCTAAATGGTAGTGCTAAAGTCTCTATGGAAACAGCTCTCCATGATTGTTGTAGAAAGAGTAGAAAATATAGTTAAGCCAAAAAAAAGAAAGAAAGAAAAAAGAAAAAGAAGAAAAATCTCTTATAATCTTGCCACATTGAAAGAACTTCTGTTAGGAAGGAGTATTTTTTATTTTAGAAATAGGAATGTTTTGAGAATATTCTGGCTCCTTTGAGTTTCCTCCCAGCGATGTCACCTGCTCGTGGTGTGACACAATATGTGCGGTGCTGGTTCAGGTCTCGGCCAGTCTGTAGATGGTCTCTCCCTCCTTCTTGATGAAGAGCAGAGGCAGTCCCTAGAAGGTGGGCTTAGTCAGGTGAGGGTGAGCAGGGCCCCTGGTTTGTCTGTAGTGGCTTGGCGTCTTTCCATTGAACTCCGTGTGCATCTAGATGTGTGTGCACAAGGATGTCCCCGAGTCACCACCCAGCTGGAACGTAGACCAGTACGTTCGATTCTGTAGCCTGGTTAGTTACGGGAAAGAATACAACTTGGGTTCATTTTGGCAGGCCCACTTGGGTTGCATTGTTTGATTATGTAGTAGGTCCCAAATGTTTTTCTGGGGCCAAGGGCAGCCCAGGCAGGGCACGTGCCCTTGCTGCAGCCAAACACAGACATCATTTGTCCCCTCAGCATTTGTCACACCTTGATCTCACATGTCTCCCTTGTAAAGCTCTGTCTCTTGTGTACTCAGGCGAGACCCGGGGCTCAGATGACATCTCCCGGAGGAGACACTGGCTTAGCCTGGGCTCTCCTTGGAAAGGTAGCAGATATAAGCTTCAGGCCTCTCCGTAAGAAATCAAACTTGCTCAAAATTGCTGTGCATTGCCGCATGTCGGTGTCAGAGGCTGAGCCAGCCACCCAAAGGCGCTGAGGCTCAGCCACGGCAGGGTGAACAGGTGTTCAGTATGTTACTTCTCACCCTCTACCATTTGCGGAATATCAGAGGTAGGCGCCTTGGCCCAGCCTTGCGACCGGCTTCCAGTTTGCAGGTGAGGCCCTGAGAAATGGTCGCTCTGCTTGGCCGGGGCTGAGCCTGGGCTTCTGATCTGCAGGTGGGCAATCTGCCCTCTCCACTCCTTTCTCTCCCAGGAGAGGTCTGAGTCAGCCCATCTGAGCTCCACCGGGGCCCAGACTCCATATGCTTAGGCCCTGGGGCCCCCAACAGCTGATCTACAGCCGTGACCTTGGAATCACCAGGGAATTTCAAAAACAGGCAGGGTTCCAAATCTACATTGAGACATCTCTCCTGGGTCAGCCAGGAGGTGAGGGACCACTGTTCTGGCCCCCTCTTTTCACAGAGGAAGAAGCAACATCCAGCCTGAAGGAGGAGACTGACCATAGCCAATGAATCCCCCAACACCACCTTCACCTTCTCTCTCTCTCCCTCTCCTGCTGGTGTGTGTTTCAGGGGGTGTGAACATGTGGACTCGTACGTGCCATGTAGATAACCTTCCCTCTCTGCTTTAAGCCTTCCCTGATATAGCGTGTGGCCTGCAGGGTCTGCTTGATGCCGACATCGACCCCACGATGGGGACAGACCCTGGGGATGTGTGATCCTGAGTCGGCCGGGGCCCCGCTGTTCTTTGGGAGCTAAAATCTGCCATTTCGCTTAGCAGAGACCCCAGTTCACAATAGAAGAGGTGGCCGCCGACAGCCTAGAAATGCGGCCTCTGGCTTCATGAAAGGTGACTTTGAAAAGCTGCATTTGTGCTTGACGAGGTCTGGGCAGCTGAGCTTTACGGTGACAAATGATTTCAGCGCGAGGCCACGCTGTCGGGAGCAGTAGGGGATAAAAGGCTCCTTCTCTAAGGCTCCCCTTTAAAACATTTCTTTTTATTATGAGCTATTTCAAACACAAACACGAGTGGAGAGAACAGTACAATGAAGCCCCATATACCCATCACTCACCCAGATTAGATAATCAGCACGATTTGGCCACATTGCTTCACTATCTCCTCTTTCTTTCTTCTCTTTCTTTCTGCTGGAGTATTTAAAATAAAATCTCAACCATCACCTGGCTTCACCTTTGTATCTTCCTCTGAAAAAAAGATATTTTCTTACATAACCACGAAGCCAGGACCACACCTGAGAAAGTCAATATTAACCCCTCGGGGCCGTCTGATACCCAGTCCATAATCAAATGTCCCTGTTTGCCCTAAAACGGGCTTTCTATACTGTTGGAATCTGGATTCAGAAAAGGCTCATGTGCAGTGTTTGGTCATTTAGGTCTGTTATTTATTTTATTTTATTGGAAACAGGGTCTCACTCTGTCCGCCTAGGCTGGAGTGCAGTGGCGCGATCATGGGTCACTGCCACCTCCAACTCCCAGGCTCAAGGGATCCTCCTCGCTCAGCCTCACAAGTAGCTGGGACTTGTAGTCAGGCATGTGCTGCCACGCCTGGCGAATTTTAAAATTTTCTGTAGGGATGGGCCCTTGCTATGTTGCCCAGGCTGTTCTCAAACTGCTGGGCTCAAGTGATCCTCTAGCCTTGGCCTCCAAAGTGCTGGGATTACAGGCGTGAGCCACTGCACCTGCCCAGGTCCTTAAGTTTCTTAAGGACCTTCCAGTCTTGGGCTGATCCCCACCCTTCCTCTTATAAATTTAATGACATTGACTTATTGTAGAAACCTGGCTATTTTTGCTTAGGTTTGCTCCACATCCTGGACTCCTCTATCTGCTTCCTCATGGCGTTGGACTTACCTACCTACCTCCCCTGTGCTTCCTGTAAATGGATGTCAGCATTAGAGGCTCAATGAGAATGAGATTCACCTTTTCTTTCCCCAAGAACAGGCCACAGGTGGTTCTGGGTGCTTCTCACTGTCTTATCGGGGGCATGCCTGGTCGGCTTGTCTCTCTTTTCGTGATGGTCAAAAGGACTTGTGGGTCCAGAGGGTGACAGCCCCACCCGTCCATGGTAAAGTTCCTTGTCTGGTAGCTCATCTTCAAAGATGGCCCCCAACGAATGTGCCTCCCAGTGTTCTCACCCTTAGGTAGTCTCCTCCCCGGGGCTGAATCCCGGCTGGCTGGCTGACTTGCTTTTGCCCACTAGGGTGTGGTGGAGTGAACTCGTGTGATATCTGAGGCTGGGTCATAGAAGCCTTGTCCTCTGAAAGTCTCTGGTCTTTCAGAACATGTACTCTGGGGGAAGCTAGCTGCCATGGAAGGAGTGACACTATTCTGTGACCACCATGATGTGAGGAAGCCCAAGCTAACCATGGGGAGAGGCACCTAAAGAGAGACAGACAGAGAGAGAGAGACCCACCAGCCCTTGCTGCCTCCTGCAGTTTCAGCCAAGGCACCAGACACCAGACTGCTGAAGACATCCTGGGTATCCTGCCTAGTTGAGTTTTCAAATCACCGCAGTCCCAGCTGCCATTTGACTCCAACTGTATGAGAGGCCCCAGGTGAGATCTGCCCAGCTGAGCCCTGTCAGCTCATATTCAGTGAACTCTGAATGTGAGAGGTAATATGAAATTGTTGTCATTAGTTACCACATTTAGGGATGGCTTGTTATTAACTGGGAACACCAATCAACTTTTCCCCTACATGTTTTAACCATTGCCTGAATCAGTCACTTTATTAGAAGTTACAAAAATGAATTTCTAATTCCATCATTCCTCTCACATTTATTTGCTTGGTTACCCTGAGATATGGTCCCTAGATGAAAGATGGGGAAATTATGGGATTCTCTCCTTTTCATGGATGGCCCACTCTCCTTTGAAAGTGGTGATCTGACCCTTCTTGGATCCTTGGCCCAGATCAAGGTAGGAGAGAAAGAGGAAGACAGATAAGAGGTGGAAGGTGAATAGGAGACTTGGTTTCCAAGGAAACCACCAGGTAATCATCAGGCCCTCTGAGGATCATTATTTCTTTCTCTTGCTAAAAGCCAGATGCTGTCACCTTCTAAGCCAGCTCAGATGCTTGGGCAGGCACTAAAATGGGTCCTTAGGGGAGGCAATGGGCGTGAGACCCTGTGGGGTGGCTGCTTCCACCCTCAGGCTGGCTCCCTCTCCAGGGCCTGTAGGTCCTCACCCCTTCCTCTCAAAGACAGACCACTTACCCCAAACTTCCTCAGGCCATGAGGAGTGCCTAGTTCTGGGCTGAGGGCTGCATGCAAAGCTGTCTTCCCAGGAGCTCCAAGGGACAGGATGACTTTGCTCAGAGTCGTGTCCTGGGCCTTCATCTGTGAGAACATTGAATCTGAGGACGCTGCCTTGTCCCAGGGGTGATGGTGCCCTGAATTCCAAATCCTTCAGAAGAAAAATGAACAATGACCCTGTGTCCAGTGATCAGAGGTGACTCCAGAGTGAGCCTGGCCATGGTGCGAGAGCTGCCAGGGGCAGTTAAGAGCCACTATTTATTTATTTTTATTGATTGATTGATTGAGATGAAGTCTTGCTCTGAAGCCCAGGCTTGAGTGCAGTGGCACGATCTTGGCTCACTGCACCTCCGCCTCCTGAGTTCAAGCGATTCTCCCACCTCAGCCTCCTGAGTAGCTGGGACCACAGGCATGCACCACCACACCCAGCTAATTTTTGTATTTTTACTAGAGATGGGGTTTCACCATGTTGGCCAGGCTGGTCTTGAACTCCTGACCTCAGGTGATCCACCCACCTCAGCCTCCCAAAGTGCTGGGATTACAGGCATGAGCCACTGCGCCCGTCCGAGAGCCACCATTTAATGAGCACTTACTATGTGTGGGACAGACCGAGGGCCACTCAGCGCTGCAGGCCAGTGACCTCACAGATCCTTGTAAGAGCTCCCTGAATGGGCGTGCCCTTCAACCTGCTTCACAGATGTAGGGATGGAGGCCCAGCAAGGTCGAGCCACTTGTCCAAGGTCATGCAAAGTGCCGCCTGCCATCTAACTGCAGAACCAATTCAGACATTCGCCCTTGCCAAGCCCCGTCTTGCTGGGAGTTGCTCTGGCAATGAGTACTCCTTGTTGTTTTATTATTTACCTCCAGCTGTGCACCTGGATTTGTTGGGTGACCCATAAGACATAAAGGATGGAGGAGTCCTACTCCAGGCTGGTGCCTGAGTCCTGATTGTGTGTGGGGCCCCCTGCCCCCCACCCCACCCTGGGGCACTCAAGGCAGATCTGAGTTCTGATTGGCTGGACTGGCTTTGGGTGGGGCTGGTCTAGACGTGGTCAGTCTTGCACATTCACAGAAGTGCTCAGTGCAGTCACTGCCTGGGCAGTGGAGCTGGTGCTGTCTTTGGCATTCTCCCCAGTGTGGAACAGACTTTATTTGTTCTGCAATAGTATCTGACAGCATCCGGTTTAATGCATGCATGGAGGAAATACCCCTAAACATAGTGTCCCCCTCATCAGAAACAATGGCTGGACACGTGTGAACATTTAGGAGGTGTTGCTTAAGCAAACCAAGCTCTTACGAATGTGGGGAGGGAACACCATTCCCTACAATGATTGTGCCGTGTGAGCTCTGGTTACAAGGAAAGGGGTCCAGGGTGGGCCCGGGAGGTTCCTGTCCATGCCGAGCCTGGCTCACATCAGGGCAAGATCACCTCCACCCAAGGTGGGCTTGGGTGGACCTACTGGCCACCTCTCAGGAACTCAGAACAGCACTGGGTGCTTTTGTCTGGGATTTCAACACATCCCTCCAAGAACCTTGCGAGGCAGGGAGCATTGTAATCCCCATTTCACAGGTGAGGCAGTTGAGGCTCCGCTCACCTTGCCCATTCAAGGTCACGTAGGTGTTTTCCTAAATGGAGCCAGGATTAACATGCTGGTCTGGGAACCTTCTGTTCTCTTCCCAACTGACAAGGAAACTTCACTATCACGGATTCATTAAGACCTTAGATTATATTTTCTCTGATCACAAGGGTAATATGTCGTGATTTCTAAAATAGAGACGTTAGAAAATATAGAGAAAAAGAAAAACATAAAAGTCACTGTGCCCCTATTCAGAGATAAAAGATGCCTATTCTTAGACTAGTGACTCTCCGACGGGAGCACGTGTGAGACTCACCTGGAGGGCTTGTTAAAGACACAGATTCCCTGGCCCCATCCTGAGTGTCTGAGTCGGTAGACCTGGGTAAGGGCTAAGGATTTATGTTTTTAATGATTCCTGGGTGATTCCTTTCTTTGGGACAACTGCTTAGATTAGGGTCTGTCAACCTCAGCACCATTGGCACTTGGGGCCTGCGGGTTCTCTGCTGCAGGGCTGTCTTGTACACTGCTGGGTGGTTAGCAACGTCCATAGCCTCTACCCTCTAGATGCCAGAAGCACATTCCCCCTGAGCTGTGACAGCCAGAAATGTCTCCAGACATTACCAAATGTCCCCTGGGGTGGGGAGCAAAACTGTTCCCAGTGAGCAGTCCTGTTCTATTCTTGTTTTCTTTTTTTGTTGTTTCTTTTTGAGATGGAGTCTCGCTCTGTCACCCAGGCTGGAGTGCAGTGGTGTGATCTTGACTCACTGCAACCTCTTCCTCCTGAGTTCAAGCGCTTCTCTTGGCTCAGCCTCCTGAGTAGCTGGGATTACAGGCACCCGCCACCACATCCGGCTAATTTTTGTATTTTTAGTAGAGACAGGGTTTCACCATGTTGGCCAGGCTGATCTCGAACTCCTGACCTCAGGTGATCCACCCACCTCGGCCTCCCAAAGTGCTGGGATTACAGGTGTGAGCCACCGCGCCTGGCCTCTATTCTTGTTTTCCATGTCCATTTATATTCGCACAGAGAGACACTCCTCCGTCACACACATGCACATATACACATGAACACATGCATGCACACACATGCAGAACACACATGAACATACATACATATTTTTCTTTGAGAATAATGTCAAACTATAAATACAGTTTTATAACTTGCTCTTTTTCACCTAACAACACATTGCCAATTAACTCAGCAATTAGCTTTGCTGGCAGCAAAGAGAAACAGGTTTTCTGCACAGATGATGTGGGAAGCATCACTGAGAGCCTACCACATGGCTCTGGGCCAGGAAGCGGGCAGCGGAGGGGGCACCTTTCAGATCCACCATCCTCTCCTCGGTGCAGGTGCAGGAAACTCCAACTTCGGGCAGGTGTGTCCACCTCTTACAAAGCTCTCTGTCTGGCTTCCAAAAGCTCTGGACTTAGCTTATAAGAAAAATGAGTCATCTGACAACATGGTTGTGAACTAGGACAGAGGTACTCAGGGATGCAGGGCTGTTCTCTCCAGACTTGCACCATCTTCCCCCCTCAGTGGGTTCTAGAAGTGGACCAAGAGACCCCAAGCTGGTGCAGAGTGAGTGTCCCCGGCTCTCCCCTGTTTGCCTGGGGGTGGCCAGGCTGGGACTGCATCAGGCAATGGCTGTGGCTATTGTCAGGCAGGCAGGCTGCCCACCACACAGGCATGAAAAAGGCCCTGGAGGGGGTTCCTGGGGCCTTCTATGGGATGCTGGCTTTTGCTATTCCGGTTATCCCTGAGGTCTCCTTGGCTGTCAGCCTCATGGTTCATTGTCTCCAAGCCAGGAATCGGCCACTGCCCACTGCCCTGAGTGGGGTCGCTCTTTGGGCTCAGTGTTAGGGTAGTTGCTGGAAACTGCAAGAGGCTGTCTGGGCAGGAATGTTGCGAAGGGAATGCAAGGAAGATGAGAGGGCCGGGTTGCGACCCTCACTGCTGCCTCTCCTGACACCCTCTCCTCCCTCCCCCTGCCCTTGCTAAAATAGTTTGGGGGGAATTGACTCAGCCTCCA
The DNA here is from genome assembly GCF_000001405.40 of Homo sapiens. Lineage (NCBI taxonomy): Eukaryota > Metazoa > Chordata > Mammalia > Primates > Hominidae > Homo > Homo sapiens. The sequence continues at coordinate 64,436,882 of NC_000011.10, forward strand.
GGGATGGGCCCTGATGGGTCTAAACAATCCATGTGATCCTGTCCTCTGTCCCATGGGGTTTCTGTGCCAGAGCTGTGTGGGCATCTAGTGTGTGCCTCTCCTCCCAACTGTGTAGTCAGGTTAGTGGCTTGAAATCAGCCATGGGGTGGCCGTGCGCGGTGGCTCACACCCATAATCCCAGCATGCTGGGAGGCTAAGGCTGGCAGATCACCTGAGGTCAGGAGTTTGAGACCAGCCTGGCCAACATGGTGAAACTCTGTCTCTACTGAAAATACAAAAATTAGCCGGATGTGGTGGCAGGTGCCTGTAATCCCAGCTACTTGGGAGGCTGAGACAGGAGAATCACTGGAAATGGGGAGGGGAGGTTGCAGTGAGCTGAGATTGTGCCACTGCATTCTAGCCTGGGCAACAGAGCAATACCCAGTCAAAAAAAAAAAATCAACCATGGGGAGTGTTTATACCACAGAAAATGGCACATGCTATAAATTAGAGCTTTTCCTCACACCCGTCCCCACCCCAGAGAGCTGGCTTACCTACACACCACTGACCCTCTCCCACTAATTGTGATAAAGGAGCCAGGCAGCCAGCTGCTGCTGGTGGCCACCGCACAACCACAGAGGGCTGACGGCAGGAGGACAGTGCAGAGAGACAGAAAGAGCATGGCTGCGGATGACATGCCTGATCATGCCTCACCTCTGGACTTTTTGGTTACATTTTTTCCGCATTCTTGAGAGCATCCTAAATGCTGCACCCTGGCCCTGGGGTGATTGACAGAAGGCAACACAAATGCCAGGTGAGGACCTTCAGCCCCCGGCCACTGTGGAGCAAGCAGAGCTGTTTTTGTCAAAGAGCAAAATTCTCTAGCCTGTGAGTGTTGCCGGGTGGACCTTCCCCTTCCTCCTGCCTCCCGAGGGGATGCTGCCCCAAAAGGGTCCATTTCTCAGTCTCCCCTGCCCTTAGAGATGAGCCCTGTTTTTGCCCTTTTGTGATATAAAGTTAGAAGGATGGGAAAGAGAAGAGAGGAAAGAGAGGAGAGAGGAGACAGCGAGAGGCGGGAGGCCAGGGACACCCACAGGCTATGAAGGGGCAATTTCTCAACATGGGAGTTCCTTTGTGGTTTTCTTTTTTTCTTTTTTCTTTCTTTCTTTTTTTTTTTCTTTGAGACGGAGCCTCGCTCTCTTGCCCAGGCTGGAGTGCAGTGGTGCGATCTCGGCTCACTGCAACCTCTGCCTCCTGGGTTCAAGCAATTCTCCTGCCTCACTCTCCCGAGTAGCTGGGATTACAGGTGCCCGCCACCACACCCGGCTAATTTTTGTATTTTTAGTAGAGATGGGGTTCACCATGTTGGCCAGGCTGGTCTAGAACTCCTGGCCTCAAGTGATCTGCCTGCCTGGGCCTCCCAAAGTGCTGGGATTACAGTCATGAGCCACCACACCCAGCCTCTTCTTTTTTTTTTTTTTTTTTTTTTTGAGAGGGAGTCTCACTGTGTCACCCAGGCTGGAGTGCAGTGGTGTGATCTAGGCTCACTGCAACCTCTGCCTCCTGGGTTCAAGCAATTCTCTTGCCTCAGTCTCCCAAGTAGCTGGGACTATAGGCACGTGCCACCATGCCCAGCTAATTTTTGTATTTTTAGTAGAGACGGGGTTTCACCATGTTGGCCAGGCTGGTCTGGAACTCCTGGCCTCAAGTGATCCACCCTTTCGGCCTCCCAAAGTGCTGGGATTACAGGCGTGAGCCACCATGCCCCCGGCCACCTTTGTTGTTTTCTGAGGATATTTTAACAACTTCTGGAACACAAATCTGGCTCTGCACAGTAGCTGGATTGGGCAATATGAGTCCACTGATGTCCCCGCTGCCCCAGGGACTCTGGTATCTGGGGCAGAGGTGGGACTGGATGGGTCTGAGCAGGATTTTGGCCAATTCCCCTGGGACTTTCCCAGAAAAGAACTGATGGACCCAGGTAGCCAGGGGCGACCATTCCACAGCTAGAGAAACCAAAGCGCTTTGAATTTTTTTTTCCTTGGGACATCTCCCAACCCTATTCATAAGCTTTGGTCTCTTTTGTACAGAAGAATGTGGAGTGAAGCAGAATACAGTGACCTAGGGGAAAAAAGAGGAAACAGTACAATTTTAGCCCAATTTTTCTGGAGAGAATGGAGACCATGCTTTTGGTATTGTCTGGGAGGGCGCACACCATCAGCGGCCTTGGACCAGGCTGGGAAACGTGTCCAATCAGCGGAGCCCTCAGGGGCTTGTACTAGTCTTTGAAGAAAGCCCTTTGGAGCCAGCTTCTCGCCCGGTTGTGCTGGGGAAGCAGAATTCTCAAAGGTCACGTCGCCCTCTCGCTGCCCAGCGCTGGGGGGAGGCTCCTCTTCTGCTCCCTCGGCAGCATCTGGAAACGGCCTCTTCATGGCCTCTGAGACGTTTTCTCTCTCTCCTGGGGGCTGGGGCTCACTTCCTCCCCTTGATGTCTCCCCGTAGGTTCTGTCCTTGGCTCTTTTGCCTCCAGGGGCTTCCTCGGCAATTTCACCTGTTCCATGGTTTCAGTGATCCTGTCTCTCTGGAATGTGGGTGGACAGCCTTGGGAAGCTGTGAATTCTCCAGCACCAAAACCGTCCTCCCTGAAAGGGACAGACAGCCACTCCCCGCAGAGCTGGGGAGACTCGGGGACCCTGAAGAGCAGGGGTCTCAAACTGCAGTGCTGGAAAGGGCCAGGCAGGTGTGCAGAGGAGAGGCCTGGGCCAGGAGGGAGGGGCAGGGTGCAGTCAGCTGGACGGAGAGTGCCTGGGTACTGGGCGAGGACGGCTGAGCTCCAGCTGCCGTGTAGGGATAAGGAGCCTCAGTGGGGCCAGTGCAGTGGCACTTAACCACAGGGATGCTGATGCAAATAAGCACGAGCCTCTTACACAGCACCTGACATGCAACAGGAGGCCTCCTGTTTTAAATTTTAAAAAAATTTTTCGAGATGGGGTCTTGCTCTGTTGCCCAGGCTGGAGTGCAATGGTGCAATCTCGGCTCACTGTAGCCTCGAGCTCCTGGGCTCAAGCGATCCTCCCATCTCAGCCTCCTGAGTAGCTGGGACTATAGGCATGCACCACCATGCCTGGCTAATTTTTAGTATTTTTTTTTTTGTAAAGTTGGGGTCTCACTATGTTGCCCAGGCTGGTCTTGAACTCCTGGGCTCAAGTGATCTGCCTGCCTTGGCTTCCCAAAGTGTTGGGATTACAGGCGTGAGCCACTGTGTGTGGCTCAGGAAGCTTCTTGATTCTTCCACATTGATCTCCCCCTCCTCTGAATGGTTGTCATGGTGTTGTGCCCCTCATGTGGTCCTGATCACACATTTCTCAGGTGATGGGATGTATCAGTTAGCTACTGGACAATAGTGTCATGTAACAAATGGTCCCCAAACTCAGTGGCTTAGAACAATGGTGATTTGTTCTCATGATTTTGTGGATTGGTTGGAGCTTGGCTGGTGCGGGCTTCTGGCTGGGGCAGCTCAGGCAGCTCCACTTTTCCCTGCTGGTCTGTGGCTCAGTGGGGCAGTGCAGCTCCACGAGTCTCTCATCCTCCTTGCATGAGTGGCTCAGCTGGGACATGCTTCTTTCAGAGCAGAACATACAAGGCTTCTTGGCACCTGGCAGGTGGTCACTTTTGCTTATGTGCCATTGGCCAAAGCAAATCCCATGGACAACCTCAAAGTCAAGGAGCAGGGAAGTACCCATTGCCCATGACAAGGCCACAGCAAGGGTGTGGACGCCGTAGGAGGTGGTGAGTTAGGACTTCAGCCCCGCCCCGCCGAGCCCACAGGGACGGAAACAGTTTTAGGTGAGTGCCTTTTTGCAGTGGCTGACTCATGGGGACAGGACCCTTCCTGAATGGCCTGGGACCCTGTTGAGAGCCATCTCTGGGGGAGAGGTTCCAGCAGCCCAAGTGACATATTAGCAAGAATTCGAGCCAGCATTTCTGTGCATAGGGGTAGGGAGTGGGGAGAAGGGCCTAGCAGGGCAGTGTGGTGCATGCAGTAGGTGCTTACTCAGTGTTCGATGGAGGAATGTAGACTGTCTTCTATCCAGGAGTGAGGGAAGCAGATTTTCTCTGGGTTGAGGCAGGGAGGAGGCTGGGGGTGGAGGCCTGGGGGGCTTTGATGTCCCTTTCTTGCCCCCAGGAAGCACTGCTGACTCCCACAGAGAGCAGAAAAAGAGCAGGTTAACAAAAGGAGTTTATATTCGGTCTTGAAATGTATTCCTTCGGGGGTTTCTTTTTTTCCCCAGCAAGTCAGTTCCTTTTCAGTATTTCCTTTCATTTTGTTTTAGATTTATCTTTCTATAAATAGCATGACTGGAATGAAACGTTTATTGAGGTACAACAGTGTGCAAAATGCATTGCTCTTAATAGGACAACTTGATTGCGGGTGACCACACCCATGCCCATGCAGCCAACACCCGCATCAAGGCCTAGGACGTGCCTCATCCCCGGGGAGGCCCCTCATGCCCCTCCCGGAGGGAAGCTCCATTCTGACTTCTGTTGCCATTGTGTGTTCTACTGTCTGTTCTGGAACTTCATCACCACCGAATCCCACAGGATATGCTCTTTCGTGTCTGCCTGTTTTCTTCTACTGTTAGTGAGAATCCTCCGTATTACTGCGTGTAGCAGCAGTTTGCTCTTTTTTCCTGGTTCTGTAGTAGTCCATTGCATGAATATATCATTATGTATCCATTCTACCATTGATGGACATTTGGGTGGTTTCTAGTTTGGGGCTATATTAAGTAACACTGCTATGAACATTCTTGCACATGTCTTTTGGTGGGAAATACGCACTCATTTCTCTTGGATATTTGCCTAGGAGTGGAAATGCTGGATCATAGGGTGGACGTATGTCTAGCTTTAGTAGATAGAGAGAGAAAATGGTTTCCCAAAGTAGTGGTATATAATGAGATTTTTTCGATCCGTCCCTCCCTCCCTCTCTTCTTCCCTCCTTCCCTCCCTCCCTTCCTTCTTCTCTCCTTCCCTCTCTTTCTTTCCTTCCTTCTTTCTTCCCCAATTTGAACTTCCAAGTTAAAAGGGGAATTTAGTACATTCACATTTATTGTGACAATTGATATATTTGTTTTTATCCTTTTCATCTTATTTTATGGTTACTATTTGTAACAGAAATCACCCAGTTGAAGCAGCGAGAGAGTCATCCAAGGAACTGGGTGCTTACACGATGCTTAGAACAACTGGAGGAGGAGGTTTGGCGATGAGCTTTCAGGAGTGACTGACTGCCACCTCAGAACTGGCCTGAAAGGGAATTGCTATTTCTGGCACAGCTGGGAACCTGGGGACTCAGCCCACCACTGTCCCAGAGGCTGGCCAAGGACCACACCATCCCTGCTGGACGCAGGGGTCAGAACGCAGCTGCCACAACCGTGGGCTCCAGGACTGCGTGGCTTAACCCAGCAGATGAAGCTGGATGCTGCCTCTGCCCTGGGACCTTGGATCCTCACCATCCTCCACATTTGCATCTTTTAAATAACCTTGTTTAAACCTCGAATTCTCTCTTACTAATCCAAGTTAACTATGAAAACTACCCAACCCCCTAAGGTTTCACTTGGCCGCTCTGCCTACACTACCTCAAAAGAGAAGCCTAGAACTTTTACTTCCCTTCCCTCGCTCCCTTACTGCTGCCCCCAACTCGACGTCTGAGTTTTGCAGATGCACTGAGAATGTTTAGTTCCAGTCTCAGCCCATTTATTATTATATTTTCTCTTCTTTTTGTTTTTTCAGATGGAGTCTTGCTCTGTCGCCCAGGCTGGAGTGCAGTGGTGCAATCTCAGCTCACTGCCACCTCCACCTCCCGGGTTCAAGAGATTCTCCTGCCTCAGCCTCCTGAGTAGCTGGGATTACAGGTGTCTGCCACCACGCCCGGCTAATTTTTGTATTTTTGGTAGAGATGGGGTTTCACCATGTTGGCCGGGCTAGTCTTGAACTCCTGACCTCAGGTGATCCTCCCACCTCGGCCTCCCAGAGTGTTGGAATTACAGGCGTGAACCACCACACCTGGCCATACATTTTGTCTTATAGTATGTTTCCCGCCTTTCAATCATCCCTCCTTTAATTACATGATATTTCTCGGGCATATTGTCATCCATTGAAATGTAATCAAACACACTTTGGCGCTGGCTGCTATTTCCTGTGTTCTGTCTTCCACTCTTTTGAGACTTTTGTTCCAATTTGATTTTCAACTTGTTAGAGGGTTTTCTGGTCTGCTTCCCTTGGTTTCTTTTCCTGGTCTGCTGCCTTTTCTCACTAGTTGGCAGATTGGTTCTCTCCCTTCTCACTTCCAGGGATGCAAATGAGAAGTCTGCCTGTCTGTTGTCGCAGGGCCCTTTCTGGCTGGAAGCTCCAAAGACTTCTCTTTATCCTGGAGCTCAGACGTCTCACCAGGTGTGTATTTTTTATTCATCACGGCTGCCTAGAGTCCTTTCAGGTCACAAGATTCACGTCTCTCTTCTACTCTATTATTTCTTAAATTACTATATCTCCTTTTGTTCCTTTCTCTTCTTTTAGAAATGCTATTCCTTACAATTTAGGGTCCTAGATCTGATTCTTCAGCCTCTTACCTTTTGATTCTTGCCTTCGTTTCTCTGTGTTTGTGTCCGACGTCATGGGCGAGCTCTTCCATCTGATCTGCCAGAATGCAGCTTTTGTTTTCTAGCGGATCTTTCCTCCCTTCATGTCCTGGATTGATTTTTTAATTCTGGAAATCGTGTGTGTGCTGAGCTCTCAGGAGCCTTGCTGTGTGTTGTGTGCAGAGGAGGCCCTGGTCCGGCCAGGTGGTTCCTTTGCCACCTGCCGAAAGCAACGATTTCCTTGGCATCTCTGCAGGTGGAGTGACAGAAGCCTCACAGCTGGCTCAAACCTACAGGGAGTAGAAGACATGGGCAGGGGGCGACCCACTTGGCCACACTGGGACCCTTCACCGAGATGTGCCTTGGGAGGACCGTTTGTACTCTCAGGTCTTGGCTGTAGGAGCAGAAGTCCAGTGGCAAAAGCTATACGGACCCCAAAGAAGCCATGACCCCAATGCCCGTATCAGATGTGGCCTAGTTGGTTGATGCAGAAAGAGCCAGTGGGGCGCAGAGAGCGAAGAAAAGTTCTGCTTAGAGAGGAAGATCAGGCCCCAGTCAAGGAGTGGGTCCTTTATGTGGGAGGAAGAGCCAAATGGATATGTGCTTACCAGAGGGGAACTGTGGACAGCGCTCAGTGTCCACTAAACCTGACCCATTTTCTTTCTTTCTTTCTTTCTTTCTTTCTTTCTTTCTTTCTTTCTTTCTTTCTTTCTTTCTTTCTCTTTCTTTTTCTTTCTTTCTCTTTCTTTTTCTTTCTTTCTTTCTTTTCTTTTCTTTCTTTCTTTCTTTCTTTCTTTCCTTCCTTCCTTCCTTCCTTCTTTGCTCCCTTCCTCCCTCCCTCCCTTCCTTCCTCACTCCCTCTCTTCCTTCCTTCCTTCCTTCCTTCCTTCCTTCCTTCCTTCCTTCCTTCCTTCCTTCCTTTCTTCTCTTTCTTCTCTTGTTTTTGTTTTTTTTGAGATAGGGTCTCACTCTGTCGCCTAGGCTGGAGTGCAGTGGCATGATCTTGGTTCACTACGGCCTCGACCTCCTGGGCTCAAGCCATCCTCCCACCTCAGCTGGGCTTGAAAGGGAATCGCTATTTCTGGCACAGCCGGGAACCTGGGGACTCAGCCCACCACCGTCCCAGAGGCTGGCCCAGGGCCACACCATCCCTGCTGGACGCAGGGGTCAGAATGCAGCTGCCACAACCGTGGGCTCCAGGACTGCATGGCTTAACCCAGCAGATGAAGCTGGATGCTGCCTCTGCCACCTGAGTGGCTGGGACTACAGGTGCACTCCATCATGCCTGGCTAATCTTTTGATTTTTTTTTTTAATAGAGATGGGGTCTTGCTGTGTTTCCCAAGCTGGTCTTGAACCCCTGGGTTCAAGTGATCCTCCTGTCTCAGTCACCCACAATGTTGGGATTACAGGTGTGAGCCACCTTGCCTGGCTAAATCTGGTTCATTTTCTTCCTGACACACAAACTACAGTTCCCAGCTTCTCCTGCAGCTGGCTAGGTCCCTGTGGCCATGTGACCTGTTCTAGCCAATCAAATGTGGGCAGAAGGAACATGTGCTCCTTCCGTGGCATTCCTATGTGCTGTGATCTGGAAGGCCACATGTTGAGGATGGCAGGGCTCCACGATGGAGGGATCTCAGGTTTCAAAGTCACTGCAATGCCAGAGAACTGCATGGGAGAAGCACCCAACCAAGGACATTCATATTCAACTTGCATGAGCAAGAGATAAACTTGTGTTAAACTACAGGTTTGGAGCATGCTTGTTACGGCAGCTAACCTATGCTGACTAATACAGAAGTCTTTCCTGGAAGCCCCCTGGCAGACCTGCCTAGCCAGCTCATTGATGGCAACTGGGTGCATGCTCCCCACTGAGTCACTGGTGGGTGGGATTGGTATCCAAACCATATCAAGGTTTGCCAGCAGGAAGAAGGTGGGAACTGATTCCGGGTAAGCAACCACAAGCAGCTGCCATATTAGTGAGGCTGAACAGCTTTTTATATATTATTGGCTAATTCCACACTTGTTTTGTCAATTGCCTCTTCATGTCCTTTGCCTGTTTGTCTGCCATGTTTGGGGTATCCATTGACTTCTGCTATGGAAGCAGAAGACGCCAGGGGCCCACTTTCCCAGCCTCCCTTGCAGGCTGCAGGCTTATGATTGAGGATCTGTCATTCAGAGGCTCTTGCCTCAGGAATGGGATTAAAAGCTAATGGCCAGAGGTAGCAGAAGCCGTGCAGACTTGATTCCAGAGAGAGTGAAAGCAATGGCAGCTGATCCGTGGCAGTGCGCAGGACCCAGTAAAAAGGTAGCCATGGTGTCTTTACTTGACCAGCTGGAGCACAGTTTCTGTTCCTGTCTGGGAGGCCTGCAAGCCTGGTTCTCCAGCCCACCCAGAAAGTCTGTGGTGGTACTTGATACTCATCCCTTTTCTGCTTAAATCAGCTAAGGTCAGTTTCTGTTGCTTGCGAGAAAAAACTATCATATTAACCCTCCATCTGTATTATCTGTTACAAATCTTTTTTCCAGTTGTCAGTAGTCTTTCAACCATACATATATATATATGTGTGTGTGTGTGTGTGTGTGTGTGTGTGTATAGTTGTATAGTTATATATATTATATATATAATATATAATAGCTTTCTCAGAGAGAAGTTTGAGATTCTCATGCAGCCGCATAGATCAACCATTTAGTTTCTGGTTTTCAGGTCAGGTTTATTTATTTATTTTTATTTATTTATTTATTTTGAGACAGAGTCTTGCTTTTTCGCCTAGGCTGGAGTGCAGTGGTACAATCACAGCTCACTGCCTCCTGGGTTGAAGTGATTCTCCTGCCTCAGCCTCCTGAGTAGGTGGGATTACAGACGACCACCACTACATCTGGCTAATTTTTGTATTTTTAATAGAGATGGGGTTTCACCACGTTGGTTGGCCAGGCTGGTCTCGACTTATGACCTCAAGTGATCCGCCCACCTTGGCCTTCCAAAGTACCCAGCCTCAGGTCATGTTTAAAAAGGCTTTCCTTAATCCAAGATTATAAATATATTTAATTAAGTTAAAAAACTTAAGTTGTTATTGGATTCAAATATTAATATTTAAATATTTTGTTTAAACGTATACAAAATTAAAAAATTCAAACACTACTACTAGGCTTAAAATTATATAAATAAAAAAGAGTTCTCTGCTCCATTTCTCTGATTCCCAAAACTCCCTCATTAGGGGCACCCACTTTCAGTTTTTGAGTAGATGTTTCATCTTTTTCTTTCTTTCTTCTTTTTTTTTTCGAGATGGAGTTTTGCTTTTGTTGCCCAGGATGGAGTGCAATGGTGCGATCTTGGCTCACTGCAACCTCCGCCTGCCGAGTTCAGGTGATTCTCCTGCCTCAGCCTCCTGAGTAGCTGGGACTACAGGCATACACCACCACGCCCGGCTAATTTTTGTATTTTTAGTAGAGATGGAATTTCACCATGTTGGTCAGACTGGTCTTGAATTCCCAACCTCAGGTGATCCACCTGCCCCGGCCTCCCAAAGTGCTGGGATAACAGGCGTGAGCCACTGCGCCCGGCCTCATCTTTTTCTTAAACCTTCATTTCTAAGTGAAATGGCTTCTACTCTTAATTCCTGATTTTCTTCACTTTCTGATCTCGGATTTGAGATCTCACTTGCTACCATGAAAAATGAGACTTTATTTTCTTACCATCCACACTTCTATTATCTGTCACTGCTCAGCCTCTTTTAAATCTATGGGCCCCCTCTGTCTTTTCTTTTCATTTCTTTTCTTTTCTTTTCAGATGGAGTCTTGCTCACTGCAACCTCTGCCTCCCGGGTTCAAGCGATTCTCCTGCCTCAGCCTCCGGAGCAGCTGGGATTACAGGTGCACACCACCACATCTGGCTAATTTTTGTATTTTTAGTACAGAAGGGGTTTCACCATGTTGGCCAGGCAGGTCTGGAACTCCTGACCTCAAGTGATCTGCCCACCTCAGCCTCCCAAAATGCTGGGATTACAGGCGCGAGCCACTGCACCCCGCCCGTTTTTTTCTTTTCTTTATAAAAGTTGAAATACACTAGCTGTATCTAGTTTCGGGATGTGCATGATAATTGGATACATTCCTATAATCAAATCAGGGTAATTGGGATGTCCATCATCTTAAATATTTATCTTTTCCTTGTGCCAGGAACATTAGGATTATTCTTTTCTAGCAATTTTGAAGTGTACAATCGATTAATGTCACCCTACTGATCTATTGAACACCAGATGTTATTTCGTCTATGTAAGTGTGTATTTGTACCCACTCATCAACCTTTCTTCATCCCCTCCTTTCCCCCTCCCCTTCCTGGCCTCTAGTAAGCAGGTTGCTGTTGCAAATTACGTATTGAAGAAACTGGCGCTTTGTCCTATGGTTGCCTGCAGTCTGGATTTTGCTGGTCACGTCCCCTTAGCTTTGTTGAGCAGGCTCCCCAGTCCCTGTATTTCTTGTAATTTGATAGTTGGCAAACTTTTTCCATAAAGAGCCAGCGAGTAAATATTTTGGGCTTTGTGGGCTATAACAGTCTCTGTGGCAATTCCTCAACTCTGCTGTCACAGCGAGGCCGCAGCCAGAGACAACATGTAAACAGCGGAGCAGGGCTCCGTTCCCACAGCGCGGGATCTGGGTCCCAGTTTGCACAGCCCTGAGTCGAGGGTGGATCCAATCCAGGTCTGATACAGCATTTCAATGGTGATGCCGCAGCCTTCCACACTGAGGCACTTAACACCCCATTGTTCCCAATTGCATTTTAACTGAAAAAATACAAAAAGAGATCAAAACTGAAAGTGCAGTTTCCTCATGGTCCCACCACATTTTGGAGAAGTGTATAAATGGAGAAGTGAAAGCTCCATCTTCTGCCCCTTCCCCATGAGAGAGCCTCTATTCACAGCCAGGTCAGTTTCTTCCAGACTGTTAACATCCGTGTGAGTGCACATGTCTACACTGCGTGGAGCCTGCCTGCTTCCTGCCCCGCAGGCGTGTCTGCTGTGGGAAGGCTGGAGTTCTGACCTTCCCCCTCCCCCTCTGGGTGACAGGTGGCTCAGTTCTCTTCCCTGCCACGTTCAAGACCAGGTTGGGGGAGGGGGTGAATGTCACTATTCCCCTGACTGCCACTGTGGAGAGGGGAGACCCTCGCCCCTTTTCTGAATTTTTCCTTACCCCTTTCCTTGGAATAAAGCAAACACCAGACCCAAATGGATTTTAAGTGACACTTTCCCAAGAGTCTGGAGAGGGGACAGAGACTGGACGTGGTGTGTCCTGCCTGAGCCGAGTCATCTGGTTACGAGGGCAGGGGCAGGCTGGGGTGGGGCTCATGCGCCCCGGAAGCACCCTGGCTCCTCGCTCTCCCATGCCTCTCCCTTTATGTCCTCTGCTGTCCAGCGCCTGGGCCCCGGCCCTCCCTGGGACACCATCCTGCCCTGCCCGAGTCGTGGCTCTCCAGTCTCTTTCGGGGACTCGCCCCTGGCACCCACTAGATGGCGCTCCCGGCCACTCAGCTCCCCCTGCCTCGCTTGGGGTGGTGCTGGACGTCGGGAGCGCTGGCCTCTGCTCTGCTGATTTGCAGGTGGGAGTGCAGGGTGAGCCCGGCGCAGGGGATAGGAGGTGGGGGAGTCGAGAGCTGGAGTCAGGCGCCGCTCACGCTGGGATGACGGAGTGTTAACCTCAGACTCTGGGTCCCTTTGGGCCGAAGCTTTAAGAAAACAGGGGCAGCGAGCCCGGCGTCCCAAGGAGCCTTGCCAAACTGGGCATGGAGAACGGGCCTCCTGGATGGCCACCCGCCCAGCTGCCAAAGAGGCCGGAGAGCTGGAGCCGGGACTTGGAGGATCTTCTTCAGAGAGGCAGGAGGGCGGTCCGAACGTGCCCCCACCCCTGACCTCAAGCCCATGTGGAGAGGGCCAACAGAGCCTCTTGGAGAGCTGGATTTGCGTCCTCTGCAGCTTGGGGGACACGTCGTTGATGGTGACTGACACGCCCCAGAGATAGTGACATGATGATTAAGAGTGACAGCCTGAGGGAGCTGAGCGCAGCATGGCTGGTCTGGCAGCTGCTGTCGGTGTCGCGACCCCACCCCACTTCCCCGGCTCCCTGCCTCCTTCGCTGGAGAAGCATCCTCAGCCAATGGAGCCACAATACCTGGTACGTTCAGGCGACGCCCACAGCCCACGGCTAACTGTACAAAAGACTGTTCCCTCGCCTGCCTCTAGATGGCGATACCTCTGCCCCAGGGCCCCCTGCATATCTGCCAGAGCTGTATTTACCCTGGGACCACGCCTTTACCGAGTCCTTTCTCCTTCCCCGCCCCTCTGCCCTCACATCCTGGGCGGCTTGTCCCAGGATGAGCCCTCCCCTAGTAAATCCCTGTCTTGGGCTCTGTTTTCAGACAGCTGAAGGCAGGGAACAGCAGGAGGGGCCCCAGGAAGCTGGCCCCAAGGACGGGATGCTGCAGGAGGATGCCCCGCTGGCCCCTGGTGACTGGAGCCCGTTGCGGAGGCCCCTGGCACGAGGTGGCAGAGCAGCTGCTCAGGCCTCCGCCTGTGGTCACCTGGGACAGGACTCAGGTGGACGGGGATGCCCGGCTCGTTTAATATCACTGATGTTGAGAGACAGATGGGAAAATAGCCGTGAGAAGGACGTGGAGTGGGGAGGCTGTCACTGAATACTACTGACACTTAGAAGAGGGAAAATGACAAGTTCAGGGCCACGCATCACCAATTTAAAGCAAAGTCAGGATTCCTTGGCAGAATTTAACGAAATGCTTCTCTTCTATAGCCAGGGGTCAGAGGGCAGAAGACAAGGTGCAGGACTCCAGAGAAGGCCAAATTTCCAGCCCAGGGAAGTCCCTTCTCCAAAGTCAGGGCCCCAAAGGGAAGGGTGGGGTCCCTGATATCTGAGATGGACTATCTGAGGAGACACTCTTGAGACATTGAACCCCCAGATTCTCCTGTACCTCCTGGCCTGCAGAAGTGACCCATTGCCTCTGTTGGAAGACAGAGGTCCTCTTTTGCTTAAAGACCATGCAGAAACTAAGGGAAGGGACCTTACAAGATAAGGAGTTCCTCTCTCCAGCATCTGTCCCCACCTCCCCTCCTGACCACCAGGCTCAAAGCTGGATCATATCTCAGCATGACCTGACCAAGGATGTGCTTTGCATGCCAGGGACCAAGAGGGATTAACAAGCAGAGGAGTGGTGGGAGCAAGCCAGCAGGGACCAGCCGGGTCTAGAGAATGTTCCTAGATGTGGACTCTGAAGGTTCTAGATCAAGGGAGGCTGCATAGTAGCTGGAGACTGGAGAGTTAATTAGTACAGAAAGACTCCCTAACCCCTAAAAAGGCCCTGGGAAGATTCTAATATGTTGCTTGGGAGGGTTCTTTTTTTTTGAGACAGAATTTCTCTCTGTCGCCCAGGCTGGAGTACAGTGGTGCGATCTTGGCTCTGCAACCTCCACTTCCCAGGTTCAAGCGATCCTCCTGTCTCAGCCTCCCGAGTACCTGGGATTACAGGCATGCACCACCATGCCCAGATAATGTATTGTTTTTTTTTTTTTTAGTGGAGATGGGATTTTGCCATGTTGGCCAGGCTGGTCTCGAACTCTTGACCTCAAGTGATCTGTCCACCTTGGCCTCCCAAAGTGCTGGGATTACAGGTGTGAGCCACAGTGCCCAGCACTTGAGGCAGTTCTTGAAAGCTTGGAAGAAGTGATAGTGCATAGGCGATGAAGTGGAGATGTCAGAACAGCCCTGGAGGAAGGTATGCAAAGTCTCAGAGAAGTGGACACGCCAGAATGGCTCTTCTATTGTAGGTTGTACAGGAAAACAGTGTGACAAGAGTGATGCCATCTTAAAACCGCCATATGATGATGAATGTTTCACCCCCATATACCAAGCTGCTCTGCAGTAAGCTCTTTAAACAATGCCTGTACCATACATAACCCTTTGTAAAGATGCTTAGCTAACCCCCTCCCCAAGTGGCTATGAGTTTTGCATTAAAATCGGAGATATGGCCACCTGCACATGTTTTACCCTAAAAGCTTGCTACATAAAAGTACTTTCTGCAGGGCAGATGTGGGGATCTACCATTTTGTGGCAGCCCGGAACATCGCTTCTGCTCCTAAGTCCCTATTAAATATTTCTTTACAAGAAACTGGATTTGTCAGCCTCTTTCTTCAGCCTCTCAGCTCCCTCGGCCTTTGCAGGTAGATTTGCACAGACCTGTTCACCACGAAACAGGGTGGAAAACCCACCAGCTGGCCATGTTCTTTGGAAGGTTCCAGCTCTTTACCCAAATGATAAGGCCTGAGCTGTCGAGGAGACATTGGCGTTGCTGAGCAGCCCTGTGAGGGTTGCCCGGGCCTGGCAGGGGTGGGCTGCCATGGATCTGAGCTCTCCCATAGCCACAGGGACAACTGGATTCCCGAGTAGCACAGGTCAAAGGGCAGCACTTAACTGTCTGTCACAAGCAAGGGGGTGAGAGGATCAGAATGGACAGCAGGGTTGGGACAGCCGCGGGGGAGCCTGCCCTGCCCAGCCTATGGAGATGGCTCATAGGACATAGCATTTCCAGGGGGAAGGTGTCTAGGCAGCCGGCAAGGATTTTGTTCAACAAATAGAATGAAAAGCAACCAAGAATCGATGAGCAGAAGTCCAAGGCCGGATGCCCCAACAGAAAGGAATGATCCCCTGCTGTTTCCAAATCTGAACTTGTTCTCAATCTCAGAATCCATCAGTGGAAGAGGGGCAGGTCCCAAGAGGAAGGACCCCGCAGCCATACCATCCCCCAGGACTGTATCGGTTTCCTGGGGCTGCTGTAAAAACCTGCCCCAGACTGGGTGGCTTAAACAATAGAAATGCATTGTCCTGGCCAGGCACGGTGGCTCACGCCTGTAATCCAGCACTTTGGGAGGCCAAGGTGGGCGGATCACAAGGTCAGGAGATCGAGACCATCCTGGCTAACACGGTGAAACCCCGTCTCTACTAAAAATACAAAAAAAAAAAAAATTAGCCAGGCGTGGTGGTGGGCGCCTGCAGTACCAGCTACTCAGGAGGCTGAGGCAGGAGAATGGTGTGAACCTGGAAGGCAGATCTTGTGGTGAGCCAAGATCGTGCCACTGCACTCCAGCCTGGGCGACAGACCGAGGCTCTGTCTCAAAAAAAAAAAAAAAAATGCATTGTCTCCCACAGTTCTGGAGACTGGAAGTCCAAAATTGAGGCATCAGCAGGGCTGGCTCCCTCCGAGGGCCGTGAGGGGTGTCTGCGCTGCCTCTCTTCTAGCTCCCTGGCAGTCTTAGGCGCTCCCTGGTTTAGAGATGCATCACCCCGACCTCTGCCTTCATCTTCCCGTGATGTTCTGCCCATGTGCTTACTTGTCTCTGCGTCCAAATTCTCTCCTTGCCCCACCCATTTTTTGTTTTTTGAGACAGGGTCTCACTCTGTCTACACTCCAGGATGGAGTGCAGTGGCACGATCATGGCTTACTGCAGCCTCGACTTCCTGGGCTCAAGCGATCCTCCCGTCTCAGCCTGCTGAATAGCTGGACTATAGTTGTGCACCACCACGACAGCCTAATTTTAGAAATTTTTAGAGATGGGGTCTTGCTGTGTTGCCCAGGCTGGTCTCAAACTCCTGGCCTCAAGGGATCCTCCCACCTCCAATTTCCCCTTTTTATAAGGACACAGTCGTAATGAATTAGGGCCTATCCTAATAACCTCATCTTAGCTTGATCATCTGCAAAGACTCTATTTCCAAATAAGGTCTCATTCACGGTCCTGGGGATCAGGATTTCCCCAGTACCGGGGGAATGGTGGAGGCATGATCCAACACATAACAGGGAACTTAGCCATTTTCTCCAGCAGCCGTACACTGGGAAGAGGGCATGGCCAGCTCTGGTCCTGTGGGAATTGGGTGGATGGAGTTAGAAAAGCAGGGGATTTATGGAGGTAGTACCTGTGACAGGTAAAGGAGGGGGCAGGAGGGGGCTGGGGACTTTCAGGCTCTGAGGAGGGTCTGACACCTGTGAGAGGAGATGAGGAAGGAAGGAGGATTGGGTAGGAAAAGCCTTGGACTGCAGTGCAGCTTGGAGGGAGTCTGGCCAGCCCAGCAGGGGCTCTGGAACCAAGATTGCTCAAAGAGGAGTCCCACGTTGGGAAGGAATGCCAGGGTCTCCTACCCCTGCTGCAGGTAGGCACTGGCTGGGAGCTGCCTGGGGCAGCATGACCTTGGCTCAAACACTGTCACCCATTGTGGAGGCTGTCAGCTCACTGCCCTGTGGCAAGGGGGTGCTGAGTGGCATCTCCAGGGCTGCCACAAGGGGGTTTCCCAGATCTTTCAGGGACTTTTGGATATAGGGTTCAGATTGACATTGACACCCAGGGACCCAAAGGCTGTCATGTTAACCATAGAGTAAAGATGTAATAGGAACCAGGTAATAAATGGAGTCCTGGCCTAGGTCCATCTCACAATAGGCCTCCGGTGTGTCCAGAGACGTACCATGTGGTCATTCCCCCAGCTCCTGAATGTGTAAATGGAGTAGAAATTCCTGGCAGGTGGGAGAACCTTCATGTTGGTTCCTTGACCTATAGCGTGTGAGCTGTAGCGTTAGGCCCGATGGAAGCCCCTGAAACTGCCTTTCTCCTGCATCCCCCTCCCCACTGCCCCAGAATACGACACAGTCAATATTGCATTTGTGGAGGAAGGACAGAGATTAGTGCCATCTTCAGAGACTTAAGAATGCAGAAGAGGCTGGGCACCGTGGCTCACGCCTGTAATCCCAGCTCTTTGGGAGGCCGAGGCGGGCAGATCATGAGATCAAGATCATCCTGGCTAACACGGTGAAACCCTGTCTCTACTAAAAATACAAAAAAATTAGCTGGGCGTGGTGGCGGGCACCTGTAGTCCCAGCTACTTGGGAGGCTGAGGCAGGAGAATGGCGTGAACCTGGGAGGCGGAGCTTGCAGTGAGCCAAGATCGCGCCACTGTACTCTAGACTGGGCGACAGAGCGAGACTCCGTCTCAAAAAAAAAAAAAAAAGAATGCAGAAGGAGGGTCTTTGTCATAACTCTATTGAGCACACCAGTGTGGCCCCTGCAAAAACCATGTGCATTGATGCATTGTGGCATTATTGGAGAACCACGAATTTAACAGAGTGTTCTCCCCAAGTGTATCTTTTTTTTTTTTTTTTCCAGAGACAGGGTATTGCTGTGTTACCCAGGCTACTGGAGTGCAGCTGCACAATCCTGGGTCACTGCAGCCCTGACCTCCTGGGCTTAATAGATCCTCCTGCCTCAGCCTCCCGAGTAGCTGGGACTACAGGTGTACACTAGCATGCTTGGCTAATTTTTGTATTTTTTGTAGAGATAGCGTCTCCCTACTGAACTCCTGGGCTCAAGTGATTCTCCTGTCTTGTCCTCCCAAAATGCTGGGATTATGGGCATGAGCCACCGTGCCTGGCCCGTGAGTGCATCTTCTCTGAGAAATGGAGCATCTTTGCTGGAGCTGGGTAAGGTCATCACGGATCTATAGGATGCAGCTGTGTACATTCACGGCCTTACCCCAGGGCTACGTCAATTTTCCTGTTCTCTATCACAACATAGTCTGAAGGGATCCAGCCCATCGGGGCAGCCTCCAGGCCACCACATTGGTCAGTGCCAGGAGCAACATCGTGTTAACCAGACCTACAGAGCAAGAAGCAGCAGGTCCCTTGGAAGCTTTCGTAGAATATGTGGGGGAGGAGGATGGGGGGTTAATGGGAAGGCTCAGGGGCTGCCATGCTGTAGGGGTTTGACGGGGCCAGTGGTCTGGCCATGTCGGGCTATCTCCTGCAAAGTAAAGGGTGGTTACTGCACCTGTCCTTCCTACCACGTGGAAGGAGGCACGACTTCTGGCGGGACTCTTTGAATTTGGGGGTGGCATACTCAGCACTTGGGAATCCAGTTTTGGCCCATTTCTTGAGTGACACAGAAGGCTGCTAGTTTGGAGATGCAGTTCTATGAGCAAGTGTGCTTGGGACATGTGACTCTGCAGACCCTGTGCTACACGGGGTGTCTGTAGTGGAGAGGGTCACCACACGGTGTCCCTGGCAGGCCCCAATAGGAAAGCCACAGTGCAGACCCCGAGGGTGCTGGAACAACGCCACGCCATCTGCAGCAGAGAAGGGCTCTGGATGTGTCCCCAAGCCCTGGGAGAAACTGAGCATCTGACCAGGGGACATCAAGTGATCAAGTGGACACAGCTTTTCACCATGAGCTGACGAGTCACCAAATCACAAGGCCAGGCATCCGTCATGAGGCACAAGTGGCACATCAGGGATTGGGCTCCCAAAGGTCCCCAAGGCAGGAGCTACGTGGTCCAGACCCCCTGCCTCTGGCCATGCGGCACCAAGGCCTCCCCTCAGCTCACATCCTGGGGGGTTTTCCTGTGACCAGCGGAGATAGGCTGCAGTCTCACCCCAGCGGACGTGTTCCTGCGAGCTGAACGCGTGTGGCTGCTGCACCACAGCCCTCCCAGGGAGGCCCTCAAAGACAGCGGCAGGCCGTCGGCAGTGCACCTGGTGTGTGCACTTGTGCAAAGAGAGAAGTGGCTTGAGGAAAGAATGTACATGG
This sequence comes from Homo sapiens, assembly GCF_000001405.40. Classification (NCBI taxonomy): domain Eukaryota; kingdom Metazoa; phylum Chordata; class Mammalia; order Primates; family Hominidae; genus Homo; species Homo sapiens. The sequence continues at coordinate 64,456,111 of NC_000011.10, forward strand.
GCTTGTGGACAGTGGACAGTGGCTTAGCTGGTGGGTCAGGGATCTAGAAGGAGCAAGACTGGAAGTTTAGGCCGGGCTCGGTGGCTGACGCCTGTCATCCCAGCACTTTGGGAGGCCGAGGTGGGCTGATCACTGAGGTCAGGAGTTCAAGACCAGCATGGCCAACGTGGTGAAACCCTGTCTTTACTAAAAATACAAAAATTAGCCAGGCATGGTGACGCATTCCTGTAATCTCAGCTACTCGGGAGGCTGAGGCAGGAGAATTGCTTGAACCTGAGAGGTGGAGGTTGCAGTGAGCCGAGATTGTGCTACTGCACTCCAGGCTGGGCCACAGAGCGAGACTCCATCTCAAAACAAAAACAAAAAGATTGGAAGTTCAGGAACAAGAAGGGCTGGGGGAAAGGCATGTGTGTAGGCTGGTAGGACAGGCATGAAGAGTGAAAATCTTGATCTCAGATTAACATCCGAGAGTATCCCGTGCGGAAGAGACACTGAACAACCAAATGGACAGGACGACCCAGTTGGCCTTCATCCTTGGCTGCCATAGGGCTTGGGCAATGGGCTCACGAGTGGAACTGTCATGGCGGCAGAGACGGCGGCTACTCCTGGGCCCAAGAGCACGTGCCTCTACTTATCGAGGCTGACACGGTTACTGCCACCTCTGCGTGTCTGATCCGTCAGCAACTGAGACCAACGCTGAGCTCCCAGTACTGTCCCATTCCCTTGAAATGACTGGCCAGCCACTTAGTAGCAAACTGATTTCACAGGACCCCTTCCACCCTGGAAAGGGCAGAGATTCACTCAGTTCCATCAGCCCGATTCCAGGAATGGGCTTGCAGTTCCTACTTTTGGGGTCTCTGCCAACATCACTCTCTGAGGGCTCGCTCTCTAAGTGGCTGATTCTCCTACACAGGATTCTGAATGACATCACCTAAGGCCAGGGGATTCACTCTGTGGGGAAGCAGGTGCGGCAGTGGGCACGTGACCGTGGGATCCGCCAGCCCTACTGCAGATCACGTCTTCTGGAATGCCAGCCTGGGCAGCCGCAGAATGGCCTCTGGGATCACAGCTTTGAGGTGATACCAGGTCACTATCCCTCAGGGTGTGATTGCTCCTTAAACTAAGCAATTATAAGGCACTGTGTTCACTCCAGGCAGCATAAGGGTTAGGAGTGGCCCTATTCGCCATTTCCCCTGTGACCCACATTGAGGAATCTGTGCCTCCTATCCCCACGCCATTAGGCTTTGTCCATCAAGAAGTCCTGGTCCCTGAGGGAACATGGCTTCCATAGGGGATATGGTGAGGGTCCCACCAAGCTTGAAGCTCTGGTTGCTGCCTGGTGCCTTTGGGCTTCTGTGCTAGTGGCCCAGCAGGTATGGAATGAACGTTCTACACAGCACGGGCCAGGGATCCCGATCAGCAGAGGGAGGAATGCAGCTATAGGATGGGGCCTATATGTAAATTGGCACATACAGCAACCATGGCGTGATCAGGCCATGGCAACCAGGGCCTCAGACCCCTCAGGGATGAGAGTCTGGGTCGCCCCACCAGGCAAGGCCCCAGCCCAGCAGAGAGTAAGGGAGGAGTCAAGGGGGCCGATGGCATGGATCAGTTAAGGCCTTGGGGTCAGTGGCAGCAATGGGGTCCCTAGTCCTTCGCAAGAGCCTGCCTTGTGGCGGTTTCCCCAGGGAGGGTTTCTGACCGTCCTGGAGAAGCTGGGCCTGCACAGAGTGGACTCTATGCGAGAAGCAAACAGGTCTGAATGGTGCAAAGGGTGGGCTGTAGTGGACAGTCTGGTGCCTGGCCCAGACCCCTTCACCTGGCCAGGGCACATGTCCGTCCATCAGCAGCTGCAAGAGGGACTGCTAGTGGCAGGGAGTTTCCCGTCTTCTCCACACTTGACCTCAGCCAATGGAGCTGCTCTTCCTGCGGTGTAAAGTCCCCTTCTCACTGCAGTGACAGGCCACAGCCAGTGGCTGAGGAATCAAGGGGACAAAAGACCAGCTCCATTGCTTCAAGCTGGGACAGCCCTGCAGTGGGGTTTACTCTTTAGAGCCTCCTCGGATCAGAACCTGAGACTCAACTTGAGGGCACGTGCCTGCCTGGCCTGCACCCCTCCCTCATCTGCTTCCCTCACTTCCTGAGAGCTTCTCCTGCAGAGCGGTCCCTGGTCAATGACCAGAACAGGAAGATCCAGAGACAGAGCCCATTGATGGAGCCTGGGCGGAGCCAGTGGGGAATAGGGAGTGATGCTGAATAGGTATGAGGTTTTCTTTCAGGCAAGGAAAATGTTTTGGAACTTGATAGAGGTGGTGGCTTTAAAACATCGTGAGGGTACTAAATGGCACAGAAACAGTACACTTTAAAATGGTTAATTTTATGTAACACGAATTTCACCCCAATTTAAAGAAATAGATATAAGAAAAAAAAGGACCTCCCCCTTCGTCCCCGGCAGCCACTGCCAGCTTCTTTCTTGCGGTGGGCTGAGCCTCAGCCTTTAGTGAGATGGAGAGTTGGATTCTCACCTGGTCTTGGGTGTCATAATTACTGAGCCAAGGCTGTTCTTGGATCTAGAAGTGAGGACATGACTTACATTGCCTGGGACCATGTGCCTGCCTGAGATTTATCTCAAGCGGGGGTGGGAGAAAGGAGCCCCACAGACTGAGGACAAAGCAATATCACCCTGTCCTGCACCTTGCCTGTCCTGTTCTTCCTCAGGACTGGCCACGCTGAGGTGTCACTTTTCTTCCTAAAATCCTCTGCAGCGTTGGAGACAGCATCCCCAACCCCCCAAAAGAAAGTAAACATAATGCTTACTTTCTTTCTTGTGAATACTAATCCTGGCTAAATTATTCACTTCTTTTTAAACCCCTATTTTTTTTTTTAAACAAAGCTTTTCTTTATTAACTGAGAAGGATTTACCCCTCAGAATCCAGGCATCTCTCTCAGCCCCATGGAGAAGGGGGAGACGGGATCGAATGTGTTGGGAGCTGAGCAGTAAGAAGGGAATCTCAGGAAATCCCACTGGTGCTCAGACATGGGATCACATCACCCTCTCAAAGAGGCTCCCCTGGGCTCTCTGTCCCGCCCCGCCCCGCACCCCCACCCCCTTTCCATTTCCTGTATTTTCTCTGTAACACGATGGTTCTGGGATGACCTCACTTGCTGACTTTTCTTCCACTGGAAGTCGGCCCCATGAGCGCAGGGACCTCATTTTTCTTGCTTGCCAGAGCATCTGCCTCACCCCAGAACCTCATCTGCCACACCGAGGTGCGCAGGAAGTGTTCACTGCACAACTGCACAGTGCTTTCTAGGTTAATACATGTTTATCCATTCCTTGCCTTTAAAAAAAATTGTGGTAAAATGTATATAACATAAAATTGACCATGTTAACCATTTATAAATGCATAGTTCTGTGGTATTAAGTACATTCACATTGCTGTGCAACCATCCTCAGCATCCATCCATCTCCAGCCCTTTTTCATCTTCCCAGATTGAAGCTCTGTGCCTGTTAAATACTGACCGCCCGTCCCCGACCCCAGCCCTGGGAAACTCTCTTCTATTCTCTGACTCCCTGAATCTGACTGCTCCAGGTACCTCCTATAAGTGGAGTCATACAGTACTTGCCCTTTTGTGACTGGCTTCTTTCACTTAGCCCTAATGTTTTCAGGTTCAACCATGTTGCAGCATATGTCAGAATTCCCTCCCTTTTTAGGGCTAAATAATATTCCACTGTCTGTGTAGACCACATTTCACCACTTGCCTTTTAATGGCCGAGTAGTATACCTTCATTTATTTATTTTTTGTTATTTTATTTTATTTTATTTTATTTTTTTGAGACAGGGTTTCGTTCTGTTGCCCAGGCCGGAGTGCAGTGGCACAATTACACCTCACTGCAGCCTCAACCTCCCTGGGTCAGGTGATCCTCTCACCTCAGCCTTTTGAGTAGCTGGGACTACAGGTAAGCGCCACCACACCTAGATAATTTTTGTATTATTTTGTAGAGACGGGGTTTCACCGTGTTGCCCAAGCTGATCTTGAACTCCTGAGCTCAAGCGATCTGCTCACCTCAGCCTCCCAAAGTGCTGGGATTACAGGCATGAGCCACTGTGCTCGGCCTACCTTCATTTAAGTTAAAATTCTTTACAGAGAGTCATTTAGGTTTCTTTTTTTATTTTTTTATTTAGTAACAAATTAGAAAAGCATACCCTTTAATTTTTTTATACACTCATGCTATTATTTCTGTAGGGGACATTTCTAAAAGTGAGACGGCTGAGTCATAGGTTGTAAATAAGCACTTCAAAGGTTTTTGAATATTGTCAAATGGTTCTTCCAAAAGGTTACACCAATTCCTGTTGACAGCAAAAGAGTTTGAGTATGTTCTTCCCCCAACGCTTTTTCCATCTTTCAAAATTCTGCCCAACTGGCAGATAAAACATGATTATCTCATTGTTTTAATTTGCTTTTCCTTAAACATCATGGAGACAGAACCTGTATTTTTTGTTTCTTGGTCATTTATGTATTTCTATTTTGGGGATTTTCTATTTCTGTCCTTTGTCCATTTTCCCATTTTCGTCTTATTTTCATTCTCCCTAGGATGTTCCTACATTTTCTGGTCACGATCTTTTGCTACAGATATCTATTCTGAATCGGTGGTTTGTTGTTTTCACTTTGTTTATGGTGTCTTGTGTTGAACAGAAACACCCCATTCTAACATAGTCACATTTATCAATCTTTTCTTTTATGATGTGCTTTTCACATCGCATTTAAGAAATCCTTCCCCTGTGCAGAGATCAAAATTAGGTTTCTCTTGTACTTTCTACTTATAAATGTTTTACAATTTTGCTTTTCATCTTTGGAAACTTTATGGACCTTGGTTTTGGCCCAGTGTTATCTATGGTGGGTTTCCCCAGGGGTTGATCCTGAGACAAGGATTTGGGTGGAAGAGGGGAAGGCAAGTCCTAGGAAGGGTGCACTGATGAGCAGGTGCCACTGGGAATGGTGGGGAGGTGGTGTAAGACATACCCCACAACTGTCCCTCTGGAGGGGCCAGGAAGCTGTGGTATTATCCTTCAGCCTCTGCCCATTACCACCAGCACTACCAGACCCTACTCCTGGGACGATGACTCCCTGGTTCTTCCAGCTACTGTTCTTGCAAGGTCAGTGGAAGCCCTGGGGTCTCAGAGGGCCATGGGTGTTCACAGGGGACACCTTTATATGCACTGGGTCAGGGGATTGAAGGGAGAGTGGCCTAGGCACCCCGGTGTCTGCTATAGTGTGAGGCTGGAACCTACATTAATTTCGTTCCAAATGGACAACCAATGGACCAAACAGGATTTTTTTTATCCATCCACTTTCTTACTGATTTTATTAAATCAGATTTCTGGGGTTCAGTATTCTGGGTGTATCTGTCTATCCTGTGTTGCTATCACATTGTTTAAATGATCACAGCTTTATAAGTCTTGATACCTGGTAGGGGAAATCCCTCCTCATACCTTGACTTGTTGCTCTTGTTTGAAATTGTTTTGGCTATTCTTGGCCCTTTATTTTGCATTTGCATTTTAGGATTATATTATCGAGTTCCCTGAAAAGCCCCATTCAGAATTTGATTGGCCTTGTGTTAACTTTATAGATTAATCTAGGAAGCATCGTTTTGTTTATGGTGTTGAGTCTTTCTATCCATGAACACGCTATAGATCTTTATTTATTCATGACTTCTGTGTTCTGCAGCAATATTTTATGCTTTCCTCCATAAAGATCCTACACATCACTCCCTCTCTTGAAATCTCAGTTCCCATTGTTTTTGCTGCTATTGTAAGTGATGCCTTCTTATAACATGTTTTCTAGTCAATTATTGCTGGGCATAGAAGTATTCTTGATCTTTTATAATGTACATTAATCTTATATCCAGCAACCCTGCCAAACCTTTATCACTTTTCAGAGTTTGTGGAAGCTCTTGGATTTTCTATGTCAACAATCATATTATTATCAGCAAAGAATCACAATATGTTGCTTTTTTCTTTCCTATTGATGCAGGACAGGTGAGCCCCAAACTGGGGCTTAGCCCATAAGGGTTCTTGGCTTTGCCCAGGAAAGAATTCAAAGGTGAGCCAGTGGTAGGTTGGAAGAAAACAGCTTTATTGAAACAGCAGTGTTAGAGCTCTGGTGGAGTTTCAGTTCTGTGACTGCTCCTGCTAAGCAGGGCTACCCCATAGGCAGTGTGCTAAGAGTAGCAGCTCAGGGCAGGGCAGGGCAGGGCAGGGCAGGACTGGAGTCATATTCATGCCTGCTTTTTTTTTTTTTTTGAGACCGAGTCTCACTCTGTTGCCCAGGCTGAAGTGCAGCGGTGCCATCTCAGCTCACTGCAACCTCCACCTCCTTGGTTCAAGTGATTCTCCTACCTCAGCCTCCCAGATAGCTGGGACTACACACCTGGCTAATTTTTGTAGTTTCAGTAGAGACAGGGTTTCACCATGTTGGCCAGGCTGGTCTCGAACCCCTGACCTCAGGTGATCCACCCGCCTTGGCCTCCCAAAGTGCTGGGATTACAGGCATGAGCCACCATGCCAGGCCCTTACCTACTTTTAATTGCATGCAGATTAAGGGGCAGTTTATGCAGAAATTTCTAGGGAAAGGATAGTAACTTTTGGGTTGTCAGGTCATTGCCATGGAAAAGAGCGGTGATGCCCAGGTGTCACCATGGCAACAGTAAGCTGACACGGACACTGGTGGGAGTGTCTGCTGGAAAGCTGCTTCTGCCAGGTCTCTGTTTTAACCAGTCCTCAGTTTGGCCTGATGTCCGATCCCTGCCTCTGGAGTGGAGTTCTGCCTCCTACCTCACTATTATTACACTGTTCCTTTTTCTTGTCTTACTGAATTGGCTAGGACCTCCAGTACAATGTTGAATACAGGAGTGGTTGCTGGCACCCTTATTTTATTCCTGAATTTTCATGGTAATGCTTCTAATGTTTTAACATGAATAATCTTATCTGCTATGAGTTTCTGATAGATGTCTTTGATCAAACTAAGGGAAATCCTTTCTATTTTTAGTTTGTATCATGTATAGGAGTTGAATTTTATTTTATTTATTTATTTATTTTGAGACAGGGCCTCAGTCTGTCACCTAGGCTGGAATGCAGTGGCACAATCTTGGCTCACTGAAGCCTCCTCCTAGGCTCAAGGGATCCTCCCACCTCAGCCTCCTGAATAGCTGGGACTATAGGCGCACACACTACGCCCAGCTTATTTTTTGTATTTTTGGTAGAGATGGGGTTTCGCCATGTTGCCCAGGCTAGTCTCGAACTCCTGACCTCAAGTGATCCTCCCACCTTGGCCTTCCAAAGTGCTGTGATTACAGGCATAAGCCACTGCATCCAGCCTGAATTTTATTACATGGTTCTCTGCATCTATTGAGATGGTGATGTTTTCTCTTCTTAATCTGTTAATGTGGCAAATTCTATGTAACATATTTTTCTAAAATTGACCATTGCGTGCCTAGGATAATGCCAATTTGGTTATGATGTATATATGTTTAAAATGCACTGCTTAATTTGTTTTGCTTGTATTTATTTAGGATTTTTATATCTCTGTTTAAAAGGGGGATTGGCTTATAATTTTCTTTTTCATGCCATCTATGTCCAACTGACATATTAGTGATGCCATCTTCCTAAAATAAGTAGGGTCTGTCTTTTATATTATTTGAAAACTTTGCTTACAATTTCATTCAAGGTTTAATATTTATTAGCATAAAGTTGTTCATCATCTTCTCTAATGATTTTTAACATTCCTGTGGTATGACTAGTTAGGATCTCTTCCGAGGAACATTGTTTTTGTTCATGCCTTCATCCTTTGAGGTGATTGGACTTGCTAGAAGTTTGTTCATTTTGTTGTTCTTTTGGAGGCATTAGCTTTCGGCCCTGCAGACTGTTAGGGGTTTTAGAGACCCCGATAAATATTGTCTTTCTTTTTATGGGATTTGTATATCATTTGAGGAATAAGACAAAAAGGGAATCCGGGAGACCAAATGATCATCTTGGTTACCAAAGAAGTTGATGATGCGGGAGAATGAAGCATACCTTGTCACAAAGACACCCCCAGGGCTGCAAGCCACAGTGCGATGGACTCGTGTGCTCGCTTACACAGGGCTGGGGAACTGCAACCCACACTCTGTCTCTTGGGGACAGGGTTCTGGTGTCCAGTTTACTTTGTGGTCAAGAACAATAAGAAAACACATTCTTGGCTGATGGTGGGAAAGGAAGACAGAAGACGAGAGGGGAAAGGCAGGCTGGCAGGTCCATACATGCTTAATTTCTCCGTCCAATCAGGGGAACCCATTGTGTCCCTCAGGAGGTATGAGGTAGAGGAGTGAGAGGAAAGGGGCCCACAGTATTCTTTCCCCCACTTGGAGGGATCCTCAGGAGTAGGGGATCAACAGTCTCCCTTGACGCTCACCACCTCCAATATTGAAAAGTTACTATCTCACAAGATTTTCTTCTGCATTTTTTTTTTTTTCTTGGATGGAGTCTTGCTCTGTCACCCAGGCTGGAGTGCAGTGGCGCAATCTTGGCTCACTGCAACCTCCACCTCCCAGGTTCAAGCGATTTTCCTGCCTCAGCCTCCCGAGTAGCTGGGATTACAGGCATGCATCACCACACCCGGCTAATTTTTGTATTTTTAGTAGAGATGGGGTTTTACCACGTTGGCCATGCTGGTCTTGAACTCCTGACCTCAGTGATCCACCCACCTCGGCCTCCCAAAGTGCTGGGATTATAGGCGTGAGCCACTGTGCTCGGCCTCTTTTGCCATTTTAATTTCATTCCTTTTACTTCCTTTGACTTTCTCTAATTTTTTTTCTAACGTCTTGAGTTGAATGCTTTAGTCATTGTTTTCAGTCTTCATTTTTTTAAATAAAAATATAATACAGTTAAGGGTATAAATTTAGAACAAGTACCTATGCATTTTAACTGCATCCCACAAGTTTTGAAAAGTAGTACTTCCATAGACATTCAGTTCTAAATATTTTGTCATTTATTTGTAGGTTCCTTTATCATCTATAGTTACCTAAGGCTAATTTCTTATTTCTAAATGAGGTGGGTTAAAAATTATTTTTTAAAATCGTGAATCTTCAGTTTACCTGAATTGTGCTTAGATATTAGGGCCTATAAGATACAGATTCTTCCACATATTTTTCTTTTCTTTTCTTTTCTTTTTTTTTTTTTTTTTGAGACAGGGTCTCACTCTGTCACCCAGGCTTGAGTGCAGTGGCATGATCTTGGCTCACTGCAACTTCTGCCTCATGGGTTCAAGCTATCCTCCCACCTCAGCCTTCCACCTCAGCTGGGATTACAGGCACGTGCCAGCACACCTGACTAGTTTTTGTATTTTTAGTAGAGGCGGGGTTTCACCATGTTGGCCAGGCTGGTCTAGAACTCCTGACCTCAAGTGATTCGCCCGCCTCTGCCTCCCAAGGTGCTGGGGTTACAAGCGTGAGCCACTGTGCCCGGCCCACATTTTTTATTATCTCCTCTGTGACCTTGTAAATGGTCAGTCTTTACATATGTTCAGTTTATGCTTGAAACTAATGAATATGGTTTATTTGTTGCATCCAGGGCTCTATATAAAGTAGATTAAGCTTGTGAATTTTGCTGTTCAGACATTAGAAACCATTGCATCATTTTTTATCTGCTTGAACCTATTTGTTTTTGATAGATGAGCATCAGAATCTTTCTCCATGCCTGTGGCTGTTCAATTTCTCCTTGTAAAAGAGTCAGTTTTTGCTTTGTATATATTGAGGTTATATTGTTAGGTGCATGCAAATTCAAGCTTTGGGGGCTAGTACACTTTACCATTATGTTGTATATTTATTTATGCCTAATAATGCGTTCTGTCATAAATTATTGTTTTAATATTGCCAGGCCAGCTTTCATGGGTTGGTTTTGGTCTGGCTTCTAGCTGCCACCCAGTATGAATGTCCTCCTTTTTCCTTAGTAGCCCACCCAAGTTGTGTTAGTGGTGAAAATGTACCTGGCTGAAAGACTTCATTAAACAGTCTCCCTTTCTGCAGGATGAGGCCCTATGACTAGATGCCAGCCCAGGTCAAGAAGGCTGCTTGAAAGAGTCAACCGAGTGGGGAGGGTGTCCTTTTATTTCTGCCTTTCTGCTGCCTGGAATGCTGAGTGGATGGCTGGAATTCCAGCAGCCATCTTTGAATATGAGGTTGCCTTGAGGATGGTACCAGGTACTGGAGGTGTGGAACAGAAAGAAGGAAATTACTGGATCCCTATTGACAAAGGAACTATTCTACCTTTTCTGGGTGGCTTTCATTCATACCTTTTTTTTTTTTTTTTTTTTGAGACAGAGTTTTGCTCTTGTTGCCCATGCTGGAGTGCAATGGCGCAATCTCAGCTCACAGCAACATCCGCCTCCTGAGTTCAAGCAAATCTCCCACCTCAGCCTCCTGAGTAGCTGGGATCACGGTCATGCGCCACCACACCCGGCTAATTTTGTATTTTTAGCAGAGACGGAGTTTCTCCATGTTGGTCAGGCTGTTTTCAAACTCCCAACCTCAGGTGATCCCCCCAGCTCAGCCTCCCAAAGTGCTGGGATTACAGGCGTGAGCCACTGCGCCCCGGCCTCATTCATACTTTTTAATGTGAGAGTGGCTTTACTGTGTTTTTGACTTATTTTATTTGACTCTTTTTGACTTTTATTTTATTTTATTTGAGACAATCTTGCTCTGTCACCCAGGCTGGAGTGCAGTGGCGTGATCTCAGCTCACTGCAGCCTCTGCTTTCCGGGCTCAAGTGATTCTCCTGCCTCAGCCTCCTGAGTAGCTGGGACTACAGGCGCACACCACCATGCCCAGCTAATTCTGTTTTTCTATTTTTTTTTTGTTAGATACAGGGTTTCGCCATGTTGTGCAGGCTTAATACTGTATTTTTGTTCCTTTCTAATCCTTGACTGTGGCATAATAAGAAATATTATATTATAAATGAGAACATTATATTTGATCTTTGTCCCCAGTTCCTGGCACAGAACTCCTGAATTGGAATTTCCTGAGGGACAGAAATGATAGAAGCATCTTTATTTCAAATGAGGTGACTCTTGGCAGGTCCCTAGATAGCTTTGGATGCAGGCTGGTTACCAAAAAGACCAAACCTTGATTCAAAGCCTAGAATTTTGCCCCACCCCCAACTTCTGGGGCAAGGATAGGGGCTAAAGATTGATTTAATAATTGATCATGCCTACAGGATAAAATTCCATAAAAACCCCTAAAAGGCTGGGCACAGTGGCTCACACCTATAATCTCAGCACTTTGGGAGGCTGAGGGAGGTGAATCACTTGAGGTCAGGAGTTCGAGACCAACCTGGCCAACATGGTGAAACCCCATCTATACTAAAAATACAAGAAGTTACCAGGTGTGAGTGTGCGTGCCTGTAACCTCAGCTACTCGAGAGGCAAAATAATCACTTGAACCCTGGAGGCCGAGGTTGCAGTGAGCCGAGATCACGCCACTGCACTGCAGCCTGGGCGAGACTCTGTCTCAGGAAACAAACAAACAAAAAAAACCCTAAACGATGGGGTTTGAGGAGGTTCTGGGTTGAACACATGGAGGTGCTGGGAGGGTGGTATGGCCAGAGAGGGCATGGAGGCTCCTTGCCCCGATCCCCGCACCTTGCTCTGTGTGTATCTTTTGTCTGGCTGTTCCTAAATTTCCTGAATTGTGTCCTTTATAATAAACCGGTAATAGTAAGTAAAACATTTTCATGAGTTCTGTGTGTCCTCCTAGTAAATTACTGAACCTGAGGAGGGGTTGCAGAAACCTTTGGTTTATTGCTAGTATGGGGGGCCCAGGACTGGGATTGGCATCTGAAGTGGGGCCAGTCTTGTGGGACTGAGCCCTTAGCTTGTGGACTCTGATGCTAACTCCAGGTAGATAGTGTCAGAATTGGATGGAATGATCAGGCATCTAGGTGGTGTCAGAGAATTTGTTGGTGTGAGGAAAAAAAAAACAAAACACAACCCTTCATATTTGGTAACAGGAGGACAAAAAAGCCTCTCAGATTGGCTGGGCTTGGTGGCTCACGCCTGTAATCCCAGCACTTTGGGAGGCTGAGGCAGGTGGATCACGAGGTTAAGAGATCGAGACCATCCTGGCCAACATGATGAAACCCTGTCTCTACTAAAAATACAAAAATTAGCTGGGCGTGGTGGCGTACTTCTGTAATCCTAGGTACTCAGGAGGCTGAAGCAGGAGAATCGCTTGAACCCAGAAGGCAGAGGTTGCAGTGAGCCGAGATTGCACCACTGCTCTCCAACCCGGCGACAGAACAAGACTGTCAAACAACAACAACAACAACAACAACAACAACAACAAAAACCTCTCAGACTGACCGACCATCTGGTCAACTCATCAGCTTCTGCCCATGAATCAGTGTAGACCCATACTTCTGGCCATCTCTCCTTCTGAGCAAAGTGGACAACCAGGTGTTCTCTGTAAGTTCTGCCCAGTGGGAGGATTTTCCTGCTCCATTGTCCCTCAGGGCCTCTCCAAGTAAGGCAGTGATCATCCATATACTAGGCTCAGGGATTTTCTTTTTCAGTCATCTGGCGGGTGAGGGGCTGCCATATTTTTTCTTTTTCGAGGCAGGGTCTTGCTCTGTTGCCCAGGCTAGGGTTCAGTGTTGTGATCACATCTCACTGCAGTCTTGACCTTCTGAACTCAAGCAATCTTCCTACCTCAGCCTCTTGAGCATCTGGGATAACAGGTGCATGCCACCATGCCTGGGTAATTTTTGTAGAGGTAGGGTTTCGCCATGTTGCCCAGGCTGGTCTTGAACTCCTGAGCTCAAGTGACCCACCTGCCTTGGCTTCCCAAAGTGCTGGGGTTACAGACATAAGCCATTGTGCCTGGCCTCTGCCACGTGTTTTGAAACACCTCCAGCCCAGTGTATCACCCCTGGGTAAAAATCACTTAATAGGGGTTTTCCTTGGCAGAATCACACAGTCCATTTTGTCAACATGATCCTGAGCGTACAGTAGGTGTTCACATAATTCATTGATATCAGTATCAGTACAAAGCTCCCTTTGCACAGAGTGGGACAAATCCTCATCCTAAAGACTTGATTGATGCCATCAGTTTACTGGATCCTTGCAACTTGGCTTTATCATGACATTTACATCTGAGCAGGGAGTTTAATATCAGTTTCAAGCTGGCCCTGGCATGGCAGGAGGTGGAAGTGAGTCTTCCCACAGGTCAGTGGATGTCGGGCAACTTGCTGGCATGGCAGTCTCTGAAGGGCTAACAGGGTCCTCTGACCTAGGAATGGGCAGAAGCTGGTGCCTGTGACCTGCTGCTGCCCTCCGAGGCACCTGTGCTGCTCTTGCGCCTTCCTTGATGTCTCTTGTGCTTCCTGTCTGCAACTGCTCTGTAGAAACAGCACCTGTTACCGGTGATTTGTGTTCCCCCAGAAAGATACATTGAATTCCTAATCCCCAGTACCTCAGAATGTGACCTTATTTGGGGTTAGGGTCTTTGCGGTAGTCAATTGAAGATGAGATCATTAGGGTAGGACTTCATACAATCTTACTGTGTCTTTACAAAGGGACTTTTGGACCCAGAGACAGATACAAAGGGAAAATGTCATGTGAAGATGAAGGCAGAGATTGGGGTAATGCATAAGAAATGTCAAAGACTGCCAGCAAACCCCCGGAAGCTAGGAGAAAGGAATGGGACAGATTCTCCCTTGCATCCTTCAGAAGGAACCAACCCTGGCCTCCAGAACTGTGAGATGATAAATGTCTGTTATTTTAATCATTCAATCTGTGGCAGTTGTTATGGCAACCCCAGGAAACAAATGCAGCATCCATCACTCCTCTAACACTCAGGAAGTCTTTCCCTCAGGCCTGTCTCTCACCCTGAAGTCTCCTCCCAATCCTCTCCATCCCATGTCTGAATTTTTCTATTCAGCGATGACAACAAGTCAAGTTGACATCAAGGTGGTGGATGAGTGTGGGCTCAAAGCTGCTGGGGTCCTACATATGCCCCCCAGGCTGGTGCACATTCCTGCTGGCCAGGTCTAGACTTCACTTTGACCCTTTTGTAATCCCTAGGTTGGTGCAGGTATGGAGAAGGGTCAGCTAAAGACTGATGGTCAAGAGTAAAGAGGCTGGGTCCAGGATACTGAGTCCTCTTTCTTTTGTCTTATTTTAAATGTTGGATTTCAGAACCATGTTGCTCCAGCTTCAGGAATGTGTGACTGAAGGTACAGGATCTCATTCAGATTAAGGAAAATATTATAAATTTTCTTGTTATTCACATTTTAAAAATTCCTCTAGGTCACAAATTCATGTAGGCAATAGGAAAATTATATTTATTTTTGAGAAAATACAGAGGCTTTGTTAATAAGTTAGTTAAAGCACAACTGAGTTGAAGAATAAACCCTGTTTTCCCTGAACTAATAGGACTAGTAAGAAATGAAGAGAAGTCTTCAATCCTGAAATGCCCTATAGCATCACTGTTAAACTTAGTTCAATAGATTTGCTGGGAGAGAGAGGTGGGAGTAGACGTGTTGCTTCCCGCCACCCACAAATAAGTTATTGTTATTTATATTTTTATGATTTTGTTAAAATACATGCTTATTGTAAAAATATCAAGCATTATGGAAAAGTATTAAGAAGAAAGTAAAAATCATGTGAAATCCTCCCACCTTGGTATTGCCACCATTGATGTTTTAGAGCACATCCTTTCATGCCTTTTTCTATGCATCTCTTTACCCCCAGTACATTATTTTGCATACATTGGATTTTGGTAAATACTTTTCAAAATTGTGAATCATTATTTCATTTTCCTTTTTCTTTCTTTCTTTTTTTTTTTTTTGCTACATCCACCTCCTGCTACCCCAGGTACACAGTGGTAACATCTTTTCTCCAGGCTCATTTAATCATCCACAAAGTCCCATACATATACTGTAGAGTTTTCAACAAAATCAATGCTTGTCTTTTTGACAATGGAATCAAATCATAACACTTTTCTGTATCTTGATTTCCTCACTTCATACATTACAGCAATTCCCCAGGCCATCTTGTATAACTCACTTGCTCTTTCGTGGTTGCATAGAAGTTCATGGTGTAAGCATACTGCCCTTTGCTCACCCTGAGTGAGGGTCTTTCACTGTGGCCCAGGCATACTCACTGTCACACTCACGTCCCCATACCCCTATGTACTGCTGCTTTTGTGTCCATGGAACAGATTCCCAAGGATGCTATTGCCCAAAGGGATATGCACATTAAAGTTTTAATATATACAGATGAATTGATTTGCAAAAAGATTATTGTCAATTCACGTCCCCACCAGAAGTTTGTGAGAGGATTCTTTGCCCCACATCTTCCCCAATTCTATAAGCAATCTGTCTTTTTTATTTGTGCTTAAACGATCTCTACGGTGTTACACACAAAAGTCATTCATTTAACCATAAGACTTTTATTTTCTGGACCCTGAGGTGCCATTTATCTTTTTTATTTCTTTTAAAATAGTGGCTATTATTATTTTTTTTAAAAAAACAAGTAATGCTTGTTCAATGCAGATAAATTGAAGAACACAGAAAAACTCAAGAAAAGTCTAACCCAAATGCATAATCACCTGTCCACTATTAGCATTTTGATATGTTTTCTGCTAGTTTTTCTTTATGTATATTTTCAGACAGATACAGATTTACAAAAATATGTGTTTTTTTATATATGATTCTGTTGTCAGCTGTTTTTTTCTCTTACCAATACATTATGAACATTTTTTCCATGCTGATACATGTTTTTCTATGGCATAATTTTTAATAGATGAAAATTATTCTATCACATAATTCTTCCTTAACCAATTCCCTGCTGGACATTTCTCTTTTTTCTTTTTTTTTTTTTTTGCTACCATAAACAATACTGGGATGAACATCTTTTTCCATTATGTTAGTTCACTTGTCTGCTGGTCTTCTATAGGTAGAGTTGTTAAGTCCAAGGTGATGACTTTTTCAGGGTTTTCTTTCTTTCTTTTCTTTTCTTTTCTTTTTTTTTTTGAGACGGACTTTCGCTCTTGTTGCCCAGGCTGGAGTGCAATGGCACGATCTTGGCTCACCACAACCTCTGCCTCCCAGGTTCAAGCAATTCTCCTGCCTCAGCCCCCTGAGTAGCTGGGATTACAGGCAGGCACCACCATGCGTGGCTAATTTTGTATTTTTGGTAGAGACAGTGTTTCTCCATGTTGAGGCTGGTCTTAAACTCCTAACCTCAGGTGATCTGCCTGCCTCGGCCTCCCAAAGTGCTGGAATTACAGGCATGAGCCACTGTGCCCGGCCCATTTTCAGGGTTTTCATACCAATCAGTCTCTGAAAGATTGTATCAGTGGGTGCCCCCCTCTACTTTGAGCCAACAGTGGTGTTGGGGGCTCATTTCAAACCAGAAGCAGACACTCTAACGGTGCTTGATTCCAGATCTTCTTCAGCCCCACCCTGTGACATGGCACCATGGACAACACACTCTTCACGTCTCCCAGGTTTTGGTGTTCTGTGTCTTACAGGCTTTTGTGTTCACGACCCCAGCGGACCTTCAACATTGATCCTGCAAGGTCGAGAGGGCCAGAGCCCATCCCTATGGATGGGAAACCTGATGCCACAGAAAGTCAAATGACCTGAGTCAGCAAGTGTATGGGTCAGCTCAGGCTGCCATAACAAAATATCACAGACTGCAGGACTTAAACAACAGAAATTAATTTTCTTACCGTTCTGGAGGCTGGAAGCCCAAGATCAAGGTGTTGGCAGTTTGATTTCTTCTGAGAATTTTCTTCTTGGTTTCCAGATGCTGCCTTCTTGCTGTGTCCTAATGAAGTAGGAGACCAGCAGGACTTGTTTTCTGGTCACAACCCTGCTGACCAAAATAGGATCTGGTCCAGAAAGATAAAGTAAAAAACCGAAACCAACTGGCCCAAACCAATAGATGGTTGCAAAAGCAATCTCTGGCTGCCCTCAGGGCTCATTAGCATAAGACACTCCCACAAGCACCATGACAATTTACAAATGCCCAAGTCATTCTACAATGACCGGGAAATTACTGCGCCTTTCCTACCCAGCCTTCAATTTACATTGAACCACCCCTTAATTTGCATGCAATTGAAATTGGGCTTATGTGAACATAAATACAGTTGCCAAGAGCCCATACAACGCTTACTCTGGGCACACTGCCCGTGAGTCAGGCCTGCTCTGCAAGGGGCAGAACATCAGCTCCCCTTGAATTCTCTCCTGTGTGAAGCCAAGCACTGTCCCAGGCTAAGCCCCAATTCTGAGGCTTTCCTGTCCTGCATCACTCACTTGGCCATTTCTCTGTGCAAGCACCTCCCTGGTGTCTCTGTGGCTCCACATTTCCTCTGCTTATAAGAACCCCAGTCACATTGGATTAGGACTCATCCTAATGGCCTCATTTAACTTGATTGCCTGATTAGAGCTCCTATCTCCAAATACAGTCACATTCTGAGGGACTAGGCTTGGGACTTCAACATATGAATTTTGAGATGGGCACAGTTCTGCTCCTCACAGCGAGTTAACAGCAGAATTGGGGAGGTCCTGGCCAGGCGCAGTGGCTCATATCTGTAATCCCAGCACTTTGGGAGGCCGAGGCAGGCGGATCACCAGAGGTCAGGAGTTCGAGACCAGCCTGGCCAACATGGTGAAAGTCCGTCTCTACTAAAAATAAAAAAAATTAGCCGGGTGTGGTGGCATGCACCTGTAATCCCAGCTACTTGGGAGACTGAGGCAGGAGAATTGCTTGAACCTGGGGGGTGGAGGTTGCAGTGAGCTGAGATTGCACCATTGCACTCCAGCCTGGGTGACAGAGCGAGACTCTATCTCAAAGAAAAAAAAAAAAAAGAAGTGGGAAGATCCAGATTTCTGGGGAAATCCAGATTTCTGGTGTACTCTCCTGAGAGCAGAGACTCTGGTGGGGGTCTGGGATGGAATGCAAACACAGTGCTCAAGACTGCTCCTGTGTCCCTGTTCATTTGGCTGGGGAGAAGCTACGACGTCACCAGGGATTCTCTTCACAGTCCCACTCTTTTGGGAAACTGGAGGAATTATCCTCGGATCATATTACCAGCCTCTGATGTGGGGAATCTTGCGGTTCATAGATTCAGCCCAGTTTTCCAAAGTGATTCCAACAAATGGACTCTAGAAGTTCTTTTTCTACCAAGTTTCTTTCATTAGCTCCAGCAGAAAGCAATGCAGGGGAGAAAGCGCTGAGTTGAAGATGAGAGCCCAGAGGTTTCGGGAAGTTTGGCTTCCCAATCAGTAGTTGCATGAGCCTTTTCTACAAAATGAGGATGGCCCTATCATCTGGAAAAGCTCTTTGTAATCTGTAAACAAAACACTTTATGAACATTAATAATAAAATAACATAAAACAAGAAAGAAATAGACAGAATCCAAATCATTGGTATCTGTGAAGGAAATAAAGTTAGTACAGACTGAAATAGAAAAAGTGTGATTTGTAACTTTGCTGTGAAGTTCAGCTTCATTTTCATTTGCTCTGGACATTAACAATGTGACTGACAGACTGACTTCTGACTTGGAATTTCTAACAACCCCATCAAGAGGCTGTACCCAGCATCTCAATGAGCCAGACTGCGGGTGACGTTTCCCATTCAGCAATTGCTGGTATTGGTGAGCCGCGTTCAATGTTTCTTGGCAAGGCCAGGCCCAAAGAGGTAGTTGGAAGAGTCTCCCGGGTGGCTGATTATCTTGGGCACACTAGACTTGGAGTTCAAAACACATAGAAAAACAGCACGAATGAATGGAAAAAAGGAACTGGAGACACAGTGACCCGCGAAATGGGTGAAGAGAACGTAGTCTTAGGAACGCCGAGAGGGATATTTCCCAGGAGTAGCACCAGCTTTGTGGTTGGTGAGGTTTTAATTAGATTTGAAGGCTTTTGTTTAAGCCTCAGGATAGTAGATTTAAACAGATCGATACACTGAATTCGAATGTAGGGAGTATCATGGGACACTGGAGACCGGTCCTCAGCAGAGGAATAGGGGCTGGCAGTGTTGTCACATGTGTCCCTGACACATGTGTGGGAAAGAGAACTGGGAGGGACCAGGCTGTTTAGAATGCTGTAGATACGGGTTTCGCACTTGGCCTCTTGCACCAGGCACTAGATGAATAACCACGGGCAAGTCAGTCCGACACTCTGATTTCTCCCCGCCGAGCGGGCACAGCGACATCTCGGGGATTCGGACATGGAGATGAGAGCCTAGATGTTGGCTGGGTTGCAGAACAAGCCAGCTGGGATGGTATCAGAAAGTGTCTTTCTTTTTGCCCCCCAGTGCCCCACTTGAATTCCTGCAGAGGGTGAATGAGTGTCCTGTGGTTGCTGGAAAAAAGTGCCACAAACCAGACAGTGTGAAACAACAGAAACTCACACACAGTCCCGGGGGCCAGAAGTCTGCAATCAGGGTGTCGGCAGGGCCATACTCTCTTCAAAGGTGCTGGGGGACCCTTCCTGGCCTGTCCATCTTCTGATCATTGCCTGCGTTCTTTGTCTTGTAGACGCGTCACTCCCGTTCCCTCTGTCATCCCAGGGACTTCCTCCCTTGCCTTTGCATCCTCTTGTCATCTTCCCTCTATGAGTGTGTCTGTGCCCAAGTTTCCCTCCTCTTATAAGGACCCTAGTAAGTCCCTTGGATTTAGGGTCCACATGAATCCAGTATGACCTAATCTTAACTGGGTTACATCTTCGAAGACTTTATTTTCAAGTAAAGTCACATATTGAAGTTCTGGGTGGACACGAATTTGTGGGGGCTGTTGTTCAACTCAGTACAGTGAGAGATGAAGATGTGGGTGCTCCTAGGCCGGGCGCTGTGGCTCATGCCTGTAATCCCAGCATTTTGGGAGGCTGAGGTGGGCGGATCACGAAGTCAGGAGATCGAGAGCCTACTGGCCAACATGGTGAAACCCCGCCTCTACTAAAAATACACAAAAAATTAGCCAGGCATTGTGGCCCGTACCTGTAATCCCAGTTACTCAGGAGGCTGAGGCAGGACAATCACTTGAACCAGGGAGTTGGAGGTTGCGTGAACCAAGATAGAAAAGGAAACGTGGGTGCTCCTATGACTTTTTCAATTACCCTCAGGGGAGAAATGTCCTGTAGTCACTTTAAGTCCAAAATAGTTTCTTGGCCGGGCGCGGTGCCTCACGCCTATAATCCCAGCACTTTGGGAGGCCAAGGTGGGTGGATCGCTTGAGTCTGGGAGTTTGAGACCAGCATGGGCAACATGGTGAAACCCTGTCTCTACAAAAAAATACAGACATGATGTTGCATGTCTGTAATCCCAGCTACTCGGGAGGCCGAGGCTGGAGGATCGCTTGAGCCTAGGAGTTCAAGCCACTGCACTCCAGCCTGGGTGACAGAGTGACACCCAGTCTCAAAACAAAAACAAAACCAAAAGCATCAAAATAAAGTCTCGATTCAGAAATTCAAGGCTTCCAGTTCAATGTGTTAGTCCACACATTCTTCCCCATTCCAAGCCAAGGCATCTCGGACAGGCAGCAGGGGCTGGGGAGCATCTAGGTGGCATCTTCCTTCTCTCTGATCTCCTTTTTCGTCCCCTCTGAAGGGGAGGGGCAGGCTCCAGGAGGAGCCATTGGGGCAGGAAAGGTCTGCGTGGCTGACACTGTCCTCATGTGGTTCTGTGTTTGGTGTCTGCCAGAGTTCACAGCTGTCACCTCCTCTCTTGGGACTTGGCCAGTTTGGAGACCCTCAAGGCAGGGGTTCCTTGATGGCAGACCCTGCGCTCTGGGCAGAGGCTTTGTTCCTGAGTTCACTTCCTCCAAGCAGCCCGCCTCCTACCCCCCTCTGCTGAGGCTGTTTGTCCTTCTAGGTGGCCCGCTGGCCTGCACCGGCTGGCACTGCAGCCCTCATCTGCCTCCGCCTGGTCAAACTATGGCCTGTGGGCGGGACCATGCTTTAAAATGGGTGAGCCAGCCCTGGTCTCTCGACTCATCACTGTGCCTCTAACTGTGGGGTCCTCCAGCAGGCTCTTTGGGATGTCCAGGCTCTCCAAGCTGGAGTTATGAGGCAGACACCCCCTTACCCTCACCCAACTTGGGGGAGGTGGGACTTCCAGTTCTCTCTAAATAAATCCTTTTTCAAATACCCGCCCTGCCCTGATCCTTTTAGATTCTAGCCCTTGAAAAGTCGTGACACCTCCTTTTGGCCACCCTGCCCTGACAGCCAGTAGGGAGCCCCGTCTCACTCCTCGCTCTGCTGTCTGAGATCTGGTGTCTTGGTGCCTCAGTCAGTCTCGAGTGGGAGACCCTGCTGCCCACGTCAAGCGCTAGCACAGGGCTTGGCATATAGCAAGCCCTTGATAAATGGAAGCTGTTGTTATTCAGACACATTCCTTGCCCTCGTGAGGCTTAGGGGGAATGGCTCAGAAATGGAAAGGTGGCCTCAAAGGGCTCCCTCGATGGCAGTGAGAGGAGAGGATGTGAGGCTGAGGTGACAGGGAGGGAGCAGGCAGGGCTCCATGCAGGATTCAGGAATTGAACGAACCCTGAGCTTCCGTGGGGTTTGAGTCGGGGAGGCTGGCTGTGACGTTCAGGGCTGTGTGGATCCAGCAGCCCATAGGAAGGAGCTACAAGGCTTACAATGTTGTGGGAGGTGCTAAGGGCAAGCCATGGACACCAGGCTTCATCCTGCAGGGGATGACAGGCCTGGCAGGTGTGAGAGCTGAGGACGCACAGTGAGTTGGGGGCTCAGCGGGGGAGGAGCCACGCTGCCGTTCTTCCCTGCCCATGGCCTCAGAGGCCACGAACCCTTTCTCCTAGACACACTCTTCTCCTTAGACCTCGGCTTTGTCCTGGTTTTTTCCTCGGCTCTCCAGAGTGGGTTCCCTGGTGTCCTAGGTCAGATTCCCTAGAGGTGGAGCCTGGAACGGGGAATTTTTTTTTTTTTTTTTGAGACAGAATCTCACTCTGTCTCCCAGGCTGGAGTGCAGTGGCATGATCTTGGCTCACTGCAAGCTCCGCCTCCCGGGTTCAAAGGATCCACCCACCTCAGGCTCCGGAGTAGCTGAGATTACAGGCACGCACCACCAAAGCTGGTTAATTTTTGTATTTTTAGTAGAGACACGGTTCCTCCATGTTGACCAGGCTAGTCTCGAACTCCTGAGCTCAAGTGATCCACCCGCCTTGGCCTCCCGAAGTGTTGGGATTACAGGCATGAGCCACCACACCTGGCCAAGATGATGATTTTGGAGCAAGGTTTATTGAGAGGGGCTCTCAGGGGAAGGGAAGTGGAGGAGGCAGGAGGAAGACAGGAGGAGGCTCAGCAGACATTGTGTTTCCGCCACAGTCTGCTGGCCTCAGCCTCATCCCACTGGGGAGCCGTTCCCAAAGACAGGCAAGGAGGTGGAGATTTTGTGCCCTGCATGGGATGACACTGGCTTTAGGCTGCCCTCTGAGGGATGCTGTGACGGCCCAGGCACTTCCAGGGAGGAATCTCCTAGATGACTGCAGTCCTCTCCAGCTCAGAGTATCTGGGCAAGGCACCACCAGCAGCTTCTCCTGTTCTGCACCTGCTTCCCCATGGCTCTTCTTGTCCTCCCAGCAAGGGCACAGGGCTCCCTCCTCACCTCTCTCCTCTCCACTCACCTCACCCGCTCTGCAATCCAACGTCTTCCACAAGGCTTGTTCACCAACATCAACTCCTATCTTAGCAAATCATAGCAAATTTATTAACAGTGACTTCTAAGTAACATTATTCCTGATGGTGTGTGTCTTAGTCCATTTATGCTGCTATAACAAAATACCTGAGACCTGGTAATTTATTTAAAAATACCCAGAATTTATTTCTCACAGTTCTGGAGGCTGGGAAGTTCAAGATCAAGGCGCCAGCAGAGTCAGTACCTGGTGAGGGCTGTTCTCTGCTTCCAAGATGGCACTTTGTTGCTGCATTCTGCAGAGGGACAAAGGCTGTGTCCTCGCATGGCAGAAGGGACAGAGAGGCAAGAGAGAGATGAACCCCTTCCAACAAGTCTTTCAGACCAGCTCCGATTCCATTCATGAGGGTGGTGTCCTCCTAACTCAGTCACCTCCTAGAGACCGCACTTCTTAATACTTTTGCATTGAGGACTAAGTTTCAACATGAATTTTGGAGGGAACACAAATATTCAAGCCATAGCAGTGACTTATATTGTTTTTTATTTGCTTTTGTGTGTGGTTTTTGTTTGTTTGTTTTTGGTTTTTTTGAGATGGAGTCTCACTCTTGTTGCCCAGGCTGGAGTGCAATGGTGTGATCTTGGCTCACTACAACCTCCACCTCCTGGGTTCAAGCAATTCTCCTGCCTCAGCCTCCTGAGTAGCTGGGATTATAGACATGCACCACCATGCCTGGCTAATTTTGCATTTTTAGTAAAGATGAGGTTTCTCCATGTTGGTCAGGCTGATCTCGATCTCCCAACCTCAAGTGAATCACCTGCCTCAGCCTCCCAAAGTAATGAGATGACAGGTGTGAGCCACCACGCTTGGCCATATTCTTTTTTATTATCTTGTATTTATAGAAACCAACTGTAACTAACATTTGTGTCTTCTGTTACCATTTTTCAGGCCCATCCACATCTTTCATTTTGATCTTGTTTCACAACTCAATCAAGTGTTTTTCTAAATTCTCACTTTAGAGTTAATGACTGTGAGCATGAGATAGGAACTGTGTCTGGGCTTGTTATAGAAGAATAGTAAGTATATAAAATTCTGTAAAATCAACTTTATTGAGCTATAAGTTGCACACAATAGAATGCACCTATTTTAAGTGTGCGGTTCAATGGGCTTTGGCTTTGACCAACATATATACCTGTGTAACCACCACCTTCATCACCACTTCCCTGGTCCTGGCTGATCATCAATGCTTTCTGTCACCATACATTAGTTTTTAGCCTTTTTGGAATTTCATGTAAATGTAAATCATACTTTGTGTAGCCATTTGTGTCTAGTTCCTTTTGCTCAGTGTAACATCTGTGAGATTTATCCATGTTTTGGTTATTGAGAATAAAGCTACTATGCACATTTAAGTACACATTTCTGTGGAGATATATGTTTTTATTTTTCTTGAGTAAATACCTAGGAGTGTGATTCTGGTTTGCATGGGTAAGGATATGTTTACATTTATAAGACAATGCCAAATTATTTCCAAAGTGGCTGTGCAATTCTGCATTTGCTCCAGGAATGTGTGAGAGCTCCAATTCCTTCTTGTCAACACTTGAAATTATCAGTCTTTTAAATTTAAACAATTCTAGTAGTGTCAGTGATTTTTTTTTTTTTTTGAGACAAGTTATCGTCCTGTTGCCCTGGCTGGAGTGCAGTGGCACGACCATGGCAGCCTTGATCTCCTGGGCTCAAGCATTTCTCTCACCTCAGCCTCCAAGTTGATGACATTTCAGGCATGCACTAGCATGCCCAATTAATTTTTTCATTTTTTGTAGAGATGGGGTCTTGCTATGTTGCCCAGGCTTGTCTCAAACTCCTAGGCTCAAGTGATCCCCCCACCTTGGCCTCCCAAAGTGCTGAGATTACATGTATGAGCCACCATGCCCAGCCTAGGGTTTTAATTTAAATGTGTATGATAACCAATGATATTAAACTTCTATGTATGCACTTACTGGCCATTTGTATATCTTCTTCTGTGAAATATCTTTGAACTTTTTACACATTTCTAAAAATCGGGTTGTCTTCAAATTGAGTCGTAAGGGTTCTTTACATTCTGTATACCACCAGTCTTTTAGCAGATAGATGCATTGTAAATAATTTTTTTTTTCTGGCCTGTGGCTTGCTGTTTAATTTCCTTTTTAGCAGGGTCTTTTGAAAAGGAGAAATTTTAAATTTCCTCAAGGTTTAATTTATTGAAAATTTATTGGCTCATGATTTGGGCTTCCTAAGAAATCTTTGCTTACCACAGGGTTGTGAAGATTTTCTCCTGTTTCCGTCTAGAAGTTTTATAGTTTTAGTTTTTATGTTTAGGCCTATGATGTTTTTCAAATTCATTTTTGTGTACCATATGAGGAAATGGTCATTTCCATATATAGTTGTTTCAGTACTTTACTGAATAGACTATCCTTTCCTCATTGGATTATTTTGGCAGTTTTGTAAAACATCAACAGACCATGTATGTGTGGGTCTGTTTCTGGATTCTCTATTCTGTTCCACAAATATATGTTAACTCTTATAGCAATATTACTTGCCTTGATTACTGTAGTTTTTTGTTTTTTTTTTTTTTTGATGGAGTCTCGCTCTGTCACCCAGGCTGGAGTGCAGTGGTGTGATCTTGGCTCACTGCAACCTCTGCCACCCGGGTTCCAGCAATTATTTTGCCTCAGCCTCCCAAGTAGCTGGGATTACAGGTGCCCGCCACCATGCCTGGCTAATTTTTATATTTTTAGTAGAGACGGGGTTTCACTATGGCGGCCAGGCTGGTCTCGAACTCCTGACCTCAGGTAATCCCCCCACCTCGGCTTCCCAAAGTGCTGGGATTACAGGCATGAGCCACCGTGCCTGGCCTACTGTAGCTTTACAGTAAGTCTTCTCATTGAAATGTTATATATATAACAAAATAAAAATTTGTTTTTATGTTATTTTAGGTTTTCCACATTTTCTCATCTTTTTCAAAGTTATTTTTGCTCTTCTAGGACTTTTCTGTCTCCATATAAATTTTAGAATCACCTTATAAATTTTTATTAAAAAATCTACTGGGCTTTTAATTGGGATTGCATTAAACCTCAGCTCAACTTGAGTAAAACCAATATCTTAATGATATTGAGTTTTCCAATCCATGAACAGGGTATATCCCTCCATCTATTTAGGTCTTTAATTTCTCTCAGGAATGCTTTGAAGTTTTCAATTTACAAGTATTGCACATATTTTATTAATTTTATCCCCAAAGTACTTCACATGCTTGATGAAAAATTTTTCATTTCCTAATTCATCCTTGCTAGATTAGGTATACAATTGATTTTTGTATATTGAACTTGTATCCAGCAACCTTGCCAAATTAACTTCTTAGCAAAACAGACTGGATGCTGTGTTTACCCCTGGGCACAGAGGGACACACACACAGCATCCCAGGCAGTGCTGCAGATGTAAGGTTGTTCCCAGATTTGTCCATAGAGTCATTCCATTTCATTGCCGTCAGAGACTAACAAAGGTAAACCTTTATGCAGGGCCAGAGAGAGGCTTCTAAGGCATAACATTTAGGAAACTCTTGCTCTTAGCAAGGACAAGGTATCCTTAAAAAACCTCCTTAAATTTTGCATCTTGCTCCCATGTCATCATTATAAAACCCGAATGGAATTCCACTTGCTAAAAACTCCCTTTTTCATATGCATATTTAATGTTCACTCGAAAATCTAAATGCATCTACAGAAAGAAAACAAACAGAACTATTTCTGTTTAAAAGTAATTCTTTATTTTTAAATCTCCTGTGTGCCCACAGACATCCAGGGCACAAAATAAAGAGCATGCACGTGGCAGCTCCAGATCCCACAGGCACAGGGATGTGACACTGGATTTTCCAGAAATGCAGCTGCCACACAAACCAAGGGAGATGGCTCTTTGTTTTTTGGGGACTTCTCCAAGAATCGTTCACCATGGCAGAGCCTCACGGTGCTGAGAACAACACCACTGATGCTGGCTTCCATCCATTGGCCTCTGCAGCTGTCCCTTGAAAACATGTGCCAGACAGTCCTGGAGAATTCTTTTAAGAGACTAGGAGCAAGTATTATCTAGTGTGTGTTAAATATACACAGAAGAAACTTTGGTTTTGGGTGGGGGATGGTGGCTTGCGTCTGTAATTCCAGTACACTGGGAGGTCAAGGCAGGAGGATAGCTTTAGGCCAGGAGTTCGAGACCAGACCTGGCAACTTAGTGAGACTTCATCTCTACAAAAACCAAAACAATTACTGGAAGTTGTGGCTCATGCCTGTAATCCCAGCACTTTGGGAGGCCAAGGTAGGAGGATTGCTTGTGTCCAGGAGTTCAAGACCAGCCTGGGCAACATAGTGAGACCCTGTCTCTACCAAAAAAAATTAAAAATTAGCCTGGCATGGTGGTGTGTGCCTGTAGTTCTAGCTACTTGGGAGGCTGAGGTGGGAGAATCTCTTAAGCCTGGGAGGTTGAGGCTGCAAGGAGCTATGATCATGCCACTGCACTTCAGCCTGGATAACAGAACAAGATCCTGTCTTAAAAAAAAAAAAAAAAAAAAGAAAAGGAAAGAGAAAAAAAGAACTTTGGTTTTCTATGGAAAATAGACACAAATCTTTCCTATTTCTAGGCACAAACAATTGTTCAGGCTTTGCACCATATAAGTGTCCCACAGAACATTTGCAAGGTGGCAGGAAGCTGAGTGTTGCAGTGAGGGGCTGTCCTGGACAATGGGGGCACCTGTTGCTCTGGCTGTGCCACCAAATGCCAGACACAATCATGGCAACCACCAAAGGGCTCTTATAAATGTCTGAATGCCACTGTAGAGAAATACTGTTTTTAAAGGGGCATTGGGCTGCAGGGTGGCAAGAGTCTCATCAAAGTGTGCGCCCAATTCAAATACTCACCTTCCCCACTGCTACTGTTACCAGAAAGGGGTCCCGATCCAGATCCTAAGAGAGGGTTCTTGGACCTCACATGAGAAAAAAATTGAGGTAAGTCTGTAAAGTGTGTTTCACGTGTCCGTGTGAAGAGACCACCAAACAGGCTTTGTGTGAGCAACATGGCTGTTTATTTCACCTGGGTGCAGGCGGGCTGAGTCCAAAAAAGGAGTCAGCAAAGGGTGGTGGGATTATCATTAGCTCTTATAGGTTTTGGGATAGGTGGTGGAGTTAAGAGCAATGTTTTGGTGGTAGGGGGTGGATCTCACAAAGTACATTCTCAAGGGTGGGGAGAATTACAAAGAAACTTCTTAAGGGTGGGGGAGATTATAAAGAACCTTCTTAAGGGTGGGGGAGATTACAAAGTATGTTGATCAGTTAGGGTGGAGCAGAAACAAATCACAATGGTGGAATGCCATCAGTTAAGGCTATTTTCACTTCTGTGGGTCTTCAGTTGCTTCAGGCCATCTGGATGTATAAGTGCAGGTCACTGGGGGTATGATGGCTTAGCTTAGGCTCAGAGGTCTGACAAAGTGAAAGCAAGTTTATTAGGAAAGTAAAGGAATAAAAGAGTGGTTACTCCAGTGGCAGAACAGCGGTATGGGCTGCTCACTGATTACACTTATAGTTATTTCTTGATTATATGCTAAACAAGGGGTGGATTGTTCATGAGTTTTCCAGGAAAGGGGTGGGCAATTCCTGGAACTGAGGGTTCCTCCCCTCTTCAGACCATAAAGAGTAACTCCTGAATGTTGCCATGGCATTTGTAAACGGTCATGGCGCTGGTGGAGTGTCTCTTAGCATGCTAATGTATTATAATTAGCATATAATGAGCAGTGAGGACAACCAGAGGTCACTCTGTCACCAACTTGGTTATGGTGGGATTTGGCTGAGTTCTTTGCCTCAAACTGTTTAATCAGCAAGGTCTTCGTGATCTGTATCTTGTGCCAACCTCCTATCTCATCCTGGGACTTAGAATACCAAACTTCCTGGGAATGCCGCCCAGTAGGTCTCAGTCTCATTTTACCCAGCCCCTACTCAAGATGGAGTTGCTCTGGTTTGAATGCCTCTGAGGTTACAATGCAGGAAGCATTTCTCTCAGACCTCCTCTCCCGCTCAGTATCAGTCTCTCCCCCTCTGCTACCTCAAAACAAAATATTAAAAACAAAACAAAACAAAAAATACTCCAGTCTTTCCCTTGACCACCCTTTCCAGCCACAACCCATTTCTCGGTTCCCTTTCAGTGCCAAACTCCTCAGCAGAGCCGTCCGCTCCTGCTGTCTCCATTCTATCACCTCACACCCACTTTTTAATCTAAGCAAAAGAATCTGAACATATAGAAGAGTGCAGAGAATTCACAGCCCAGATTTGACAACTGCAAACATTTTGCTGTATTTGATTGGGATTTGTGTGTTTCATCCTCCCCACCCTTTCCTCCCATGCTTCCTGCCTCTGAGCCCTACCCCAGGCTGGGTCCCGTATTCCACACTCACCGCCTGGTTGAGGAATCCCAGTGGGGCGGCGCCTCCATCTGTCTGGGAGTTTGGCTGGTGGCCGCCTGCGCCTCGGGTAGGGAAGCTCCACGAGACAGAGATCTCGTCCATTCTCACCCCAAGCTCTCCCGCACCTCGTTAAGGCATCCAATAAATAGTTGTTGCACCGAAGAATGGCCACCCACCAGCTGAACTCCCAGCCTGATCCCTGATTGCCAATAATAGGATCTTACATGTCAATTCAAGCCTAATTATTTCCCTTTTGATTATTTTTTTGTCTTCTAGTTCTGATCATTTTTGTAATAAGGCACTCCCTGGTGGAAACATGGAAAGTACAGAGAGGTAAAAAGCGGAAGGGGAAAACTCACTCATAGTCCCATCATCCAAAAACAGCCCAATCGCATGGCTCAAGGCAACACCTCTTTGTCTTACCTATTTTGACGTGGATGCAACAGGTAGAGAGTTTCATTCACCGGAAACTCCACCATCGATCCTCATAAGAAAAGCAGAGAGAGAACTACGTGCTCCCTGGGGTCCCATGGGTGGCAATGAGGTCCTCAGTCCAGTTCCTGTGAAAAGATGTCTCGAGAGTTTTTTTTGAGACAGAGTGTCACTCTGGTGCCCAGGCTGGAGTGCGGCGGCACGATCTTGCCTCACTGCAACTCCCACCTCCTGGGTTCAAGCAATTCTCATGCCTCAGCCTCCTGAGTAGCTCGGATTACAGGTGCCCACCACCAGGCCCAGCTAATCTTTTTTTTTCATTTTTAGTAGAGATGGGGTTTCGCCATGTTGGCCAGGTTGGTCTCAAATGCCAACCTCAGGTGATCTGCCCGCCTCGGTCTCCCAAAGTGCTGGGATTACAGGTGTGAGCCACCGTGCCTGGCCGAGTCATTTTTGGCTGCAGAAAGGTTTGGGGTTCCCCCTGGTTGGTGGGGGATATCAATGAGGGGAGAGGTGGAGAGATTTCAGCAACTTCTGTGCCTGGGAAACTTTGAGATGGGGAAGAGAAGCCTACACTGGATTTATGGGTAGCCTTCTAGGCAAAGCTCTCTGTGAATCATTGTGGCTTCTGGATTCCAGCTGCCATTTCCTTCAGTCCTACATCAAGCAGTGACTGGGCCACATGGAGCCCTGCGAGTGATGGGTTACAGTGACAGTCACACATGTATATGTCTGAGGAAACTTCATTGTAGCCAACAGCTCCTGCTCAGGATTGAAAGAAATAGAGTATCAGAGGCATATTAGAGTTTTCCAGAGAAACAGAACCCATAGGCTACATAGAGACATAAGAGGAGATTTATTATGGGAATTGGTTCACGCAATTATGGAGGCTGAGAAGTCCACCATCTGCCACCTGCGGAGTGGCCTCTGGGGGCCAGGGCAGGATGGGGAGGGAAGGGAGGGAGTCAGAACCCCCTCCTGTACACACTTCCATGTTGATATTATTACATTTTGTTGTAATCATTCATTTATGGGTTTGTGCCTCCCAATGACTTCCTGTTCCTCTAAGGGGACTATGTCTTATTGATCTTTGAGTTACCAGCTCCATGGACAGCACCAGCAGATGCATAGAGCTCAACACATCTGTTGGCCGAATCCACCTCCCTTCACCCTGAGGCACCCTGCACAGGGTTTTCAGCACTGCGTGGATGCTCCTTCCCCACCTGGCTGACTCCTTGAGCACAGCTTTAGTCATGAGCCCCATGGGACCACCCCAAGTCTCTCTGTGGATGCACTTGGCCAGATCATGGGTTAAGCTCCTTTTTGGGGCTATGCCCACTGGGCCAGTACTCATAGTTCTCCTCCTGCCAGGAATGCCGTTAGTAGGTAGAGCTGGGCCACTGCCCCGCAAAATGGACACGTGGCTCTGCCTAAGGCAGCAAGGACCACCAGGATGGTGTGGGAGGAGGGGAGGAAAAGGACCTGGGGCTCTGAGGCAGGGCAGGCTTCATGGGTCTGTGCGGCCACTTAAGAAGGGCCCAAGCTTGTTCCAATGCTTTCCAACCACCAACTTGATACTACTTCTGAATAAAAGGCCTGTGTTTTCATTTTGCACCGGAACCCACACATTTTGTAGCTGGTGCTGCTGTGAGGAATTAGCAGAGGAGGGTCCCAGAAGCAAGAAGGAACAATGGGCTGTTTAGAAGAAGCTCTGGGCCTCAGCCACCCTCAGAGAGCAGTGATGACCGGAGCTTGGGCAGGGGGTGGGTGAGTGGGGGGCAGGGACATGGCTGGCATGCTCTCTCTGCCCTGATCGGAGACCCACGATTCTCCAAGGCATTGGGGACCAATATCCCTGGTCCACGAATGGCCACAGGCCCCAGTGGTGAACTTCGTTTTTTTCTCATTGGAGAGAAAATAGCAGAGTGAAGACCTGCGATTGAAGATCACCCCAATGTAGAAATATTTTTTTCAGAGAAAAGAAAAATCGAGTTCTCAGTGTTCCAGCATGGCTTTGCCAAGACTGAGAGGAGGCTGGGGCAGATTGAGCCCCATGAGACCACCCTCATGCCCCCACATCCAACAACTGCAAAATGTTCAGTGACCCAAACAGATGACAGCCAGTCACAGGGTCACAGGGACCCGAGCTGCACAGACAGCTCATCCTCACCCTCATTATATGCAGATTCTGTATTTGCAAATTTGCCAACTTGCTTAAATGTATTTGTAAATCCAAAATCAGCACTCAGGGCCTTTTTTTTTTTTTAATCTGAGACAGAATCTTGCTCTGTTGCCCAGGCTGGAGTGCAGTGGCGTGATCTTGGCTCACCGCAAGCTCAGCCTCCTGAGTTCACGACATTCTCCCGCCTCAGCCTCCCGAGTAGCTGGGACTACAGGCGTGTGCCACCGCACCCAGCTGATTTTGTTTTTGTATTTTTAGTAGAGATGGGGTTTCACTGTGTTAGCTAGGATGGTCTTGATCTCCTGACCCTGTGATCCACCCTCCTTGGCCTCCCAAAGTGCTGGGATTACAGGCGTGAGCCACCGCGCCCGGCCAGTCAGGGCCTTTTGAGTTCATTTATGGACAGGCCCAGTGGCCAAAAAAAAAAAAAAAAAAAAATGCTTTGAATGTATGTTCCCAGTTGAGGCTGAACAAGGAACTGCCATCTTGCTTCAGCTCTTATGTCATAAACACATTTTTTCGAAGTCTATTTGGTGCTATGGTTTTGCATTTTCATGTTTCTTCTAGGTGATTTTGTTTAAAATGGCCCTGGCTCCAGAATAGCACTAAAGTGCTATCTGTTGTTCTAAGCACAAGAACCTGCCCCATGGAGAAAACACATGTGTTAGATACACTTCGTGCAGGCATGAGATAATTAATCAGCAATAGACACAAAATGATGTATATTTAAACAGAAACACACATAAAGGAGAATTGTTTATTCATTGACTAATAAATGTGACCAGAGGCTGGGCATGGTGGCTCACGCCTGTAATCCTAGCACTTTGGGAGGCCGAGGTGGGTGAATCACCTGAGGTCAGGAGTTCGAGACCAGCCTGGCCAACATGGCAAAACCCCGTCTTTACTAAACATACAAAAATTAGCCAGACGTGGTGGTGTGTACCTATAATCCCAGCTACTTGGGACGGTGAGGCAGGAGAATCACTTGAACCTGGAGGGCAGAGGTTGCAGTGAGCCGAGATCGCACCACTTCACTCCAGCCTGGGCGAAAGAGCCAGACTTTGTCTAAAAAAAAAAAAAAAAAAAAAAAAATGTGACCAGAGGCTCACAGGACCCTGACCCCAAGTTTCCCTAAAAGCAATAATTCAGTATCCACTAGTTCTAGTTCAGTCTTTGAGGGGACCTTACAGAATATAATTATTGCCAATGATGAGTATCAGCTGTAATCCGAGAGGCCTAAGAAGTTTAGGAATGCATTTCGGGTTTCTTTGCCTTGTGGGTATATAGACTTAAATCACCACTTTTTTGATGAGAAATAGGCTTAGAGAGATTAAATGATGCTATGGACGAACATTTGTGCTCCTCCAAATTCATATGTCAAAGGCAGAATCTTTCTGATTCTAGAGCCAGGACATACTTTTCAAACATTTGCACCGAAGCATCCCCAACACGGAAGAGGGAAATACGGGTCCCTGGGGGTACAAAGGGGTGGAAAATGACCCTTCTGGGTGTAAAAGTCCTTGAAAGTCTCTGTTTGACCTTAAAAATTCCTGTAAATTATTCATTCCACTCTACAGATAGTATGCTTTTGTTTTACCATAAAATATTATATTAAATCACTAGTTGAATGGTGTAACTCCAACAGCTAGACACACTCACTCGGATGTCATATACACTCCTAGAAAGAAGGGGCTGCTGAGCCTAACTCATCCCTGTGTTCCCTGGGCCCAACAGAATAGAGAGTCCCACACAGACACGGGATGAAGAGGGTCAGACAGAGGCACGGGATGAAGAGGGTCCCACACAGGCACGAGATGAAGAGGGTCCCGCACAGACACGGGATGAAGAGGGTCCCGCACAGACACGGGAGGAAGAGGGTCCCGCACAGGCACGGGAGGAAGAGGGTCCCGCACAGGCACGGGAGGAAGAGGGTCCCAGCACAGGTACAGGATGAAGAGGGTCACTGCCAGAAGCCAGGGCGCTGCGAGAGACAATGTGACAAAATCATTTCCTTAGGCATGGTCCTCTGGACACTCCAGCTTGGGCCAGTTTTCCACACTCCCTGCGGGACACGCATGCGCCTCTATCCTGCTTGACCACGTGGGGGCGCCCCACACGCGCTGTACCCCGGTACCCGCACCTCTGCGCGTTTCACTCAGATGTGGCTTTGTTTCCCACGATGTCCGCATCGTCCTCTGTGTCAGCCATGGTTGCCATGGATACCGTGGCTCCCAGCCAGAGGAGGGTCTCAGGGCTCAGAGGCTTTGTTGATGTTAGGCCATCAGTTCAAGAACAGGACCACGCAGTGGGGAGCTGTGTGCTGATGCGGAAGGACCCTGTGGATGTTACCGGGGAAGAATGAATGGAACTCCCTTCTGAGCAGCCTCAATGGAGACCAACCCAACACGCTCACCTTGTGTTCACCCCGTGCAGCAGGGACTGCCCCTGCCTCCCACGCAGGAGGGGCCAAACCCACTCACAGCAGGCCTGAGGCCCCCAGGTCTCGGGGTCACGGGGGAGTTCCTTGTTCCTCTGTCCCTCGTCCTTTCTGTCAGCTCGCCGTGGCGTGTTGATGCTGGCGTCGTGGTCCTTCGTCTTCCTTTGTGCTCACACTGACGGTTTCTGGACTTACGCATGTGGATGTCTGATAAGTGCATCCAGAGAGCCATGCCTTTTCATAAATGATGGTTGCTTCTCAGATTCACTGTGGCCAGGACACTGCGTTTTTGGAGACCACGTGCCGGCGGGCACACACCCTCCTGTTGCTCAGATGAACCAACCGGCCTCCATTCCTGTGCTTCCGCAAGTGGCCTGTTCCACACCTGCAGCCGTCTGTGTGCCAATCAGGGACTGCTGAACAACACCTGTGGCTCTGAGGGCGTCCTCTGAGGGATCTCACCCGAGTCCCACGGAATCTGATTCTGCAGCAGCCTCCCTTTCCCAGTGGCCACCCAGTCCCCACGCTGCCCACTGGGGCTCTTCTCGACCCCCATCATGGGCGTGTGGCTTGCCTGGCCGTGACAGCAGGCTGTAGTTTCCTGCACCCACTGCACCCTCTCTCTAGAACATTCTCCAGCTTGAGCAGCATCTTCAGGAAACGCCATCTGATCACAGCGCCCATCCGCGGCGCAGACCCACTCCTCCCTTCCATCAGTGTGGCTTTTGTGTTGGTTCAGTTACTCTTCTTGGTTTCTTTTGAATAATTTCGTTTTCCTTTCCTAATTTCTTAGGATGAATACAACATATTCGTTCTTTTGATGTGCTTGGCTCATCTTCCTACTTTAATAACGAAAGCATTTTAAAGTGCTAACATTTCCTGTGAGTATTGGTTTTTGAGGATTCACACAGATTTCGGGATGAAACGTCCTTTATTATTATTATTATTATTATTACTTGCAGGATAATATGCCGTTGTAAAACTTCCTATTTGAGCTAGGTGTAAGCTAGGAATGTGTCTCTTAATTTTGAAGTTGTAAACATTTTTGGGTTATCTCTGTAGTAATTATTCCCAATTGTTTTGGATTATGTTTAGAGGATTTGCTGGTAAAGCCTGTTTAAAAAATATTCTCGGCCCGGCACGGTGGCTTACGCCTGCAATCCCAGCACCTTGGGAGGCCGAGGGGGGTGGGGGCACGGATCACTCGAGGTCAGGAGTTTGAGACCAGCCTGGCCAAAATGACGAGACCCCATCTTTACTAAAAATACAAAAATTAGATGGGTGTAGTGGTGCATGCCTGTAATCCCAGCTACTTGGGAGCTGAGGCAGGAGAATCGCTTGAACCTGGGAGGTGGAGGTTGCAGTGAACCAGGATTATGCCACTGCACTCCAGCCTGGGCGACAGAGTGAGACTCTGTCTCAAAAAATAAAATAAAAATAAAAAATAAATAAAGACATCCTCAAGGATTTCTTTATGGCTAAGAACAGGAATGTGTTCCATGGACTTGAAAAAATGAATCCCTACTCAGGTGATATAAAGATATATTTCTATTAAGTATGAAGATTTTAGTGTATCTTATTGTATATATTGACATTTCCCACTATACTTGTATATGTGTGTTTACACATATTGATATGTGTATACATGTACACATACATAAATATATACACATACATATACGTGTGTGCATCTTTTTTTTTCCCCGAGATAGGGTCTCAGTCTGTTGCCCAGGCTGGAGTGCAGTGGCGTGATCTCGGCTCACTGCAACTTGGCCTCCTGGGTTCAAGCTATTCTCATGCCTCAGCCTCCCAGGTAGCTGGGACTACAGGCACCCGCCACCACATCTGGCTAATTTTTGTATTTTTAGTAGAGACAGTGTTCCACCATGTTGGTTAGTCTGGTCTTGAACTCCCGACCTCAGGTGATCCACTTGCCTTGGCCTCCCAAAATGCTGGGATTACAGGCGTGAGCCACTGTGCCTGGTCATGGATCTATATTTTAATCAAAGTCTCCTACCATTTCTTTTTTCTTTTCTTCTCTTTTTTTTTTTTTCTGAGATGGAGTCTCGCTCTGTCAACCAGGCTGGAGTGCAGTGGCTCGAACTCGGCTCACTGCAACCTCTGCCTCCTGGGTTCAAGTGATTCTCCTGCCTCAGCATCCTAAGTAGCTGGGATTTATGTGTCACCATGCCTGGCTAATTTTTGTATTTTTAGTAGGATAGGGTTTCACCATGTTGGTCAGGCTGCAGTCTCCTACCATTTAGAATAGCTTTTGTTTATGTCTACCTGCGGCACTGTTTTGTGGACACAGATCTATTTTTTTCATAAATGGTGGCTTTTATCATTATGTAATGTCCATTTTTTTCTAGTTAGTGCTTTAACCCTCAATTCCACTTTCTCTCATATTACCACTCATGTTTGCTTTTTGTTTCCATCTGCCTGGACTTCTTGTGACCATCTTATTTTGGTTCTGCTTTTTCCTTCCTTCCCCTTTCTTGCCTTCATTTGAACTAACTTTTCTTTTTTCCTTTTCCTATTGTTTGTTTATTCTTTCTGTGTTAACCATAGATTTTTTTATATGTATACTTAAATTAACAAAATCTAAATTTAATCAATATATTCATTCTCTTAATTAAGGACTTTACAATGCTTTAATTCTTATATAACCCATCTAACTTACACATACTATTGTTGTCTTCACTTTTATCTTTTTTAATCCCTAAAATTAGACATTATTATTATTGCTTCATAGTCAATATTTAGATGTCTATGTTTTAACCAGTTTCTTTGCTATTATTTCATATTTTTAGAGCTAAAGATAATTTTAATTTTGAAATGATTTTATACTTGTAGAAATTTGGGCTGGGTGAGGTAGCTCACCCCTGTAATCCTTGCATTTCGGGAGGCTGAGGTGGGAGGATGACTTGAGCTTGGGAGTTCGAGTCCAGCCTAGGCAACATAGTGAGACCTCGTCTCTATAAAATAAAAAGAATTTTAAAAAGAAAATTGCAAGAAGAGTACAAATAGCATGCTTTCCCCTTCTGAACCACTTGAGAATTAATTACCAGCCTGATGCCCATTATCTCAAATTCTTTAGGGTGTACATCCTACAACAAGGACAGTCTCCTGCATAGCAAGGCAACATCAACATCAGGAAATTAACACTCACACACTACTACCATCTAATCAACAGAATCCTGCATTCATGTTTAGGCAATTTCTCAGGAACATCCTTTGTACCAACAAGATCTCATCTTGGGTCACAAGTTGTATTTAGTTGACATATCTCTTCAGTCTCCTTCAATCTAACAGTTTCTCTGTCTTTTCTTGATTTGTATGACCTGACGCTTTTGAAAAGCACAGATCAGTTATTTTGTAGAATGTTCCTCAAGTACAGGATTGTCTGATGCTTCCTTTTGATTAGATTCAGGTTACGCATTTTTGGCAGGACTATCATAGCAGTTGGGCTGTGTTCTTTCCATTGTATCCTATCAGGGAGAACACAACATAGATTTATCCTATGACTGGTGATGGGACATCATGCTTTGACTGTGACTTTGGTCACTTGGCTAAAATGGTATCTGCCAGGTGTCTCCACCGTAAAGTTATTATTTTTCCCTTTGTATTTAACAAATGTTTTGTAAAGAAGTACCTCGAAACCACGTAAATATTCCTGCCTGTTCAAACTTTCACTCATCAGCATTAACATCTACTGATACTTCTTGGCTAAATTACTGATTACTAACAGCTATGATGATTACCAAATGGTAACTTTTCTAATTCCATAATTTCTTCCACGTTTGTTAGTTGGCATTTTGTTGTAAGAAAATTTTTTCTTCTCCTCATTTATGTATTCATTCATTAGTATCTATATGGCTTTCTGTTTTATCCAATAGGTT
The DNA here is from genome assembly GCF_000001405.40 of Homo sapiens. Taxonomy (NCBI): domain Eukaryota; kingdom Metazoa; phylum Chordata; class Mammalia; order Primates; family Hominidae; genus Homo; species Homo sapiens. The sequence goes on from NC_000011.10 coordinate 64,494,223, forward strand.
ATGTTATTATTATCTAGTTTGGTGTTCAAATTATGTCAGAACAAGCGGGACCCCTTTAGAGCTGGCTCCTCTGTCCTTTTAATTCATCTCCTTCGATTTTTGAGCACATGCTCACTCTCTGGCACAAAAGATGTTATAGGTTTATCTTGTGCTTTTCCTACCTCAACCCTGGAATCAGCCATTTTCCCAAGAAATCCTGGTTGCTTTTAGGGGAGAATGGTATTTAGAAACCAAGATTTGAGTGCTGGGCACGCTCATTGCTGTTGGGGTGTTATTGCATCCAGGCCTTCTTGGTGGATAAAGCTAGCAACACATGTACGTACACACACAATTATATCTATATTCATTTCTGTATCTGTCCATAAGTATTGAAAACCATTAGTTCATCCCTCCAATTATAATCTAACACACAGCGTTCATTCCAGTTTCCTCCTTTTCCGTGTCTGTAACTTCTGCGGCAGTGAGAAACCTGGCTTTCATTTTCCTCAATATTTTGCTTATTTGATCAATCTTTTCTAGGTAACCAACCTACTTCCATGATGCCATGTGCTTCTCAGTACTCAGAGCCGCTTTGCTCTGAGGACATTTTCCCATCCCAATGAGATACCTGAAAAGATGGGCCTTGTTTTTCATAGTCCCTTCAGGCTAAGGGGACAAAAGTCAGAGTGCCGGGAAAGGGTGGTCTGAGGACATAGGAAAAAGAACAACCAGAAACCAACAAAAGTGCTTTTCCTATTCTCTCACTCGATAATCAACAAGCAATACTTCTTGATTGATCTGCTTGATCTTTTCCCCCATACACCAAGCAATCAATCGACTTTGCAGAGGACACCAGCTAGGCATCCTCCAATTCAATTCTGACGCTGTCTACCTGGAGACGGCGTCAGATCCCACAGGCTGAGCACTCAGTCCCACAAGGCTGCCCCCACTTCCAGTGCTCATCGAAAGCCCCAGGTTGTTCCACCTGTAATTCTGACCCACCAGCTATAAATGGGGGTTCCCATGACCCCCTTTTTGGGTTTGATTAATTTGCTGGAGTGACTTACAGAACTTAAGGAAACACTTATTTACATTTACCAGTTTATTACAAAGGATATTACGAAGGATACAGATGAAGAAATGCATAGGGCGAGGTATGGGGAAGGGGCATGTTTCCCTCTCCAGGTGCACACCCTCCAGGAACCTCCACGTGTTCAGCTATCCAGAAGCTCCCAGAACCAAGTCCTTTTGGGTTGTTTAATTTTTTAATTTATTTTATATTTTTCCATAGGTTATTGGGGAACAGGTGGTGTTTGGTTACATGAGTAGGTTCTTTAGTGGTGATTTGTGAGATTTTGGTGTACCCATCACCCAAGCAGTATACACTGCACCCTATTTGCAGTCTTTTATCCCACGCCCCCCCCCCCACCCATCCCCCCAGGTCCCCAAAGTCCATTGTATCATTCTTATGCCTTTGTGTCCTCATAGCTTAGCTGCCACATATCAGTGAGAATATACGATGTTTGGTTTTCCATTCCTGAGTGACTTCACTTAGAATAATTTTCTCCAAACTCATCCAAGTCACTGCGAATGCCATTAATTCATTCCTTTTTATGGCTGAGTAGTAGTTCCCTTTTGGGTTTTTATGGAAGCTTTATTACATAGGCATGATTGATTAAATTATTGGTCATTGGCCATTTAACCTTCAGCCCCTCTCTCTTCCCCAGAGGTTGGTGGGGGACAAGATGAAAGTCCTAATCATATAATCCTGCTTTGGTCTTTCTTGTGACCAGCCACCATCCTGAAGCTACATAGGGGCTGTCAGCCATCAGTGAATTCATTAGCTACAAAAGACACTCATCACTTTGAAAATTCCAAGAATTTTAAGAGTTGTGTGCCAGGAAAAGACCAAATATATATTTCACAAGATCACAGATGGGAACCTGTAAACCCTATCCCACTTTAGGCTAGGACCCAAAGGGCTACACGGAAGGAAATAGAATAATCTTAGCTTTTCATCATCTGGACAGCTCCGAAAATCTGAAGCCCTGAATTTATATTAAGGTGATTCTAGACTGGGCATGGTGGAATCATGCCTGTGATCCCAGCACTTTGGGAGGCCCAGGTGGGAGGATCACTTGAGCCCAGGAGTTTGAGACCAGCCTGGACAACATGGTGAGACCTGGTCTCTACAAAAAATATTTTTAAAAAATTAGCCAGGCATAGTGGTGTGCACCTGTGGTCCCAGATACTCGGGAGGCTGAAGTAGGATTGCTTGAGCCGAGGAGGTAGAGGCTGCAGTGAGCCCTGATCATGACCCTGCACTCCAGCCTGGGCAACAGAGTGAGACCCTGTCTCCAAAAAAAAAAAGAAGAAGAAGAAGAGATGATTCTAGATCGTTATTATCCTCAGTACCTGGAAAAAAGAAAAGGAAAAGAAATATTATCTTTAAAGGAGAATTACATCCCTCAGGTCTCAAGTGTTTTCTACAATTAATTTTTTTTCTTTTTAGACAGAGTCCCCTTCTGTTTCCAGTCTGGAGTGCAGTGGCTTGATCTTGGCTTACTGCAATCTCTGCCTCCCGGGTTCAAACGATACCCCTGCCTCAGCCTCCCAAGTAGCTGGGACTACAGGTGCGCACCACCACGCCCGGCCAATTTTTTTTTTTTTTTTTTGAGACCAAGTCTCACTCTGTTGTCCAGGCTGGAGTGCAGTGGCGCGATCTTGGCTCACTGCAAGCTCTGCCTCCCGGGTTCACGCCATTCTCCTGCCTCAGCCTCCCGAGTAGCTGGTACTACAGGCGCCCGCCACCACACCCGGCTAATTTTTTTGAATTTTTAGTAGAGAGGGGGTTTCACTGTGTTAGCCAGCATGGTCTCAATCTCCTGACCTCGTGATCCACCTGCCTCAGCCTCCCAAAGTGCTGGGATTATAGGCATGAACCACCGCACCTGGCCTAATTTTTTGTATTTTAATGGAGACAGGGTTTCACCTTGTTGGCCAGGATGGTCTCGTTCTCCTGACCTCGTGATCTGCCCACCTCAGCCTCCCAAAGTTATGGGATTACAGGCGTGAGCCACTGCACCCGGCCTCTATAGTTAATTTTTAAAATAGTTATCAGGCCAGGCGTGATGGTTCACACTTGCAGTCTCAGCACTTTGGGAAGCCAAAGTGGGTGGACCACTTGAGGCCAGGAGTTCGAGACCAGCCTGGCCAACATGGCGAAACCCCATCTCTACTAAAAATACAAAAATTAGCCGGATGTGGTGGTGGCCACCTGTAATCCCAGCTACTCAGGAGGCTGAGGCAGGAGAATCGCTTGAACCTGGAAGGTGGGGGTTGCAGTGAGCAGACATAGAGTCACTGAACTCTAGCCTGGGAGACAGAGCAAGACTCTGTCTCAAAATAACATAAAATAAAACAAAATAAAATAAAATAAGGTATCAACTACACATTCCAAAATAATCAGATGCATGAAGAGACACTTAGAGCAAGAACCAGCACAAACAGTAACAGAGGGACACAATATTCAATATACTATAAAAACTGTAGACTATGGAATAATTATGTTTACTATGTTCAAGAAAATACATGCTATGCTTGAATTTTTTGGCCAAAAATAAAAAAGCAGCAGCAGCAATACCTGACATAGCAGCTTTGACAAAGAACCAAATAGAAATTCTAGAACTAAAAAATAACTAAAATTAGGAATTCCACTGAATTCCTAATTCCTAAGACAGGAATTCAATTATTAGTTTATTATACATAGGTATAGAGAGAATTAGTGAACTGGAATATAGGTCAGAATAAACCTGGCAAAATAAAGCATGAAGAAACAAAACCTCTCTGTCTCTTGTCTCTCAGAAGAGAGATGAAAAGATCTAATCTGTTTCATTAGAGCCTCAGAAGAGTGGCTGGAGGAAATGGTGCAGAAACATTTGGAAAGATTATGGCTGAGATTTCCCTGGATTTGAGGAAGAACTAATGTTAATACTCATAGATGAGTTAATACTCATAGATTCAAGAGGCCCGAAAATACCAAGTAGGATAAAGAGAAGGAGGAAGTAATTGCAGCTTTGGCTGCCTCACAGAGAAGCCACTGTCCCTGCCATGATGATGAAATTCCAAGAGGCACCACATCAGCCCCCGCCCCACTGTGACCCTCGCCCAGACCACATGGATGGAGGAAACTGAGTCATGGTGTCAGGGAGCCATACCCTGGTCACTGCTCAAGAGCTACCTTCGAATCCTCATTTTGAAAGTGAAATTGCATAATTTTCACTCCATGTACTCTGGAGCCTATGTATAAGAAACTAAACTTTAGAAGCAAGGAGATAGGACAAGAGGAAAGGCAGTCAACTTGGCCACCATACTGGTGACAAAGGTGGGCACCAATGGGAGGGGAGCTGGGGTAATGATTCAGCCTGGAAAGGTGAGTAGAACCAGAGGGAAGGCACGAGGATGACCCATCAGGACCAGGTGGAAAATTCCACTGGGATCTGTGCAGTCCCTACACCCTGCTTCCCGCAACCATCCTCAACCCAACAGCCCCACAATCCCATTCTACCACAAAGATTATGTAGCTCCTTCTTTACTGTCCTGAAATGGAATTCAGAGATACATTTTTAGACCTCAATATAATTCTCTGACAGTAATAAAGAAGAAATAAAGATAACTTAAATAAAGTAATCTGTATTATAATAGATAAATGTCCAAGCACAACTCCACTAGGAGACATGGTCTTCCAAATGGGTGACTAAGTCTTGATAAAAATTGGAACAAAACAAAGTACAATCTCATTTCACATGATAGTTGAAAACTTCAGGATTCAGTTAAAAATATATATAATATAAAATATAACACATTATATTTTTATATATAGTAAAATAATATTAGGTTTTAGGTGCTGAATGATTATAAACAAAGTACTATAATAAAATTTAATTTTGAAATTATGAGACTTCTTTAGCATTTCAGAATAACTTTAAAATGATTTAAAATGATTTTAAATGCAGTCCAGTGGACATTCAGAAGTTGTGCGGGATATGGATGAATCTTGGTGGTGTGGGACCACCTTGCCCACTGTGGAACATTTTAAGTCCCCACCCCAGTTTTTGCGGATGCCAACAGTGTCCTCACCCAGTCACTGTGATACAAAATGCCTCCAGAAGTCTCCAAACCTATTCCGGGTTCTGCCCGTGTTGAGGGCTCCTGGTTTAGGGTGTGGGCTGGGGCTGGCACTGTGGGTGGACACTTGTTCCTCTGACTGCCTGCTGGCCTCACCACCCCTGTGGGCCACAGCCTTGGAAAGAACAGTCCTCATTGGCTTTTTCTTCAAACACGACCCTGGGGATGGCTTTAGTAGCTCCTGGAATGGGGAATCTTAGCCCCGTCTATGGTCAGGTGTCTCCCCAGCTCGCTGAAGAAGAATGTGAAGGGAGAAAGGCTGAGAAGGGCCCCATTAAAGGCGGAAGAATCGCTTCCTCACCTTTCCCCAGTGAGAGAAGATGCGCTTTATTTGTTCATAAAACACACCCATAGCAAAGGCCTGGCACGGTGCACAGTGTGGGGAGCAGAGGATGGGGTCCTGCCCTCCTAGAGTGTACAGCCTGGGTGTGTGGGGGAGAGAGATAATAAACAAGGAAATAAACGGTTACGAGTGTCCCAACAGTCACAGGAAAGAACAAGTGCTGTGTGTGGAAGAATAAACCAGAAGGACGCCACAAAGGAAGGACGGTTGGGGTGGGGGCGGCCACAAGAAGCTCCCACTCTGTCTTCAGAGCTTTGGGTGGGGGGGCGGGTGCCCAAGCTATACTCACCCCTGAGGCTGTTGGTCTCTGGCCAACTTTAACAATGATTCAGGTCTCACTGGACGCACAAGGTATACGTCCTTTCAGAAAGAATGCAGAGCAATGGAAGAGTGGGTGGATTCTTTAACAAAGAAATTGCAAAATTCCAGCAAAATACAACATTTTGGAAGGAAAATCCCTTAGAGGCTCCCCTTTGGTGGCATAGCATCATGGAAATGAACCAAAGAAGAAATGAAACATTTAAAGAACATCCTAAGTTTTAAATTAGACCCAAATGCTGCGACCTCATCAAATAAACACCCAATCCACCAAATTCTAGCCCCACCAGGAGGAGTTAAGGAAGGAGCACGCTCTCAAAATGGCACCCGGGGCCAGCCCTGTGATGGGCGGACTCGGGTCACGTGACCCCAACTGCGTCTTCAAGACTGATCTCTTGTGAGGCTCTTAAAGCGGCGCTCCCCAACATTTCTAGCACCAGGGACTGGTTTGGAGGAAGGCAAATTTTCCAGATGGTGGGGGATGGGGGTGGGGGTGGTTTCAGGATGATTCAAGGGCATTTCATTTATTGTGCACTTTATTTCTATTATTATTACGTTGTAATATATAAGGAAGTAATTATACCCCTCACCATAATGTAGAATCAGTAGGAGCCCTGACCTTGTTTTCCTGCAATGCGACGGCGGCGACAGATCATCAGGCATCAGGTTCTCATAAAGAGCGCACAGCCTAGATCCCTTGCATGCGGGGTTCACAGCAGAGTTCGTGCTCCTGTGAGAATCTAACGCCGGCACTAATCTGACCTGAGTGGCGCTCTGGTGGTCACGTGAGCAACGGGGAAGCGGCCGTAAGAACAGATGAAGCTTCACTAGCTCCCCAGCCGCTCGTCTCCTGCTGTGTGGCCTGGTACCAGTCTGTGGCCCAGGGGCTGGGGACCCTTGCCCTAAAGGCTCCCGGGGCCGGCTGGGCCTGCTTGTGGGTAAGGGAGAGAGGACAGAAGCCTGTGCTGCTCAGGAGCCCCCACCACATAATGCCCTGTGTCCCAGATCCTAAATTCCTGAAAAGGCTAAAGTGAAGGACGATATTAGAGGATATTGAAAGTTTTGTTCCACAACTCCAAAACTTCTTTTATTGCAAAAAGATTTCCGTACCAAGCTTTGACATATATATATATAAATTTTTTTTCTTTTTTGAAACAGGGTCTTACTCTGTCACCCAGGCTGGAGTACCGGGGCAAAATCTTGGTTCACTGCAGCCTCAAACTCCCAGGCTCAAGCCATCCTCCCACCTCAGCCTCACAAATAGCTGGGACCACAGACATGCTCCACTATGACTGGCTAATTTTTAAACTTTTTTGTAGAGACAGGGGTCTCCCTCTGTTGCCCAGGCTGGTCTTGAACTCCTGACCTCAAGCGATCCTCTCGCTTCAGCCTCTGAAAGTATTGGGATTATAGGAGTGAGCCACCTTGCCCAGCTTAAAAATGCCTATTAAAGAAAATTTGGAAAACATATAAAAAGGGAAAAAGTCAATTCTATCTTTGTTTCCGTTTTGCTATCTGTCCAGTGCACTGGGGTGTGGAATGCTAACCTCGTCTCCTCCTACTACCCATGACTCTGCCACCTCCCATCTGTCCTCCTGCTTTTCATCGACCACACCTCCCACCTTGCGACCTTTGCACTGGCTCTTTCCTCTGCTGGAATGCATATTCCCAGAATCTGTATGGCTGACTCCCTCACCACTGAGTCTTTACTCATACACGACCTTCTTGACGACACTGACCTTGACCGCCCCACTTGTAATTGCACTTCCGACCACTCCTGATCCCCCTCCCGGTTACTCTGCTTAGTCTTATTCCTATAGCATTTACCACCTTCCTGCAAGCTAGGTAATTTACTTCTGGATTATGGTTATTTTCTATTCCTGTCTCCCCGATTGGACTGTGTCTATGTCTGTGTCTATGTCTACGTCAGCTGCACGGGCATAGAGATTTTTACCATTTTCTTCACAGGCATATCCCAAGCACCTGGAACAGTGCCTGTCATATACCAGGTGCTCAGTACATTTTTACTTGATGAATTAAATTAATGAAGCCTGGCTGATATTTATTGAGTACTTACTCTGCGCCAGACATTGTTTCAAGTACTTTACATTTTTCCAACAACCCTTGGAGAAAGTTTTAATAAACCCATTTTACAAATGAGGAACCCTAGGCACAGAAAGGCTAAGCAACTCGCCTAAGATCACACAGCCAGTAAATGTCAGTGCCAGGATTTGAACCCAGGCAGTCTGACACCAGAGCTCATAGTCTCAATTGCAGTGAACACCACAGAGCCAGGCATGTTTTAGTGGTCACTACATTTTAGTTGAATAAATGAATAAATAACTAAAAACCAAATATATCAAATAACATTCTAATTTCTCTGCCTAGAGATCAATACTGGCCAACACATGATGGGACATTTTTCTTGACCCTCTCCAATGTGAATTACTTCCTTTTATATGGAAGATTGTGAGCCCTTTGAAGACCTGATGGAAGCTATTGGACAGTAGAAGACACAGAGTGTACATGCAGGTGAAATGTTGCATGCAATTTTCAGGGGCTTAATGGACCTTCCCCATCACATTACAGTTCTCCAGAGAAACAGAACCAACATGGGAGATCTGTGTGTATGTCTATGTCTGTGTCTGCGTCTCCATCTCTGTCTATGTCTGCCTCTGCGCCTGCACCTGCGTCTGCATGTGCGTTTGTGTCTGTCTGCGTCTGCGTCCGCGTCTGGATCTGGGTCTGTGTCTGTGTCTGTGTCTGTGTCTGCGTCTGCGTCTGTCTGCGTCTGCGTCTGTCTGCGTCTGCATCTGCGTCTGCATCTAGGTCTGGGTCTGTGTCTGTGTCTGTCTGTGTCTGTGTCTGCGTCTGTATCTGTCTGCGTCTGTGTCTGTGTCTGCGTCTGCGTTTGTCTGCATCTGCGTCTGCATCTAGGTCTGTGTCTGTGTCTATGTCTGTGTCTGTGTCTGTCTGTGTCTGTGTCTGTGTCTATCTGTGTCTGTGTCAGTGTCTATGTCTGCGTCTATGTCTATGTCTATATTAATCAGGATTTTCCAGAGAAACAGAACCAATGGGATATAGATAGATGATAGATGTGTACATAATATATATAGAGGGATAGATGGATAAAAATAGATAGATAGATGATAGATAGATAGATAGATATGAGAGGAGCGTTATTAGGGGAACTGGCTCAGGTAATCAAAAGTTGAGAAGCCCTGCAATATGCCATCTGCAAACAGGAGAAGCAGGGAAGCTGGTAGCGTGACTCAGTCCAGGCACAAAGGTCTGAGAACCAGGGGGCCAATGGGGTAACTTTCAGTAGGAGCCAGAGGCCTGAGAAACGGGGATCTGCTGGTGCAAGTCTCAGAGTCCAAAGGTCAGAGAACCTAGAGTTGTGATGTTCAAGGGCAGGAGAAGAAGGATGTCCCAGTTCCAGGAGAAAGAGAGCGAGCAAATTGAGCCCTCCCAAGCCTTTTTGTCTGTCCTGGCCTTCAGCCAAGTGGATGGTGCTCCCTGCACACTGAGTAAGGGTGGATGTTCCTTACTCAGCTTACTGATTCAAATGCAAGTCTCTTCCAGAAACATCCCCAGACATACCCAGAAATTATGCTTTACCAGCTGTTTCATATTTCATAATTTTGTCAGGTTGACACCAAAAATTAACTATCGCAATATCTATATGTATGATCTAGATCTGTATCTCTATCTAACTGCCTATCATCTAGCTGAAAGATGTATTAGAAGGTACTGGCTCATGTGATTATGGAGGCCAAGAGGTCCCACAGTCTGTTGTTTGCAAGCTGGAGACCCAGGAAAGCTGGAGACCCTGAAGAGTGGGAGACCCAGAAGAGCTGAAAACCCAGAAGCTGGAGACCTGGTAGAGCTTGAAACCCAGAAGCTGGAGACCCAGGAGTGCCAGAGACCCAGGAGAGCTAGAGACCCAGGAGAGCTGAAGTCCCAGAAGCTGGAGACCTGGTAGAGCTGGAAACCCAGAAGCTGGAGACCCAGGAGAGCTGGTGGTGTAGTTCGAAGGCCTGAGAGCTTGATGGTCAATGGTGCAGATTCCAGTCTGAGTCTGAAGGTATGAGAACCAGGAGCACCAAGGACAGAAGATTGATGCTCGAGCAGTCAGGCAGGGAGGGAATTCAACCTTCCTTTGCCTTTTTGTTCTCATCAGGCCCTTAACAGGTTGCATGTTGCCCGCCCACATTAGGGAGACTATCTGCTATCCTCAGCCCACCGATTCAAATGCTCATCTCTTCTGGAAACACCTTTATGTAAACACCCGGAAATGACGCTTAGCCAGCTACCTGGGCATCCTGTGGCCCAGTCAAGTTGACACATAAACTTAACCATCACATCACCCTCCTCTTTCAACCAAATATGGACCAGGGGGTCATGCACTCCAAGGAAGCTGGCCTGGTGGCTGGCCTACTCTGCACTGACCCTCTATGCAGGCTCCGGCCCCCTCAGCTTTAGAGGGAATTAAAGGGTACTTCTTTAAGGGTCATTTAGACTGAATTCATTCTTTCCAGGCACTGAGCCAGGGGATGCTGCAATGACTGTGACAGGCCAGATACTGCCATGGCAGAGGGGGTATCAGAGGAACCTAGGCAGACCATCCTGGCTGACCTACAGTGAGAGCAGTGGTTTCTTTCAGGGAGTGGCATGATTCAGTGGGGAATGTGGAGGAGGAAGAGAGAAGTCAGTGAGACCCTTGAGGAGGCCATGGCAGTTGTTCACTGATAGTTCTCTGCATCAGGGTGCTGGCCATGGAGATGGGAAGAAGTGGACAGATTCAAGAAATATCTCAGAGACAGAGCATAAGATTTGGTAATAGATCAGATGAGGGGTTTTTAGATTGTCACAGAGGCAAACCAGGAGATAGGACTCATGTGCAAAGGATTTATTAAAGTGTTTGCAGGACAAATGGGAAGGACAGTAGCCATGCAGGACAAATCCCAGATGGCCTTGGCCACCCAGCTCTTCCCCACTTTCTTGCTTGTCATTTTCAGAATAACTGTTGATTGTGCTGGGAGTGCAACAACTTGAGATAAGAAGGAACTGGCTGGAACAGTCCAAGGTCTCTCCCTGTCCCTCCTAGAACAAGATGTCCTGCAACACTTGTGCTCAGTGAGTCAACTTCCCCTAGGTATAAAACCTAGAGTGGAGCATCTTTTGGCGTCCCTTGGCTGTGGTGCTGCCTAGGGCATGTGCAGATGGACTCTACCCACCCTGGCCAGCTTGCCTGAGCCTTGTCGGGGAGCAGGGACCCTAGGCTCCTGCTGTCCCCTGATGCCGATCCGCGAATAATAAAGTTGCTTTTCTTAATTTACAGTGTGAGCGTTCTGTCTCACCCGGCTTGTGCAAGTGGTAGAGTAACCTTCCTCACAGGGGGAAGCAGGATCAGGAGGAAACCACACAAAGGTGCAGTCTCAGGTGAGAGCTGAGCCCCAGCCAGATCCCGCAGGACACTCTGCAGCCTTAACGATGTCCCAGAGCTCATCCCACCTCGAAGCAAGGCAGCTGGGCTCTCTGAGGGCTGCTGCCAGCTGCAGGCTCCCAGACACTCCTGGCTTTCAGGGGTATCTTGTTAAAGTGGCAGGGAGAAGAAAAGGGAGACTTTAAGGATCACATCAGGTTATCTGCTGCCAGGTGGATGGTGCCACCATGATTGAGATGGAAAGATAAGGGGCAGCAGGGGTTCGGGGGATCAAGGACTGGACTCCTTGAGTGTGAAGTGCCCGTTAAACATTCCAGTGGCAACATCAGGTAGACCATTGGTATGATTCTGGGGTCTGGGGGTGTGTGGGGTGGGGTTGGGCTGGAGGTGCGCTTCTGGGAGTCACTGGGTGTGGCCGGCGTCTGAAGCCATGAGACCATCTACAGGGCCTTGGCATATGCCATCCCTTCTGCTGGGAACTTGCTGGCCTCCTCCTCACTTGTTAATTTCTACTCATGCTGAGGCCCTTGGCTCATGCATCGCTTCCTGAGGGAGTGTCTCTGACCTCCCTGGCCGCACCAAAGCCCCCTGTCAACCTTGTTCTCCTGAACTTCTGCTCTGTAGCAATGGCCGCAGTTGGAGGTTTGCATCTATTTGTGTGATTATGTGGGTTTTATCCACCATGGGGCCCTCAGCTTCCTCTTCCCATGCTTGATGGAGAATTGGAGTGTCACGCCACTGACGGCTCTGCTCTGACGAGGTCTTTCTAGCCTCAGGAGCTTGTTCATGGGGTCCCTTTCATTCCCACCAATTTGTTAGTCCAGCTTCATCTCTTGCTGAGCTGTTCTCCGCCTTGAGACCTAACTGTTCACCCTCCCTGAGTTGGCTGTGTGCGATCCTGCCCCATGACCGTGCAGATGCCACGTGACCCAGTCCGCAGTCGTCTCTTGTCCCCATTGCTGGAGCCAGCCTCCACCTCTCAGTGGTCCTTTCTGAGACCAGACAGATGAAATTAGGCGCATTCAGGGTGGTACGGCTGTAGACGTGCAGGTCCTTTCAAAAGTGCCTTCTCCTCGAGGCTCTTTCCAGCCCTCTCTCCTAGAGGAGCCCTTTTCTCCTGCTCTGTGTCTCCCCTTGGACCCCTTAACACGGTCTGTGTTTTTTGAATATCCCTCGGCAAAGCAACGGTGTGTGCTTTCTTGCCTGAGGGCTGCAACCAAGCCTGAGTCCACCTCGAGACTCCCTGGAGCAGAGCCCAGCCCTGGCATGCAGTGTTCAGACTACATGGAGTCGTGCACTGCTGCTGTGTGCATCTCTGTGTGTTCAGTACAGAGCTGCAGAAGGGCCACCCCTTCATTACCTGGGGTCCCAGAAGTCCCTATTGTCAGGAAAAAGGCATGAAAACCTCAGCCTCTGCTTCTGGTTCCTGACTCACACTGGTCACCTTGACCTTATAAACAACTCCTGCAAACCTCTGTTATTTTATGGCTTTGTTCTGTTTTTATCAGTGTGTTTTATCTAATATATTCTGAAAAATTTAGGACTTCCCAAAAATATCCCACGTACATGTAAAAGAGTCAGCTGAGAATAGCCAAAAGGAATCACATACATTTTTGCATGGGAAAGAAGTCTTTTAACATTTAGTATTGTTTTTATGGTGGTAAAATATACATAGCATCAAATGTACCATTTTACCATTTTTAAACGTATGATTCAGCGGCATTTAGTCCATTGACATGGCTGTGCAGCCATTGCCACCACCCAGCTCCAGAATGCTTCATCTTTCCAAACTGAAGCTCTGTCCATTAAGTACTCTCTGCTCCTCCTTCTCCAACCCCTGGGAAATGCTATTCTTTCTGTCTGTATAAATTTGGATACTCCAGGCACTTCCTATGTGTGGAATTATACAGATTTGTCCTTTTGTGACTGGCTTGTTTCACTTTGCATAATGTCTTCAAGATTCATCTGCGTTGCAGCCTGAATTTCTTTCCTTTTTAAGGTTGAATAATATTCTATCATCTGTAGATGCCCCTGTATTGACAATGTTTTCTCACTTTCTGTGTTCTCGTTGCTCTGGCATTGGGATCCTTGATCGTGGAGAGTCTGCCCCCTCCAGAGCTAGCTAAGTCCTGAAGCTAGCAAATGACTCCCCTGCCTGCAACACACCTTTTTTTTTAAAATTATACTTTAAGTTTTAGGGTACATGTGCACAACGTGCAGGTTAGTTACATATGTATACTTGTGCCATATTGGTGTGCTGCACCCATTAACTTGTCATTTAACATTAGGTATATCTCCTAATGCTATCCCTACCTGCTCCCCCCACCGCACAACAGGCCCCGGTGTGTGATGTTCCCCTTCCTGTGTCCATGTGTTCTCATTGTTCAATTCCCACCTATAAGTGAGAACATGCAGTGTTTGGTTTTTTTGTCCTTGCGATAGTTTGCTGCACACACCTTTGACATGCAGACCAACCAACCCAGAGCCCACATTCCCAGCCTCCTCCTTTATCACAAACTCACACACTGAGCCAATAATCCCCCGGCCTAAGTCACCCCAGGGTCAGGTCCTGGACAAGTAGGGACTGGCCCTATACTCCAGAGTCCACCAAAATTATTCAAACCACCCAATTGAAACTTAGCACACCTGCCCCGCCACGCCTATTCTATCCCATGAAAACCCCAGTAAGGGCCACGGCCACTCTCTCACCTGACAGCCCTGGTGCTTCCCCACGTGGCCCTGTGTGGCCGGCTGTGATCCTGTTTCTAGGGTGAGGACAAGTTTCCTCCTCCACGGTGATCATTTCCTTGACTGTGTGTCTCCCCTTTCCTGCTTAAAACAAATTGAGGCAACATTTTCACACATCATGTTTATCTGTTCATCCATCGATGGACTTTTGGGTGGTTTCCACCCTTTGGCTGTTGTTTCTCAGTGGAATATTTCAAGCAAAAAAAAATTTATGCATAAGAAGAAACAAGCATGGGCTGGGCGTGGTGGCTTACGCCTGTAATCCCGCCACCATGGGAGGCTGAGGTGGGCAGATCACGAGGTCAGGAGATCGAGACCATCCTGGCTAACACAGTGAAACCCCGTCTCTACTAAAAATACAAAAAATTAGCCAGCTGTGGTGATGGGCGCCTGTAGTCCCAGCTACGTAGGAGGCTGAGGCAGGAGAATGGCGTGAACCCAGGAGGCGGAGCTTGCAGTGAGCTGAGATTGTGCCACTGCACTCCAGCCTGGGTGACAGAGCGAGACTCCATCTCAAAAAACCCCCCCGAAAAAACAAAAAACAAGAAAAAACAAAAATCAGCCAGGCGTGGTGGTGCATGCCTGTAATCCCAGCTACTCGGGAGGCTGAGACAGGAGAATTGCTTGAACCTGGGAGGCAGAGGTTGCAGTGAGCCGATATTGTGCCACTGTACTCTAGCCTGGGCGACGGAGAGAGACTGCATCTGAAGAAGAAGGAGAAGGAGAAGAGGAGGAGGAGGAGGAGGAGGAGATAATGAATACAAGGAATATCCATGTGCTGTCACCCTACCTAAGAAACCAGAGGTTCTGACTTCCCCTGACTTATCCTGAAACCCCCATGTGTCCTCTGGCCCCCATCCCCTTCCTTCCCAAGGGATTTGCTCTACCCTATTAGCGTCATTGTTACCGAACTGAACTGGAGTCCGCTAGCCCAGCACAGTAAGCCAAATATCTACACTGAGGTTTTGAGGTGAGAGGAAGGAGGGTGTTTGTTTACTGGGTGCCAGTCGGGAGCTTCCGACCTCCCTGATGGCCTACACACGAGGGTTGTAAAGGCAGCGGTAAATTTCAGGAAAGCAGAAGTTACAAGCAAAATCGTATCAGTACATGGAGGTTCTACCTTGGTTTGGCCTAAAGAGGAGGAATATCTTGAAGCAGAGGCTTACAGGTCATAGGCGGATTCAAAGATTTTTGATTTGTGATTGGTTAAGGAAGCAAAGCTTTGTCTAAAAACTTGGGGTCAGGGCTGGGCACAGTGGCTCACGCCTGTAATCCCAGCACTTTGGGAGGCCGAGGCAGGCGGATCACCTGAGGTCAGGAGTTCGAGACCAGCCCGACCAACATGGAGAAACCCCATCTCTACTAAAAATACAAAATTAGCGGGCGTGGTGGCACATGCCTGTAATCCCAGCTACTCGGGAGGCTGGTGCAGGAGAATCACTTGAACCCAGGAGGCGGACGTTTTGGTGAGCCCAGATTGCACCATTGCACTCCTGCCTGGGCAACAAGAGCGAAACTCTGTCTCAAAAAAAGAAAAACAAAACAAAACAAAACAAAAAACACTTGAGGTCAGTAGAAAGAAATGTTAAGGTCTGGCCTGTGGCTGTGCCCTCAGGAAGAAATTTAGAACAAAAAACAGCAGTCAGAATTTAGGCCTCAGTCCCCCTGGTCTAAGTCTACATGGCAGTGGATGGCATTTGCCATTTAGTGGGGATCTGGGCTTCTGAAAAACAACTCAGGGACATAGATCAGGATGTTATATTTCATTTCTGTAGGAACCCAAACCTCTCGTGGCACTAACTTATTTGGGCAGGCATCGCTTTAAGCTACCGTTACGGTCTTGTTTATCAATGAAGTTGCTCGTTTGCTTCTCAAGGCTAGCTAGGTGTGGGGAATTTCCCTTGAAAGAATTCAAGATTTTCCTTTATTTCCATGCTTGGGGGGCTCGGCAGGCCCCTATGAGGGGTGCCTGCTGTACCCGCCCCAGGCAGGATTGCAGCTTTCACTACACATGAAGGTCCTCAAAAACAACATATGGTATAGGTATAGTCTTGTACGTTCTTGAATTTTATAGGAATAGCATTATTTGATACAGACATGGGCCTGTTTCATGCAGCTGTATGTTTTTGAGATGCATCCATGCAGAGGCCAGCAGCTTTAGTTCATTTGTCTTCCTGGCTGTGTAATATTCCATGCTTTGAAGGCATCACACTCTCCTATTGATGGGCACTCAGATGTTTCCATTTTTTAAAACTAAATCATGAACATTGTGTGTCTGTGTGTGTTGGGAGTGGGGGCATCTCTAGGGGACAGAGTCTGGAAGTGAACTGAGGGAGGAGGATATGTACATTTTTATTTTACCAGATAGGACCAAACTGTTCTCCAAACCGAGAAGCCAGTTTGCACCCTGACCAGCCGGGTCTGAGGATTCCTGGTGAGACAGAGGAGCTGACCCACACTGGAGACATCCTTTTGTTCGTGCTGTCCTCCACTGCGGGTGGTTTGGCATTTGGGAGAGTGGTTTCCTGGAGCTTCTTGCAACCATGAATGAAATGGTTTGTCCAGGACATTTCTGAAAGGGAACCCCTTGTTTCTATTGCAGGGACCCCAAGGGGCGCATTAGGCAGCAGAGATGGCCTGGCCAACCATCACACTATTTCTGCTTTTGAGAGAGTTCTCAGGACCCTGGAGAGGCACCGCCTGGCTGTCTGTGGATGTGCGTGCTGACCCTCTCCCTGTCCCTGGGAGGGAGCTCTCCCTGAGATGCACCCAGCCCGCTCTCTGACCTGGAGTTTTGGTGTCCTGCTGATCCCAGGCGACAGTGGACAGTGGCTCCATCAACTTCTGGCAATCGGTTTGGCAGATTTACAGGCATCAAACAACAACAAAAAAATTGCTGAACGTGCGTGTAGGGAAGCGTTTTTGTGCCAGTGTGCTGTGACAGTGCAAAGAATTTCAGTAAAGAGGAGGCAAATTTCTTTGAAATTAGAACATTCAAAGTAACTACTCAACTCAGGCCTTTTGATATTGCCTTAAGAAATCTGTTTTGCCCATAAAATCGGGTCTCCGCTGTTCGCATCACACAGCTGACATGTATTTCAATTTTCAGAGAGCAACTTCTTCCACTTTGCCTTCTGTAATTCAAAATAGAAATCTTTAAGTCCTCGGGAAATTGTTTTTATAATATTCTAAAGTGAAAATACTTGCAAATGTGTACTTTTTGGAACAAGCGTAAATTTTAAATTCAGGACTAAAGTAACCTTTTATGTGTGAACTTGTCTCTACTGTAAATCACAAGCGTCGTATTCTTTATTCTTTGAGCGTGTCTCAATTGCCCTGTGTTTTCATGAGACTGGAGTTGCTGGGTAGGGGATTGAGCTGGGCTCGGAGGCTGCTCTACGTGCTTCATATGCTTCCAGTGTTTGCTTGTACAGCTGGTGCAGCCCCAGGCATCTCCAGCCTATGGGCACCAATAATAATCTGGTAATGCCTGCTATGGTATTGCCCCCATCCTCAGTTGGGGTCTCGGCTCCCTGCAAGGTTCTCTCAATCCCCCCCATATATCTGTGGGTGTCCCACCTGTGCTCAGGCCCAGGCAGCTGCCAGCTGGCATCTGATGGGCACCAACACTGCTGATGCTTGGCACACCAGCGCTGGTCTTTGCTGGACAAAGCCGTCCCTTCCCTTGGCCCAGTCCCTGGCATCTGTCTCCGAGTGCCCTGGGTGGCAGGTGGGGAGAAGGCTCATCTCTATGGTTTGCTGAAGGGCTCAGGCTATGCCATTAAGCCCTAGGTGCCTGGAAGGTTTTGCAAGAATAGCTCTTTCAGGTTGTTACTCACGGTCTTTCTAGGACCCGGATGTGGCCAGGCTAGGCAGGGGCCTGGGCTGAGCACAGAGGCTGATGTCGGTTATGGTCTCGGGGTCCTGCTCCCTGCAGTGCAACCTGCACTTGTTAATGCATCAGCCTCTCCTGCCCGCTCCTGCCCCCTGTTCCTCCAGGAAACAGGGTTCTAGGCCTGCCCCATCATTTGCTAGAAACTCGCATCCCAGCTTGAGCTCACACTGTACTCGGAATACACAGTTTCCTCACAGCCAGAAATGCACATCAACCCATTGGCCATATTCCTAAATGTGCAGCAACTCAGACCCTTCCATGGAGCATCTGGTACCACTTGCTATGGGGTGCCACTGAGCACAGGAGGAGTGAGAGACACCTTCAAAGATCAGGAGAAGGTGGGGACAGAACTGAAGTCTCCAGACTTCTTCTGGCTTCAGTTCTCCAACCAGGAAATGAGCGGGTTGTACCTGTTGACCTCCAAGGACACTTTAAGCTCTTTAAACCATTAGGAGAAAGAATTAAACATTATTGGCTGGGTGTGGTGGCTCACGCCTGGAATCCCAGTGGTTTGGGAGGTCAAGGGAGGATCACTTGAGGCCAAGAGTTTGAGACCAGCCTGGGTAACATAGTGAGACACCATGTCTACAAAAAATTAAAAAATTGGCTGGGTATGGTGACACAAACCTGTAGTCCCAGCTATTCAGGAGGCTGAGGCAGGAGGATCATTTGAGCAAAAGAGTTTGAGGCTGCAGTGAGCTACGATCACGGCACTGCACTCTAGCCCGGGCGACAGAGTGAGACCCTGTCTTAAAACAAACAAACAAACAAAAACCCACCTGAGCCACCTCTCTTTCAGTGACCTCATTTGGAACATCCATCCATTTTCAGCCTATTTTCTTCGCAAATAGGAACATTATGGTTACGAATTTCCCTACAAGTATTGCTTTGGTGGCATCCCACAAGTTTTGGTGGGTAGTATTTTCACCACCATTCAGTTCTGAGTATTAGAGATTTCCACTATGATTTCTCAATGGACTCATGAATGACTTAGAGGCATAGTGTTAATTTGTTTTTTGATGAAAGGGTAGGTAATACATTCAAAAGTTTCAATATTCAAAACGCATAAAAAGTCTACAAGGAAAACTATTTTTTCTACTCCTGTCCCCCAGCCAGCCACCCATAGGCAATTACTATTATTCATTAGCTGAGAGTCCATCCAGGTAAAGTTTATGCACACAAAGTAAAATGTGTATATATGAATATAGAAATATATATTATGTATGTGTGTAAATATGCATATATTGCTTTTCCTAGACAAACCTTACTCCTTCAGCTCTGAAGTGTGTTTTAGCTTGTCCTTAGAAAAATGTCTTAGAGATCATTTGGCATCAGTATGTGAAGAGCTTCCTCATTTGTTTTTACAAATGCATTGTATTCCATTGAATTTGATGAACCATAATCTAAATGTCAGGTTCTCTATTGATATATATTTATGTTGTTTATAGTTCTTTGAAATTTATAAACAACATTGCAATAAAAACCCTTTCTTTTACCCATTATTTCATAGGCAGCAAGCAGGTCGGTAGAAGTGGAGTTGCTAAATCAAAGCATATGTGCATATCAATTTTGACAGCTGTTGCCAAATGCTTTCCATTGAGGCTGTGCCGTATCTACCTAGAGCAGCGTAGAGTGAGAGGTCCTATTTACCTCCTGGCTTTTCCAACAGAACGTCCTATCAAATCTTGGTTCTTTGTTGATCTATTAGTGAATAACAGTATCATTCTAGCTTTATTGATATTTCTGTTATTGTAAGTGAGGTTGAGCATATTTTCATGTTTTAAATTAATTTATACAGATCTTGGTTTTGAAATGCCATTCTCCAGTGAAAGGAACTGGGGATCCTTGGAGAAATGGCTGATTCTAGGTCTGGGGCAGGGAATATACAAGATCAGCCTGGAGCATCTTTCAGTGTTGGAAGCAAGGAAGCACTCAAAACACAACAAAACCAGAACAACCCACAGTGACGGGGTTATGTCAAAGGCTCATGGGAACCAACTGCAAAGGCTCCCAGCAGCCTAAGAACCACTTGAGCAGCAAAATAAATAATGTAGTGCTGGACCATAGCCCAACGTATTAAATAAATATACATCAGTCCACGTATAAATAAATATACATCAGTCCACATATAAATGAATATACATCAGCCTGCATATAAATAAATATACATCAGTTCACACATAAATAAATATACGTCAGTCCACATATAATATACATCAGTCCACATATAAATAAATATACATCAGTCCGCATATAAATAAATATACATCAGTCCACATATAAATAAATATACATCAGTCCACATATAAATAAATATACATCAGTCCACATATAAATAAATATCCATCAGCTCACATATAAATAAATATACATAAGTCCACATATAAATACATATACGTCAGTCCACATATAAATAAATGATTGAATAAATAAATAAATGGGGGGAGAAGGGACAAATCTTCCTTATAGAAGAATCCCAAAAATATATGTAGATATCCACCCCGTAGATGGTGAAGTTTAATTCCCCTCCCCTTGAGTGTGGGCTGGATTTAGTGATTGGCTTCCTAAGAATAGAAGATGGGAAGCAACAACAGTAGCTTTACCGTGGAGGAAACTGCAGACACCATCCAAACCACGTGATGATGGTCAACATCACCAATGATGCCACGTGAGTACCACACACACCCCCTGCTGTGATGTGATGAAGGGAGTCCTTAAACTCATATCCCCTCTCTAGTCATGAAAAAAGTCAGACAATCCTAAACTGAGGGACATTCTATGAGATACCCGACCACTACTCTTCAAAACTGTCGAGGTTATGATAAACAAAGACAGATGGAGATACTGTCACCAACCAGGGGACACCAAAGAGACACATACATGTGAGTGGCACTCTAGATATGAGCCTGGGACAGAGAAGGGAATTATTGAGAAAAATTAGTAGAATATGAACAAAGCTTATAATTTGGTTAATAGTAATGAATGTGCTAATGCTAATACCTTAATTTTGACAAATACACCACAGTTATTATGTAAGATGTTAGCATTAGGGGAACTGAAAGAAAGGTGTACAGAAAATCTTTGTATTATCATTGTAATTTTTCTGTAAATCTAAAATTATTCCAAAATATAAAAGGTTATTTTTAAAAAGTTATTTGTATTTTTTAAATGAATAGTTTACTCATCCCCTTTGACATTTTTTCTTTTGGTGATTAGCCTCTTTCTTGTTTATTTATAGAAGTTCTTTACATATTAGTCTTTGATTAATTATACTTATTTTCTCCAATTTGACTATTTTTTGATTTTACTTAAAGTCATCTTTTCCCATTCAGATTTTTTTTTTTTTTTATACAGGATCTCTGTCACCCAGGCTGGAGTGCTGTGGCACAATCATGGCTCACTGCAGTCTTGACTTCTTGGGCTCAGGTGATCCTCCTACCTCAGTCTCCTGAATAACTGGGACCACAGGTGCACATCACAATGCCCAGCTAATTTAGAAAACATTATTTGTAGAGACAGGTGTCATTATGTTGCCCAGGCTGGTCTCAAACTCCTCAGCTCAAGTAATCCTCCCACCTCAGCCTCCCAAAGTACTGGGTGTAAGCCACTGCACCCAGCCCAGAAATGTTTTAATTTATATAGTCAAATTTCTTCATTTTTTATTTCTTTTGTGCCTCTTAACTTTGTGTTATAGTTGGTAAGGGCTTCTCCCATTTCAATCTTATAAAATAATTATGCTATGTTCACTCAGTGCTTTTATTTTAAGAAGTACTGTTTTTATTTTTCCAGTATTGTATTCTTCCAGGTTTTAGAAATTTATTAATTTCTGAAGCTGCATCAGTTAGCACACAGTCAAGAGACAGGAACCACCCCAGTTATCTGAACAGAGAGGATTTAATATAAATAATTGTTAACTAGATAAACAGTTGTTAACTAGGTAAATAAAATGGTAAAAAAGAGAAATGTAGCCTATCAAGGGATTAGCAACCACAGGCAGCAGCTGCCACCCCCAGGGCTGAGGGAGCAAAGGGAAGAAGCTGGAATTATTAAAGCTTAGTAATTAAAGGAGAGGCCCCCTGGGCTTGGGACCCAGACTTCTGAGGAGAAACTCTGGTGGGTGCTGGTGTATCTGTGGGATAGAGAGGGGACAAGACGAAATTGGTTTGCAAATGTCTAAAAAACTGCAAGCTGGATTTCACAGCTGCAGGAACTGCTGCAGCCAGGGTGAAGCAGCTCTGCTGGGAGGATGCTCATCAGAACAGGAAGCCAACTGGAAGGAGCAGGTCCCTTCTTCCAGCCCAGCTTGTTAGTCTCTCTCTAGTGCCCCCTATTGGCAGACCCTAACAGGGATGTGACTGTCAAAGCAGAAATGTTTGCAGAGTTCCATCACCAGTATCACAAAACCGAATACAGAAGGCTGGTTTGGAAATGAGACAATAGTTTAATAACGGACCCACTTGCTTATGAAAAACAATTCAATGACGTTTGAACACTTCAGTTCACCTTATTCCATCTTATATTTCATTGGCGAATTACAGTGACTACAAAAAGTTGCCTTAGCTTTAGTTTGTTTTTTTAATCTTTCAAAATAAGTAATATATTACTATTTTATACAGTCTATACATCTTGTTAAGAATTATCCACATCACACCCGTTCATTTGCCCATAATTTCTTCTTCTTTTTTCCTCTATAAACTTCTCCATTCTCCTATTAGTGCTTCCTAAGACTACGAAAACAATCAAGTTGTACACAAATACTTGTGTCAGGGTCAGCTTCTAGGATAGCTAAAATTAAAACAGAGCCCAAAGGCTCCTGTATCAGAATTAATGAATGTAACATTTTAAACAGACTATATTTATACTGTTAAAAGAAATAAAAGATGGATTGAAAACATGAGTAAGATATAAGAGACTTCAAACATAACTAGGCACATTTTTTAAAAAGCTAATAGAATTCCTAGAACTGAAAGTATTATTATTGATATTAAAGACTCAATGTATAGACTGCAGAACATACTGAACACAGTTGAAGAGAGAATTGGTGAAATGGAATGTAGACACTATACAGTAAAAGTCCAAAGAGGAAAGTAAAGGAAGTCCATGGATGCATTACCAAGCAAGTGTCAATGTGAGCCACAGAAATGCAAAGCAGAGGAACTCTGGAGACAGTGCAGAACATGCATGGGGGCTATTCCAGTCTGGAGGTATTTATTTTCAAACTTCTTTTCATCATTGGCTGATGTTGCAAGGATGTTGCAGGGGAATTAATTTCCAGGCACTTCCAGTCTTCTCCCTGTGCATTGGGACAGAGCCTTTAGACAGACACTTGAAAAGGATGCCACCAGCATGCACTGGAACAGTGAGGGCTGAGGAGACTTGGGTGGGGCACCTAAGGGAACATCTGCCATCATTCACCCCTTGAACAGCTCAGATGCACTCATGCTGCAAGTAAAGTTGACTCTGCTCCATCCCTGCTTCTTCAAGGTTGTGGCCTATCACAATTTCTAAAAAATAACAGGCAGGTCAGGTGTGGTGGTTCATGCCTGTAGTGCCAGCACTTTGGAAGCCTGGGGCAGGAGGATCACTTGAGCCCAAGAACTCAAGACCAACCTGGGCAACATAGTGAGACCCCAGTCTCCACTAAATAAATAAAACAATTAGCTGGGCATGGTGGTGCACACCTGTAGTCCCAGCTACTTGGGAGGCTGAGGTGAGAGGATCACTTGAGCACAGTAGGTGGAGGCTGCAGTGAGCTGTGATTGTGCCACTGCATTCCTGCAGCCTGGGCGACAGAGTGAGACCCTTTCTCAAAAAAAGAAAAAATAATACAACCGGAATATTAGCAGGACGAAGTGCAGTCCCTGCCGCCTCAGTGGGTCCCAGGGCCATACCTGACATTCATTATCTCTTTCCTCTACCAACTATTCTGGATTCCCTGCACCCTGGGCCTGTACTTCTGCTGGTCTTGGTGGCTTGCCTGGTGGGGTGATGCAGACTTCATCCCTGAGGTGTCTGAGCCCCTGGTCACCACACCTGGCGAGGCCATGGCTGCTGCAGTTGCCCGTTCAGACTTATTACCATACCAAGCACCAGGAGGGGCTGCAGCGAATTCCTCAGTCTTCAGACAAAGTCCTTCCTGCTCCTATTACATGGCAGCATACAACCACCCTCACCAAATGCCACCTACTAACTGGAGTCCTTAACATGTCCCCATTGAAGCATTCCCCTTCCCCAGTGGGAAATAACACCCCTAGTCCAAGCAGAGCTTGAAGTCGTGGAGATGGGAAACAAATTCGCCAGGGAGTCCTGCGGATGATGGTGAGAGCTTCCGCCCCTACTTCCACCCCTACTTTCACCCCTTGGGTCCTCTCACTATAAGGGACACACACCATGGGGTGGCCATTGGTTCAGAGTATAGATCGCACCTTCCAACTCAGTGTCCCAGTGCCCTAGGGTGTCTTCCCCAAACTGGTTTCTTCCCCAAACATTCCACCCAGCCGGCAGATGCTTAGATGGAGACCCTAGTGGGTCCTCTTGTCCTGCCCATCATCACAACTATTTTGCTGTAATTTGATTCTCTCAGTTCAAGGCCATGTTATTTGCAATCCCATAATGGCAAATTAGACACCCCGTGAGTCCGCAGACTCACATGAGTCCAGAGTACTAGCTGGAGCCCTGCAGTCAGGCAAGGTAAAATCCTACCTGGAGTAGGGGTCAATTCTGGTCCAGAGGGCTTGCTGCTCCCTCCAGTGTAGGGGGATTAAATGCAACCAAGCTGCTGTCACATAGCGAGTTGGTCTCCTCCAGGGACAACACCATAATGAGGGCCTAGCGTTAGTCTCTGCTCCTGAACACGCAGGTGTTTAGCCGAAGCTGGATCAGCCTTTGTGAGCCGGACTCCAGGCACAGATGGAGTGAACCCATGCACGGTCTCCCAACCCACCACCGTGGCGACTCCTTGCACACACTCATTGTGCAAGTGCAGAGGTGGCTGTGGGCAGAGGCTGGTTGAGCTCTGCTGGCTGAGTCACCTTTTCTATCTGGTTCTTCAGTGCTTCATCTGCAGTTGATAATTTCAGGGGGCCAGCGGTGGTGTTGACGTAAGACAATGTGCTCACTCCCATTTGCTCATTCCCATCACTCTTTCCCAGGCCATTTTTTTCTGATCTTCCAATCTCGTTCCTTCCAAGTCTCTGACGAACCAGCCCAATCAGTTACCATTGCCCAGAGTCTGTGTACATCCTTACCTAAGTGGATAACCAGGTGCTTGCCTGAAGCTCTGCTGGCTGGATCGGCTTGGAGTGAGGCAGCATCCATTTTTTATTTGCTCCAATATATCAAGCCAATATATCAAGTTTTTTATTTGCTCCAATATATCAAGCCAATGAATGAGACCCAGAGGATCCCAGCCTCTGTTAGCCAGGTGAGGTGTGAGCTGAGAGAGGCAGGGATGCCAGAGATGGGTGACATGGGGTCTGGGCCACCTGTTTGTGTAACCTGTTTATACCATTAGGACCTGCTCAGGCATGTTCCTGACTGTTCCATTTTCATCATTCAGTGGATTGTTTTCATTACGGCCAAACACTCCGGCTTGGCAAGCCTGGTGATGCCCAGCTCAAGATGGGCAGCTCTACCACGGAGTCACTGTTGTCCTGTGCCAGGCATGAGTGTCTGTCTATGAACTACTTTTCAGTGGTGACCAATTCTCTGCTGCTGACAGTATTGCCTGGTTCTTGCGTCCACACCGTGAATCCCCTATCTATTCTTTCCAGATGCTTTCCAGGCTTTCCACAGCATCCCTCTCTGCCACGGGCAGCTCTGGCACCGCAGGATGTGAAAAGATGCAGCCCAAGTGGCAGAGTTACTTATCTGGCACCTGAACCTTCTAGAGAGAGAGACATTTCTTGCTCTCAGATCCAACAAAACCGGCAGTCTCCAAGTCATCTCATAAAGAGGTTGGAGCAGTATTCCCAAGTGTGCCATGACAAGAGATCATCTCCAAAGTCCCAAGAGGCTTACCAAGGTCTGTGCCTTTTCCTTAGTGGTGGAAAATACAAGATGACGTAACTCATCCTTTACTTTGAAGGGAATGTCTCAGAATGACCCACACCACTGGATTTTTTTGTTTTTTTTGAGTCTTGCTCTGCTCCCCAGGCTGGAGTGCATTGGCGTGATCATAGCTTACTACAGCCTCGACTTCCCAGGCTCAAGGGATCCTCCCACCTCAGCCTCTGGAGTAGCTGGGATCACAGGTGCACGCTACCATGCCCAGCTAATTTTAAAAATTTTTCGTAGAATTGGGGTCTCTCTATGTTGTCCAAGCTGGTCTTGACCTCCTGGGCTCAAGTGATCCTCCTGCCTCAGCCTCCCAAGTAGCTGGAACCACAGGTGTGCACCACCACGCCCAGCTACTTAAAAAATTTTTTTTAGACATGGGGTCTTGCTATATTACCCAGGATGGACCCCTGGATCTTTATTGAGATAGCAGACCCCTGAACCACTCTAGGGCTTATCCCCCACTCTCTGCAATGCATGGGTGCCTTACAAGGGCATGTAGGGTATGTTCCACTTCCTGCTTACCAGGTCTGATTAGCATGGCATCTTCAGTGTAGCATCCCTATGTGATGTTCTGTGGGATGTCCAGATGATTAAGGTCCCTGTAAATGTGTACTGCTGCTATTCCAGGTAAGTGCAAATCAGTTTAGATACATCTTCCTGATAGGGTTTGAGAGGGTACACACACCAGATCAACAGCTTTACACCGAATTCCAAGGCTGTGCTGATCTGTTCTACTGAAGACATTGTACATGGCACAACAGCAGCACTTGGGGCTCCCATGCGGTTGGGTTTACAAGAGTCCATCATCATCTGCTACAATTCAGATGACTTTTTCAAGGGCCATACTGGTGAATTAAAGAGGGATATATTAGGGACCACATTCTCTGCATCCTCTAAGTGAATAAGGGTGACACTCATCTCTGTCATGATGCTCAGACTTAGTATTGCTTCTGATTTTCCATCTTGTAAGTGTCTCCAGCCTAAACATGTGCTCAGAGACTAAAGAAATGGCCATAGATGGTTCTCCAGACTCACTGGCTTCCTGAAAGGTAGACTTGGGCCAGAACTTCATTTATCACGTGGCTTCTGTAGACCCCACTCTAATGGGGGCGGTCACGATGGTATTTTGGGTTCTCTGGGACCAGTGTCAATTCTGACACGTATCCATCAGTCCTTGAGAAATCTGGGCATCCTCCTTCCCCACTATAAAAGCTATTCTGATAAATAAGCAGAGCAGAGGGATTGGGAGAATCCTACTGTGTGGGCTTTCAGGATCCTTCCTCAAGAGGACCTTTCTTCCCTTCAATCCGCAGGCTCTGAGTCTGAGAACTAGCACGAACCTAGAAGTTGGCGAAGAGATAATAATGTTTCCATTGAAGTGGCTGGCCTCAGCCTTCTGCTCACACATTCTTATCCTTTTTTGGTTACATAAGTCAAATAAGCACACTGGCTGCCCACCTACCCTGCCTCTAGAGAGAACACAGTCTTTTTTTGTTTTGTTTTATTTTTTAGATGGAGTCTCGCTCTGTCGCCAGGCTGGAGTGCAGTGGCGCAATCTCAGCTCACTGCAACCTCCACCTCCCGGGTTCGAGCGATTCTCCTGCCTCAGCCTCCCGAGTAGCTAGGATTACAGACATGCACCACCACGCTCAGGAAATTTTTGTATTTTTAGTAGAGATGGGGTTTCACCATGTTGGCCAGGATGGTCTCGATCTCTTGACCTCATGATCTGCCCGCCTCTGCCTCCCAAAGTGCTGGAATTACAGACATGAGCCACTGCGCCCGGCCAGAACACAGCCTATTATTCGTTACCACAGAGCCCTGAATGTCAGGCTCCTGGTGACCTTTCCACCCTCATTGCACATTTTGGTAATGGCATCATCTTGCCTCTGAGGGTTAAGAGTGCTACATGGTCTCTGCCGTTTTGGGATCCTCTCTTCTCCGTGGACACTAGGGAGGCCAGTTCTATAGCAGCCTCCCGTCATCAATCCTGTACTGCAGATGATGACCACAACCGGATTTGGCAACGCCGCCGGGGCTTCCTTCACTGGTGCATGTCTTACAGTCTTCACAAGCAGAGTCCTCTGGCGCTCCCTGGGAACATACACAGGGAGTAAGTTCTCCAGTCTTCCATCATAACTTCATTGTAACACGTGCACCTTCTGAGCCACTTGATCCCTTTCTTGATCAAAATCTGCCAAGGTAACTCCAGCATTTCTTCCTCATCTACTGCAGGCCATTGTTGCTAAATCTCAAGATGGCAGCCTAGTAAAGCATTAGGCACAGCTCAAGCTGCCCTTGTCATGATGAAGACTCCTGAGTCACGGGACGGTGCCCCTTCATTGGTAAATTCTCCCCCTCCTGGCCTACTATTCCACCCCTAATCTTGCCCAGCACACTCCATCCACCCCCAGGCATGTGCTCCCAGGTTTGTAGGTGCACGTTAGCAGGAACCTGCAGTTCCCCTCCCTCTCTTCCCTCTCGTCTTCTCCGTAGTCTCTTCTCTCGTATTTGGCCACAGCCGGGCAAGCCTTCCCAGCTGGCCATGCAGAGACTTGACCATCTGCTGTAGGTGGGATTGTTCTAGCCCACCTTTCATGAAGGAAGCAGCCTCTCAAGGGTTCCAGGCTTACAGGTAGGAGGGGGCTGTCATTTCATCTCCTCCCTTCCCGTGGGCTCCAGGCCTTATTTCCCATCCCCATGGGGATCTTAAAACCAAGACCTCTGTTCAATTCCACAAAAACCATTTGCTCCTAATTGCCCAGGCTTTCTCTTCCATTTCCCTGTTTGTTCCATGGAGTACTTTTACGTTCTTGCAAGCCCAGCTATGCATTTCAAAGAATGTCTGTGGCATTTAATCTAGCATGTTTACAGGCTTCGTTTTCGTTGTTGTTGCTATTATTTTCATAATATTAAGTCCTTGATATGGTAGGAAGCAGAACTCCTTGTGGTTTCTCTTTGCTTTTAGCTTCTGTCACAAAAAAAGTCATTTGCTGTTGCAGAACAAATTGAACTGTGGTTTCCGTGCTAGCATGTTCCAAACAATTAAAGTACTTCTTGCCTCTTTCCACCCCCGGAACTTTGGGGGAATTAATTTGGGAGTTGGGAGCAGGTAGAAATTTGTAGTGGGAGGGTCATATTAATGTAGGATAAAATCACTGTGATGTGGGGCAGGGCACATCCTACTGTGCCCTCCTAACGCCCATGTAGTCTGCTTTTGATTGGTACTTTATCTTTATTTATTATATCTATTTATAAATATTTAGTTTTGTTTTCTTCTAGGTCTTTGCAGTTCATTTTTCCCCTCCTTTGACACATGTGCAATCTATTTTTGTGTGTGGAGTGAGATATGAATCCAACTTTCCTCCCCCATATGGCCAGTGAATAGTCCTGGTTCTACTTCTGAAGACGCTCCTGCTCTTGCCCACTGAGTATGACACATCCATTATTTCTGGGCAGGCGGTTCTGTTCCACTGACCGGCTGTTCATCCATGCATGGAATCAGTAGGAGTGTGTTTGGCTGCAAGTAGGAGAAAAAGAACCCCAAACCAGCTACGCCTTAGACAGGTGGTGGGTCACTTTTTCATGTGTAACTGTGAATCCAGAATGGACAATTTCTGGCATTGGTTCAGTCACCTAATGGTGCCACCAGGGACCACACCCTCCCCTTCTCTCTTTCCATCCATGCCATAACCATGTCTGTCACCTCCTGGGTACAGATGGCCACTGTAGCACCAGGCCTCTCCTCTGCTCTTGGGACAACGGAGCGAAGTGTGCCAGCAGCATCTGCCCTTTCATCGGGAGGGCGAGGTTTCCTAGAGCCCCAGCCGACTTCTGTTCATGCCTTGCTGGCCAGAGCCAAGGTGTATTCTGCTTCCTCCAATTGTAGGGAAAGCTGGAAAAGTGGGTAACTGGACTGTCCTGAGTGACTTAGAGCAATCGTGATTACCTTGGGCTGGGTGTGAAGGCAGGAGCTCCAGTCTGAACCGCTGTAGCATTGCAGTGCCCTGAGAGAATATTGTGCCTCAGGGGTACTTGTGCAGGAAAAACCAAACCAAAGCTAGAATTCCTGGATGTGGCTGTTTTCACACAGGGCTTGCATTCCGCCTGTGGGGGGTGTGACACACCCAACCTCCCCCAGCAGGACTGGATGATCCATTTAAACCACACCCCACTTGACCCCACAGGAGAAGGTGGAGAGCACAATGTGCCTCAGGGAGCCCAACTGAGTGAGGTGGGTGGCAGAGGGTGGTATACAGAATGACACTTGTGATATTACCATACCATAAGAAATCTATATTTGGTCTCTGCTCCTGGTTCTTGGCACACAGCCTCTAAAACCCTTGGAATCTCTGGCGTGGTAAGAGTGCCTTTAGTATGCTCATCAGATGACTGGTGGTTGGGGGCCCCTAGGTAGCCTTAGGATGGGACTGGTCACCAGAAAGACCAAGGCAGGACTAGCCAGCCCCACCTCCCAACCTCCAGGGAGCGGAGAGGGGCCGAAGGTTGAGTTAATCACCAATGGCCAATGATGCAATCAATTCTGCCTACAAAGTGAAGCTTCCATAAAACCCAAAAGGACTGGGTTTGGAGAGCTTCCGGGTTGCTGAACACGTGGTGGTGTCCCGAGAATGGCGCCCAGGGAGGGTGTGGAATCTCCGCGGCCCCCCTCACAGCCCTGCCCCATGTGCCCCCTCCATCTCGCAGTTCATCTGTGTCCTTTCTAATCTTCACAATAAACTATAACTGTAAGTAAGTGTCTCCCCGAATTCTGTGAGCAGTCCTAGCCAATGAATTGAACCCGAGGAAGAGGTCGTGGGGACCTCTTAGAGGTGATTGGTCAGAAGCACAGGTCACCACCCAGGGCTTGTGATT